>NC_000002.12:8797878-9100909 GCF_000001405.40 Homo sapiens
CACGCCATCTCCCCACAAAGGAATGTGTTCAGATAACAGTGGCATAAATGAATTTGGGAGAGATGAGCTGTCCAAATAATAACAATTTATGAATGGCTGATATTGCACTTCCTGAGAAGTATTTAATTGAAGTAACAACACACTGTATTTTGCTATGAATACACAAATCCTGAAAGGATACAAAGTTACTCCTCAATGTGATAGAGAATATTACCAGTAAAATCAGTGTAACTCTAACATCAAACAAAGACGACTGAAATAAAATGAGCAGTACTAACATTCAGCATAAGGTGCTGCTAACAGAATAGAAATGCCATTTATACCTTTGTGCATATTTCAGTGTCAGGATTGCACTGTAAGATATCTCTCACCATTGTTGCATTTCCTTTCTCAACAGCCCAATACAAAGCAGTTTTATTATCCTAGATAATTAAAAAAAACACAATCACTTCATGTAAGATACAATATTTAAAACTGCTACTTATAAATACAAAACATTTCTGTCAGAAAGCATTCCAACAGGCAGCATGGTAGGAAATACTATTAATCCTTATGCTATCTTGGAGTTACTTTTGAGAAATTCTTTGTGAAAGAAGCCTAGGAAAACTTCGTATTACTTAACCTAAAAAGTAGCAATCCCACATAGTTAATAAACTACACTTTTGTAATGTAATCAGATTTCAGGAACACACACTGGGTTAGGAGTCATCAGTACCTGAACCCTGTAAACTCAGACATGTCACTTGGCTATTCTGACCCTTAGATTTTCATCTGTAACATGCTGTAAGTATTGCCCAATTTTTCAAAAGATAATGCACGAAAATGTACTTCACAAATATAAGGCATTATCATTTTTAGCTTTCTTAATTTCCATCCATCCCATACCCCTATAACTGCCTTGATCAGATCTTTAAAATCTTATCTAGCTCAAAACCCAAAAATCAATCCACACAGACCTTGAAAGTAGAGCTAGAGAACAACAAAAAAACGAACTCAAACACAGAAGAGGACTCACAGACGCAAGGAAGTTAGGTAAAAGTCCAAGTAGGTGGCCTAGAACCCATCTTTAGTGGCAATGTGATTTTAACCCAGGAGATAATGAATGACTTTTGCAGCAGCCACATTAAGTTCCTAATACCAAAATTTCCTCAACAGTTTCTCTTCTAAAAAATGTACACTAGCTGCCCAACTCAAACTTCCCAGGCCCTACCCGCCTCCCATTTCATTTCTCCACCTCTCCCCACCATCCCCACCACCATGCCTACCATCCCACTGCCCAATGCCAAATGATTCATTCACTAGCTATGAAATGCGGTCTTTCACTTTCTAATTTTCTCTAATTTTCTCATCCTATTACAACTCCCCTTGCCTGAAACACCCAGCTTTCCTTTTCTATTTTTTTTTTTTTAAGAGACAAGGTCTTACTCTGTCACCCAGGCTAGAGTGCAATGGCACAGTCACAGCTCACTATAACCTCAAACTCCTGGGCTCAAGGGATCTTCCCACCTCAGCCTCCCCAAAGTGCTGGGATTACAGGCATCAGCAACCCGGCCAGGCTCTTCACCTACCTAAATCCAACTCATCTTCAAACTTAGCTCAAGTTCTACCTTCTTCCAAAAGCCCCAGACCTTAAGGCCTTCTTTCCCTACCTCAAGACTCATACTTGAACCTTTTGCTAGGCAATCAATCATATACCATCTTGTGGCTTCACTTTTTATGTTAAAAGCATAAAAATAAACAAACTAAAATCTCTCAAATTAAAATACATGTGTCTTAAAGACAAGGGGCCCATGTTAATTCCCCCATAACATTTGGCATAATAGTTATAGTTTGATTCAAAAATGGATTTTGATACAAGAGATTTTTGGCCAAATACAAGAAAAAACTGAGCAGAAATGTAGACTGTCCAACAACAAAATGAAGACGCCAAGAACTTTTTCTAAAGTCTAAAGCTCTTGAAGTATTTGATAAATTCACAACTGTGGGCAAGGCTTTTATCTAAAATTAATAATCTTTGTGGTTCTATGAACTATGATTGCCTTAAGCAATGTCCATAGGCACTACCAAGTGGTCCTAGGAAAGGCAGGCACAGTGGGGAAAAGGGAGAAGAAAATAAAACAACAACAGTAGAAGAACAGCAGATGGAGGAAGAAGACAAAACAGGGAGAAAACACTAAAAAAAATAAATAAGTACCAGATATTCAAAGTGTCACCGACTCTCTCAGTATCACTAACTACTCATTATAGTTCTGAGGATTGAATCTATATATACCCATTAGTAAGGACAGTATATTCTAAAAACATGAGCTTTTTTGGTTTACCTCTATCTACATTTAACTCGACATTAATATAGAAATTTTACAATAATGGCAGTGAAACTTAGTAATAATATACGTCTGTTAAATGTACTAGGGTTTACAAGTTTATCTCCATAGGAAAGTGGGAAGAATAACATTATGATCAGTCAACACTTACATGCAATTATACTCTAAGATAGCAACTGCACTGTAATCACACATACCTGTCCTCTAATGTCTATATCAGCATATTTTTGGAGAAGCGCTCGAACAATTTCAACATGACCACCTCTGACAGCGCCAATCAACACAGTATCCCCACTCTAAGAAGACAGAAAATAAAAACAAAAACAAGGTAAATTGACAACAAATAAGCACTCTTTTTAAGTTACAGTTAATCATGTTTTCATATTTTTTTCTAAAAATTTCTTGGAAAAAGTCTACCTCTAAATAAGAGAAAAATGTTACTTAACTAATATGAATATCTGATATTAACAGATATCAGAGTAAGGGACAGAGGACTTTATGCCCCAAAATGAGGACTCTGAAATTCCTAAACAAAGTTTAGAAAGACCAGTTACCCAGAACAATAATCTATTCTCTTTGAAGGTAACCGCCTATTACAAATGTAAATTAAATACAATGACGTTGTGGCTGTCAATGAACCAAATGAACATTTTAAAATCATATAGTAAAAATATCTTGGAATAATGCTATATGACGAAAGCCATGAATTCTAAAAAAACGGAGCTATAAAGCTAAAACTATCAGTGAATCTACAGCCACATTCAATTAAGGGAGAAAGTTCCCCGAGCAGCATCCATGAAAACCTAGTGGATTTGACAGTTACAGGCCAGTAGTACATTAAGACTGACTCATTCCCCAGCATAAGACTAAGTTCACAACCTCATGAGGACATTGCTCTCCCCTGAAACTATATTCACCAAGCAGCAATCATTTTTAGTTATATCTACCTATACTTAAAATACTGGAAACAGCTATTTTGGAAATGGGCATAAATATTTTATTATTTACTGCTAACTTAAAAATCAGTTGTAGTCTTTTGTGTTGAATGAGCCCATGGGCTGCAGCTCAATTCAATCCTGAGTGGACCTTAAAAGTACTATGAAATAAATCAGGATGCAGGTCCTTAAGGGTTATTAAGTTCAGCACCATGCTGTAGTGTGTTAACTACCACATTTATAGCAGAAATAAACCAAAGGCAGACAAATTTTAGTTGGGAACATTGGCATTAACATGGGTGCAGACTAGTAAACTTCTTAAATGTGCCATCCACCATTCTAGGTACTAGGAAACAAGACAGACGCGGTCCTACCTCTGGAAGAATTTACAGCCTGGCAGAGAAGACAACATACAATAAACAAAAAATCATACAAACACTATGCAAATAAAATAAGGTAATGTTCTAGAAAGTGACTACCAGGTAGGCAGGGCATGATGGCTTATGCCTGTAATCTCACCACTTTAAGAGGCCAAGGCAGGAGAAATCACTTGAGGCCAGGAGTTCGAGACCAGCCTGGTCAACATAGTGAGACCCTGTCTCTCAAAACAAAACAAGAATTAGCCAGGCGTGGTGGCATGCACCTGTAGTCCCAGCTACTTGGGAGGCTAAGGCAAGGAGGATCGCTTGAGTCTAGGAAGTTGAGGCCACAGTGAGCTGTGATCACACCACTGCACTCCAGCCTGGGTAACAGAATAACACCCTGTCTCAAAAAAAGTGATCACGTAACTACTTCGGATTAAGTAGTTGAAGACCTTCCCGAGGAGGAAACCTTGAAGCTGAGGTGAGAATGACAAGAAGGAGCCAAGATCAGCATTCCAGACTAAGAGCACAGCTGCTGCAAAGGCCCCACAGCAGGAACAAGCTCAGTGCATTCAAGAAAGGGAAAGAAGCAAACATGGCTGCAGGCTATGAAAACTGGCAGAAGAGGGGTACAAAGTGGGGAGAGAGGTTGGGCAAAGACAATGTCATGTCATGTCTATAACTAAAAAGATAACATTCATCCTCAGTGCAACAGGAAGTCTTGGATGACTTTAAACAAAGAAGTACACACGAGATTTATTGTTTTAAAGATCACTCCAAGATCAGAGTGGAGAACCCAGTTGCAAAGCTACTGCTTTGACAGTAGCACCACCAGAGACAGTGGCTTCAGCTGGGAAGTGATAGTGGAATGAAGACAAGTGGACAGATAAAGGATTTGTTTTGGAGTAAAGTCAACAAAGCCTGCTGGAGGGCAGATGAGGAAAAGAGAGAAATCAAGGCTAATGCACAGGATTTGGGGCTTCAACAAGAGGCTGAATGATGGTACCACTTGCTGAGATGGAGAATGAGGGAAAGCAGGTTTGGGGTGAAAAAAGCAAGGCATCTGTTTTATTGTAAGTTTAAGAGGCCAATTAGACATTCAAGTGGAGCGTTCAGGTAGAGGTGGATCAGTAAGTGTGAGCTCAAAGAAGTTAGGGCACAAGAAAGCACACCTACAGTGACACATCAAGGTCAGTCACAGACTAATAGCACATGTGACATTTTCAATAACAACATTATTTGACAAAAATTAAAAAGGACATTTTTCAGAACTATTGAACAGTTTTTAACTTACTAGTTTCAAAGGCAGAAATAAACTTATTTTAAAACAAGTTTATGTCATGCATGAGAATCTTGAAAGGTAATAAGACACTAAGGTCACCTTTCATCCACTTCACCACTAGGAGACAAATGTGAAATAGATGACCTACCCTGTCAGGTATGTTCACATATGTTCCAGCGTCGAGCAGATCCTGCACAATCTCCGTATGTCCCTCCTTTGATGCAATCATCAAAGCTGTATTTCCATCTTTATCTGTTAAGTTTACATTTGGATTCCTCTTCAAAATTTCTTTTACTGACTGTGTGTAACCTCCTTTCACTGCCACAATAAGTGCAGTCATTGAATTCTAAAAACAACAACAACAAAAACAAAACAAAACGCAAGCCCAAGAAATTAATGTATTCTAGAAAATATATGATTTATGCCATAATCATAAAACTAATGTTTTCAAATAGGTGGCCTATTATTGTCATTTCCAATAGTAAAATGCCAAAATAAATAGCAAGAAACATACCAAAAATGGCTAGGAGGTATCTTTTGTTTTTGAAAATACATTAATGATCTTCAGTCATTAGAGCTATTATGAAGTTCAGTTATTTAAATGATAATCTGAAATTGGACTCATTTACAATAAACTAACTCAGTAATGAAGGATAAAATAGTTGGCAGGGTGACTATTTTAACACCTATATAGAATGTGTTTATATATAAACACATTCTAAATTAAATAATCCAAAGTCAGGTGAATCAGACTTCAAGAATTCTTTATAATAAAACCCATAAAAAACACTAAAGTAAACAATGAATTAATAGCCATGAGCTATTTCAAGAAAAGTGTAATATACTGTTTGGCTTTCATAGTAACCTAGAAACTACATTTTCAAAACCTGTCTTATTTTAAGTAATTCTTTTAAAAATTGCACATCTATTTTATAACAATAAATCAGGCCAGGTACGATGACCCACACCTATAATCCCAAAGCTTAAGGAGGCCAAGGCAGGAGGATCATTTGAGGCCAGGAGTTCAAGACCAGCCTAGGCAACATATGAGACTCTGTCTCTAAATAAACAAACAATAAATCAACTAAGAGAAGAATGTGACTCACTACCAGAAGTAGTATTAAAACTGCTTCTTGAGATGTTCATCTACTTCAAGCTGTCATACAATTTCCCTATAGAAATATTTTGGGTCAGCCCCCAAAATTGAGCTGTCATTCTCCCACATATTAAAATAACACAGCCTTTTCAAATTCTTGAGCCATCAATCATCACAGAAACAAGCCACTTGTTCACTTGACCAACTGTCCAGAGGAGGCAGGTGGAAGGTATGTCATCTGCAGCTGCCTACGGACTATGCTGCCTCCACCAGCACAAAAACAGGGCCTACGCCTTGAAGGTTTGCAATGAGTCAGCTCCTGCCAGTATGCAAACAGGAGGAACTGGTTGATAGTGTGCCAAAAAGTATGACATAAAGAGTTTACTCTTGTTTCACTATGACCCAAGATCTGGTACTGTCTCTTCTCAGAATCCTTTATGATCCACTCATGTAACATACTAATTCTATAAATAGCAGTCTGTATTATTTTAACTGTTTCTTATGCATAAATATTGTTTCTTTTAACCATATTCTTATAGGCTCAAGGGAAAAGTGATATCAGGCTTCTTCACCTCTCCAACACAACTGGCACAGGCTGGGGAATGAGGAATTAAAAATTGCTAATCAGTAAGATGTATCTAACCAGTTTTTAAGCTTTCTGGCTTCTGACAGCTGATTTCTGATTTTTAAAAATCTGTTCATTGAAGAGGGAAAATAAGGCACAGCTAAAAATATCCCAAAAATTACAATATTACTTTAAATTTTATAAGAAAAATATTTTAATGCAGCACAATGTTTTCCCCAATATTAAAAACCATTTGATTTGAACAGTTTATTAAACAATTTGTACTACGTATAGGAAAAAACAAACTCCATTTCACATAAATTCTTACAACACTAAATACTTCTATGACCAGATGTGTGGGGTTTTTCCACATCCATCAAGCAATCAATTCTGCAGCAGACACCAGCTGGGTATTCTCCAACTCAATTCTGACACTACCTACCTGGAGGTAGCATCAGACCCCACAGGCAAGTGTTCGGTGCCCAAGACTGCCCCCGCTTCCCATGCCAATGAAAGCTCAGGTTGTCTGACTGGCTGTAAATTGGAGCTCCCACAACCCCCTCCTTGGCTTTGATTGATTTGCTAGAGCAGTTCACACAGTTCAGGGAAGTACTATTTACCAGTTTCCATAAGGGATATTTTAAAGGATAGAAATGAGCAGGCAGATGAAGATACACATAGGATGAGGTCTGAAAGGGTCCTGAGCACAGGAGCTTCTGTCCCCATGGAGCTGCGCTATGCCACCCTCCCAGTACGGGGATGTGTTCTTGGCCATCTTCCTGGAAGCCCCCTGAACTCAGTCCTTTTGGGTTTTTATGTGGGCTTCATTATGAAGGCATGATTTATTAAATCATTGGTCAATGATGATCAATGCAATCTTTAGCTCCTCTCCCCTCCCCAGAGGTGGTGGGTTAGGGCTGTGAGTTCCAACCCTCTGAGCACATGGTTGGTGTCCCTGGCAACCAGCACCTCAACCAGTGGGGTTATCTAGAAACTTTCCAAAAATAACCTCATTAACATAAGCTCAAGTGTGGTTAAAAGGGGCTTATGATAAGTAACAAAAGACTATATTTCATCTTTATCACTCTGGAACTGATCCAGAGCTGTTTCAAGAACCCAGGACAAAAGGCCAAATATAACCAAAGATACTCTTATTGCTGTAGTCACTTATGAAATTACACAGGTTATAGGAGCAGTCAGCCAGGAACCACGGACAAAAACCAAAATATGCACAGCACATTTTGATTAATGACAGATGGCATATATGACATAAGTTCCATAAGATTATGATACTGGACTTTCATTGTACTTTTTCTGTGTTTAGGTATGTTTAGATAAAGAAATACCATTGTCTCCCAACTGCCTGCAGTATTCAGTACGGTAACACACTGCACAGGCCTAGAAGCAACAGGCCATACCATAGAGCCTAGGAACGGAGTAGGCTATACCAGCCAGATGTGTGTAAGTGCACTCTATGATGTTCCCACAATGGCAAAATCACCGATGACACATTTCTTAGAACGTATCCCTGTCATTAAGCGACACATAACTCTCTATATATCACACTAGGATCACTGAAAGCTATTCTTTATACTTTTAGCCTCCCCAGTTGTGTGTGCATTAGCAACAGATCCTTAAAAGCATCTATTTATAGTATATATGTTTATAATATAACATTCTTAGAGTAACAGGAAATGCTTGTTTTCCTGTTACTATCATTTTAGAACTAGAGGGAAATTTCTCTAGGCATACACTAAAGAAATAAATTCTCTCTCTTAAAATAAAAAACATGTTTCTATTGCCAAGCATTAAAATATAAGATACTTACAGCTCCTTCTTGATCCACATCAGCTCCCATGGCCAATAAATGTTTCACACATTCCAAATGACCCTTTCGTGCAGCCCAAACTAAAGGGGTGGTTCCATACTATTAAAACAAACAATAAATTTAAAATTATTATAAAAAGTATACTCAAAGAAACTAGCTCTTAACATGAATTTTAATAAAAATCTTACTTTTTATCATTCTCATAAAACTGTATACATTTATCGTAATTGTAATCTTAGATAAATCCTATTTCTCCCATTTTATTTCTCCTGAGTAGATTAACCAGTCCATGAAATGTCTTTTAACCAACCTTATTTAACCTTTTCTTGAGACAGAGTCTCACTCTGTCACCCAGGCTGGAATGCAGTAGTGCAATCTTGGCTCACTGCAATCTCTGCCTCCCGGCTCAAGCAATTCTCCTGCCTCAGCCTCCTGAGTAGCTGGAATTACAGGTATGCACCACCACAAATGGCTCATTTTTTCGTATTTTCAGTAGAGACGGGTTTTGCCATGTTGGCCAGGCTGGTCTTGAACTCCTGACCTCAAGTGATCTGCCTACCTCAGCCTCCCCAAGTGCTGGGATTACAGACATGAACCACTGTGCCAGGCTCTTATTTAACTATTATAATGAGTGACAATGTTTCCATCATAAGGTAACATAGCCCCAAATTTTCAACAAGCTTTCATCGCTTCCCATATCTTATGAAACAGAATTTAAAGTCCAGCAGTCTGACTGTAGGCAGGAATAGTAACAACCAAGTGCCAAACAAACTAAAGTGGCCTAACCACTTTACATGGGTCTACGTGTGTGATCCTTATCGTAAGAACAATTCACAGTATCACATTTTCACAGATGAGGACACTGAGGCCCTAAGAGGTTAATTCATAGGCAAAGGTCACAAAGCTATCAAGAGGTGGGACAAGACCCATGAGCCCTTGAAACTGCACTCAAAAGCACCTTTCCCTGAAACATGATTCAAAAGGCATCCAGGAATATAAATCATGCATTAGCCACATTGCCTGCCTCTGGGGAGGCTAGCGATCAGCAGACACATGAATGTCCACAGTGACCTTTCAGTACATGGAGCCCACAGATAATTTAATTTAATCTACTCTCTGTGACAGCCCTGTCCAGTAGAACTTTCTGTGTTGATGGAAATACTCTATAATTCTGTGCTGTGAGATACAGTAGTCACTAGTCAAATAATGACGATTAAGCACTTGAATGCTATGTGGCTACTGTGACTGATGAACTGAGTTCTTTTCTTTTTCATTTCATTTTAATTAATGTAAGTCTAAGTAGTCCTGTGCTAGTGGCTACTGTACTGAGCAGAGTCGCTCTATAAATCATGTCAGGCACCACAGCAACCAACCACACTGTTGAGGGCTGGAGCCCTGGACAGGCTTCCCAGATGGATGAAGACTCCATGACAGACAGAATCACAAGGTTGCCAATACAGCACATGGGAGCCAGCACCTCACAAAACGAGGAAGAGAATGGAGGGAAAGCAGCTGCCACAGCCACCGCCTCAAAGCAGGCTTAGGAAGAACGAATAAGAAATACAGGATGAGCAGGCACTGTGGCTCACGCCTGTAATCCCAGCACTTTGGGAGGCTAAGCCAGGTGGATCACCTGAGGTCAGGAGTTTAAGACCAGCCTGGCCAACATGGTGAAATCCTATCTCTACTAAAAATACAAAAAAATTAGCCAGGCGTGGTGGTATATGCCTGTAGTCCCAGCTACCGGGGAGGCTGATGCAGGACGATCACTTAAACCTAAGAGGTGGAGGTCGCAATGAGCCGTGTTCATGCCACCACACTCCAGCCTGGGTAACAGAGCAAGACTCTGTCTCAAAAAGAAAAAAAAAAAGAAATACAGGAGGAGATTCCCAACTTCATTCCTGCATCTGTGGTTTTCTCCACTAAAAAGAACTAAATTCTCTTTTCTAGCCTCCTCTTTTGCGGATAATACTTACTCTGGCTAAAATGCCTTTCCTAACTTTACAATATCAATATCTTAGATATCTTCAAACATAATACACATAGAAAATCACCCTTCATAAAGCCTTTTAAAAATATACTTATTGTAACTGAGTTCTCATCCTTTGAATATCTATTGTATTGGATTTCTGCCCTTCTGATGCAACTGAACTATCCACGATTATATGCTATGATTTCTGCTCCTTCCCCTGCCTCAGCACATGAGCCGGCTAGTCCTTACCCACTCCCATTAGGGAGACAGTCCCACTTTCAACATTACAAAGAATTCCTGACATCCAGCAAGACCTTCCCTCACCTTGCATGCTGTCTGCTTCAAAACAGCTCTGCAGCCACAGTCTGAACTACCTCAATAAGTCTCTCATCTCTCAAATTCTGGTCTCTATCCCTTCTCAATCTAATCCCTTTATGTGTATTCCTGACCCTATGGTCCTCTTTCACCCAGGCCCTTACTCAATAATCTCCTGCCACATCATCAGTCTTTTCTTCTTATTCCCTCTTCCTAATAGGTCTCTGAATGAGGTCCTTCTCATGTGGGTCTCTCCTGTTCTAACAAATTTTTCCAACAGGCTACCCTCTGAAGATAATCACTGTTCTTTCTTTTAAGCTTTTCAAGATAATTTATAACCCCTTACCAAACCCCCCTAAAAAACTAGTTTCTGCTATAAACATTACAAAACCACCATTTCAGAGGTCACCCAAATAGTTACCTAAACTCCAGATCTATGTATCTTTTTTTGGTTTGTTTGTTTGTTTGTTTTTTTCTTTGAGAGGGAGTCTCACTCTGCTGCCCAGACTGGAGTGCAGTGGCACAATCTCAGCTCACTGCAATCTCCACACCTCCTGGGCTCAAGTGATTCTCCCGCTTTAGCCTCCCAAGTAGCTGGGATTACAGGCACCCACCACCATGCCCAGCTAATTTTTGTATTTTTAGTAGAGATGGGGTTTTACCATGTTGGCCAGGGTGGTTTTGAACTCCTGACCTCAGGTGATCCACCTGCCTCGGCCTCCCAAAGTGCTGGGATTACAGGCATGAGCCACTGCACTCGGCCACCTATGTATCTTTTACTAAGTTCTTTCTTTTCTTCCTGAAAGCTCTGCAGTATCTTGAACTATATTGACTGTCCCTTCCAAATTGAATTTTTGATTCATTCACCACCTTTGATGCTACAATAGCCAAGTTCTCCTAGCTCTGGAGATTAATAATAATTATATAAATAATTATGTATTATAATTAAGAAAATAATAATTATTATTCCTAATAATCAGCCCTTTGCTCACCATATTCCGTTACTACTGATCTCAGCTGCCAAATCCGCATTCACATCATTTCAAGAATCACCTCTAGGCAAGCCCTGGATCACCGGCAACCCAAATCTCTATGTCCGCTATCTAGTAGGACACCTTCAACTACAGGTTTCTACCACTTCAAGGCCAACATGTCTAAAACAGACTTCCTTTCCCTTCTCTAAAAATCAGTTCCCATAGAAACCTCCCTATTTCTGTCAGAAATAAAAATACTCTCAATCTTCAATCAATCCCACCGTGTACTATTAAACGTTAATTTTTTCTAAAACACCCCTTTGCAACCACCTACTACACTACTTAAAACCCCCAGTGATTCTGAGTGTCTACAGGCCAGATGTCCAAGCTCCTCAGCCAAGTATCCAAGACTCACCCAAAGGTAGCTCCACCTGCAGCCCAGCTTCCTCCTCCCACCCATCTCCTCACCACTGAGGGTGCACTCAACACTAGCTCAACAGGCCACCTGAAGCCGTCCCCTGGTACCTTGTGCTCTCATTTTCCCTGTGCCCAGTTCGTCTCTGCTCCTCCTCTCTCACGGATGTAAACTCTACCCTTTCTTCAAGGTCTAGAGGAAGTCGCATTCTTTTATGAAATCTTGACTGACTGCTGCGCCATCAGTGAATTCTCCCACCTCCACACTCCTAAGTCACCTGACCCTGGGCCTTTGCATTTTACATGGCCCACTTATCTCCCTGCTTCTCTAAACAGAGATCATTTTTTCTTTGTTTTTGTATCTTCTGTGCTAAGTGCAGGTACAGGGCACTGCATAGTGGGTACTAAACATTTTCTCAAAATGCTAATGAGTGACAGATTAGGTAGCATTATTACCTGATTCTGGAGGGCCTTGAAAGCCAAGCTATATGGAAACATTTTATTATAGGCAAGAAGGATAAAATAAAGGCTTCTCTATGATAATTAAATTACATCACAGGCTGGGCGTGGTGGCTCACGCTTGTAATCCCAGCACTTTGGGAGGCCAAGGCGGGTGGATCACCTGAGCTCAGGAGTTCGAGACCAGCCTGGCCAACATGGTGAAACCCCATCTCTACTAAAAATACAAAAAGTAGACAGTCGTGGTGGCACGCACCTGTAATCCCAGCTACTCAGAAGGCTGACACAGGAGAATCGCTTGAACCCAGGAGGCAGAGGTTGCAGTAAGCCAAGATCATGCCACTGCACTCCAGCCTAGGTGACAGAGCGAGACTCTGTCAAAAAAAAACAAAAATTCCATCAACAGACAAAACTGTATCCATTTTAGACATACCTCAAACCTCAGTCAATCTGAATTAACCAACAGTACAAATGCAATATTCTTAAATGCCATATCATAATATAAATATTTACAACAGCCTCCCTACGCTCCTCATTAAGCTATTATTTTGTGTAATATTTTTAAAAGAGGTATAACATGCACAAAGTGCGAAAAATATACTAATTTTCACTGTACTACTTGATGATTTTTTACATATGTATACACTGGCATAACTACTGCCCAGATCAAGATATGAATGATTTCCAACAGCCCCAAAAGGTTAAACAATACTGTTGTACTTAAAGAAATTTATGCACAGAATCTATTTCAATGACGAAAAACAAATCTTTAAGTAATAGCTATTTTCCTATATTTAGCTACAATGCTATAAATGTGAAAAGACTATGACTATCCCCACAATGTGCCAAATTCTAAGACCGCTACTGGAAATAATGGAGGTACAAAATGGGAAAAAAAAAAAAAAAGAGCAGTCCTTATCTTCATGAAACTTACACTCTAGTGGTAAGAAGGATGTGGAAATCAATCATTACAAGGCAATAGGTTATGTGCCCTAATGGCAATGTGCAGAGTACCCAGGAAGGGGCACCTAGGGTAAGGAGACTTAACAAAGAAGGTAACACCTCAAATAAGCCTTGAAAAATAAACAGGAGTTCATCAGGCAGAGGAGGGAATAACATTCCTAGCAGAGGGAACAGAATAAACACAGAAACAACGTTCACAGAACATTAGACAATCGGTTGTATCTAAAACACAGCATATATGGAAAGAAATGGCAAGAAGTGAGCCTGCAAGACAGGCTGAAGCCAAACTGAGAAGCCTGGGTTTTATCCCGAAACAGTGAAAGCCAACGAAGCTTTCCAAAAGTAAGAAGAAAAAAAGATAATTAGGTAGGTATTTATGCAATGATTGAGGTAAGTGTTAAGGATTTAAAAAAAAAAAAGAATAGCACATCATTCTGGGGTGCTTTCTGGAGGTGATGGCAAATGGGCAGAGCCTCAGAGATGATGTGAAGCTGAGGAGGAAGAGGCGGGCACACTGTGAAGGGCCCTGGACCGTGGGTCATTCAGTGGCTGGCATGCAAGGAACCATGGCGGACAAGCAGTAAGAGAAGGGGAAAAAGGAAGGCAAGGCCCATCTTCACCCATCATACCAGAGATGGTCTTCAGGAATTTAAGCACAAGAGAAACATAACCAAACTTCAATTTCAGAAAGATCTCTCACACAACAATACAGAGAAAGCAGATAGGACTGAATGTAGGAAGGAGAGTTACAATAGAAAACTTCAAACAATGAAGACAGGGACTCTGTTATCCCGGTCAGTTTTCTTGGGAATGATGAATGTGACATAAGAAAACATCAGAAGGATACTTACTACATAATACACCCAGGGAATCCATCTATGAGATATATATCTATATAAAATACATTAATATACAAAAATATAAAATACATTAGAGAAGCCTCATGAAATCATATAAAAATGTTTATAACTTAGACACTGAGTGGACATAACATGGACTGGAACCTGAAAAGATGCTGCTGACCTACCTTATCAGAGCAGTTGACTTTAGCACCATTTTGCAGTAAAAGATGAACTATATCTGCATGGCCTCTCCCTGCTGCCCAAATGATTGGGTAAACACTGTACTGCTAGGATAGATTGGTTGGTAGGTAGGTAGATAAGTAGGAAGGAAGGAAAGAAAGAAAGGAAGGAGGGAGGGAGGGAAGGAGAAATAAAATCTTTTAGGTAGATATTTACAACACACATTTGCTAAGTAAAGTAAACATCAAAGGAAGTAACACAAAGTAATGTTTTTTTTAAATCAGATTACAAACCATTCTCCACTTTAAAAATAGACAAAATACTCATAATACATAATTGGCAACTAAGATATAATAAATCTTAAGTAAACATATATTATGAACACATTTATTTTTATAAATTCAACACATTAAAATGTGGTTATCTGGCCAACAGGCAATACTAGTAAGAAGAAAGCAAAATAAGAGGAATGTAAATATATATAACAGAATGTATAGAAAAACAGTATGATTATTTTGTAAATGTTTCTTTTCTTTAAGTTCAGATTAAGGATTCACACACAGAAAAGAGGAAGATGACTAAAGATCTCAAAATCTCCTTTTGCAATGTTATATAGTTATAATTAACATTTAAGCTCTAAGAGCTGCCTTTTTGCTGACAACAATTGAGAAATACTTAGCTTTAGAAAAAAATTATCATTACTGTGTTTTGAAATCATATTCTATGTTACGTTTAATAAGATAAAGAATATTTCTACCCACCACGAAGCCAAATATAATCAACCTTAAGTATTCCCTAAGAAAACTTACCACTTATAATACAAACAAATTTTTTTGTTAATGCTTACCAGACCAGTGACACTTGGATTGGCACCATGAGAAAGAAGCAACTCTACTACGTCAGTACGGCCTTTGTAACATGCCCACATAAGAGCTGTCCATCCTCCCTAAACAAAAAATGTAGGGGTAAGGGAATCAAACTTTAAATCATCTCTGAGTATAAAAAATGTCACTAATGAAATTTCTTTAGTAAATATCTTTATAAATCATTGTTTCATGATGGTAGTATTATATAGTTCTAAATTCCCAGGCTCCCCAAATACAATAGTACATGAAATAAGTCAAATCTCTTGCATCCACAAATGGTTAGTCCAAAGTTTATAATATATTATGAAACCTGAATTAGAGAACATTCATTATGAACTCTTCCAAACTTCTAAGATTTATTTTGGCTGTCCAAAAATATTTCTTCAGGCTGGGTGCGGTGGCTCATGCCTGTAATCCCAGCACTGTGGGAGGCCAAGGCAGGCAGATCATGAGCTCAGGAGTTCGAGACCAGCCTGGCCAATATGGTGAAACCCCATCTCTACTAAAAGAATACAAAAATTAGCCAGGCATGGTGGCGTGTGCCTGTAGTCCCAACTATTCGGGAGGCTGAGGCAGGAGAACCACTTGAACCCGGGAGGCAGAGGTTGCAGTAAGCCAAGATCGCGCCACTGCACTCCAGCACAGGCGACAGTGCGAGACTCCATCTCAAATAAAAAAAAATTTAAAAAATAAAAATTTCTTCAGAAAACTTGCTATGTTCCTAGATATTCACTTCTTTCTATGAATTTAAACTTTATTCAGAGAGAGATTCTAACAATCATATTCAACTCCTGCATTTGAACACATCCTTTAAATCCCAGATCATTTTAGTACCTCTTGCTAAAAGAGAGAGGATGCTAAGGCATCTCATCTGTGACCAGAATTTCCAGAGGTAGGCAAAGTCATCAGGTATGAATCAACACCACACTTGATGATGTTCTACTTGCTAAGCTACAGGAGAAATTTTCTCCTTAACTACGATACGATTCAATAAAAAAGACCAATGTAATCAAATCTTACTAAGGAATTTTTTTTTTAAGTATGGAGCATCTTAAAAGGGCACAGAGCCAGCCTGAAAGAGCTTCTAATGGATAAAGTTGGAACAACTTGAGCAGTAATATTAGTACTGGGCTATAACCCAAGGAATAAATATTCATAAGTCCATACTGAAATAGAAAGATATAGATAGATATATAGATGAATGGATGAATGGATGGATGGATGGACAGACAGATGATAGACAGATAGAGTAGGGTGTGGGGAAGGGAAGTAGGCACTCTTCCTTACAGAAGAATTCTAACTAATTAATGTACAACATATGAGGGAAACAGAAAATCATCATTACACCACCACAGTTATGGTAGTAACTGCTGCAAGTAAGATTCACTGATGAATGCTAAATCAAATAGGTGAAAGTTTTAGTCAGAATAAAGATATTTTGTTTAGTGTCAAAGTATCTTCCCCCAAATATTTAGTAATTACAAAGTGAAAAATAGTGCTCTTACAGTGGCAGACACCACCCTAATCAAGAGATGAAGGCTGACATCACCAGTGATACAAACTGAAATCACGTTCCCCCTAGGGGGTACACCAAGAAAAGCACATCGCCTCTGGGACATCCTTCCCTCTAAAGCACATCTGCAACTGAACACGAGAAACATCCACAAATCCAAACTGAGGAACATTCTAAAATTACTGATGAGTACTCCTCTAAAGTGTCAAGGCCACAAAAGACACAATTTAGGTGAAATTACAGAGCTGGGCATTTGATCAAGTCAAGTCTTACATCTGTATTTTAACTTGTAAAATACTTGCCCAGAACTTTTTAACATCATGTCCTCACTTCAATTTGAATAATGTCCCAGCCAGGCATGGTGGCTCATGCCTGTAATGCCAGCACTTTGGGAGGCCGAGGCAGGCAGATCACTTGAGCTCAGGAGTTCAAGACCAGCCTGGGCAACATGGCAAAACCCTGCCTCTACAAAAAATACAAAAATTAGCCAGCCACGGTGGTGTGTGTCTGTAGTCCCAGCTACAGGGGGAGCTGAAATGGGAGGATCGCTTGAGCCCAGGGGATGGAGGTTGTAC
Source organism: Homo sapiens (assembly GCF_000001405.40). Lineage (NCBI taxonomy): Eukaryota > Metazoa > Chordata > Mammalia > Primates > Hominidae > Homo > Homo sapiens. The sequence continues at coordinate 8,815,344 of NC_000002.12, forward strand.
CGAGCTGAGATCGTGCCATTGCACTCCAGCCTGGGTGACAGAGACCCTGTCTCAAAAAAAAAAAAAGAAAAAGAAAAAAAAAGGGAGGCCTAGGCAGGAGGATCACTTGAGGTCAGGAGTTTAAGACCAGCCTGGCCAACATGGTGAAATCCTGTCTCTACTAAAAATACAAAAAGTTAGCCAGGTGCGGTGGCATGCACCTGTAATCCCAGCTCCTCGGGAGGCTGAGGCAGAAGAATTGCTTGAACCTGGGAGGCAGAGGTTGCAGTGAGCCAAGATTGTGCCACTGTGCTCCAGACTGGGCAACAGAGCGAGACTCCGTCTCAGGGGGAAAAAAAAATAAAGAATAATGTCCCTCTGGCCCCCTACATAAGAACCTATGAGATAAAATTTTAATCTCAAGAAAATGAAGCTAAATTGGCAAAAGACTGAGACCAATTAACTATAGTGTAGCTTTATATTTCATGAACTCTTTCTTCATTTTGGTGCCAGTAGAAGTCCTCACAGGAAGAGTCCTCACTAGACTTCTGATATGAAATCCTGGAATTCTTCCTGAGCCCCACAGGATCTCAGTGGTCACTCTCCTCTCCTTAAGCAAGTCCCAGGGACTCTGTCTTCCCTCAACTTGGGAAGTTGAGTAGTTACTTGGGTAGTTACTACCACCCACCCACCCAATCCTTTGAGGTTAAGGTCCCACAAAACTAGCTACTAAGAGAGACATGGTCCTCAGTTTCCCCAACTTTCAGTGTTTTAAAGCCAAAATAAAGAACCTTTAATAAAGATCCTTTAAATGTTAAAGGTTTTCTGGTCATCACTTTGAAGAAATAGGAAGAGCCAAAAAAGTTTAAGAAATCAGTTTTTACAAATCTTAATACATTTTTACACATTCATAACGTATATTTTATTGTTCCTAATTCCCTTGCTGATCTATGTAAAACAATGATAGAGGAGAAAGCCTTTGGAGCAGGGAGACCTGGTTCAAAACCCAGCCTAAGTGCTTACTAGCTGTGTGACTTAGGATAAAGATTCACTTCTTCCAGTCTCAATTTCCTCAACTATACATTGAGAATAAAATCAACCTTAGTCCACAGGATTGTTCTGAGAAGTCAGTTAAATGACACAGCAGCTATAAAGCACCTAAAGAAGCCAGGCACGGAATAACTGGTATGGTACCTATTGGTATGGTACCTATTCCACCCCTGGCCTCTCTAGGTGCTTTATAGCCACTGTGTCATTAACCCATCTGATAATCTGGTAAGGTACCTTTAATAAAATATTGAGAACTCGATAACTCCCTGCATTTCCCTTCTACCTTTCGTACCAACAAGGCAAGAACCACATTTCACTCTCGGCTGTCATATCCGTCTTTGCCTCAGTTACTGACATCATTATCTTCTCTCCCTAAACTTTCACTGCAACGTACTTAAGTTCTTTTTGGAAATATGTAAGATACCAGTGGTTCCCTGTATCTTCCTATAAAAATAAAGATACCACCCATTGCACTTAGTTTTGAGAACAAATATAAGATTATACAGGTTGAACTACTGTGAAATTATAATGTGCTATTAAGGGCAAAATGGTGAAATGCTGTGGCTTCTTAAAAACTCAGACCGTCTGTACTTCAAAAACCATCATCAGCTAAGTAATAAATATTTTATATATCACAGCAGATCGTTTTCTTCCTTCCTTCTACTGTTAAAATCAACTTTTAAAAGGGCTGAACATTTTACAGAATTAGCCAGAAATGACCTCTCTCTTCACCTTATGCTTTAACCAGATGCCAAACTCAAGTAAGAGCTAAGTAATAATTAAGGATCACATCTTGTTAAACTTCTGTCATGCACAGATAGCATGTCTGAAAATAATCACATTTTTAAAAATAAATCTAAAAATATTATTCTGAAAAGTATAACTTCAAACACCTGATAATAGTTTTAAAACCATACGCTGTCCCTCCTAAAGTCCTACCTAAAGGAAACAACTGTCTCAGAAGTTCCAAAACATTGATATATTAAAGAGTAATGAGTTATTTGTAACAATATGTCAGAATTTTAAACTCCAAAATAAATGAAAAATGATGACTAAGAATATTCTAAGAGGTATATTACAACACCTGGGTTTTAAAACATTCTTGAGGGTCATTTCAATGCCCAATCCCAAATTCTAAAAACATTATTATAATATCATTTCACACATAAAAATAAAATATTTCACACATATCTATGATTATAAATAAGATTTCAGCTAATTAAGAACATATAAAAATGTCCATACCATATCACGGTGCTCCAAGTTAACCCCACATTTCAGTAGTTCCTCTACGATGTGCACATGCCCTTCTTTCGATGCAGATATAAGTGCTGTCCAATTATCCTTGAACATATATTTTAAAAGTTATCATTTTCAAACCAAAAATAACACGTCAAAGTAAGGAAAACTACATTTGAACTTACATACCAAATGATCATACCAAGTTGACATGGTGTGACCCATGCTAACTAAACTACTCTAAAGTCATACTGAAGCTCTCTTAAGATTCTATCTGTCCACTTGCATCACTAAGAATGGGGTAAACATGGCTTTACAACTGCTTGTTCAGTCTACTCACTGAACTTCTAATCATATACTGCGCTTTTTAAAAACGAGAAAAGATGATCATCAAAACCTCAAAGCTAATCCTCATGGCTAGCCACCATTACTGTAATATAAATTGGAATTAAAGAGACTGTAATCAGATTTAAAAGCACATTCACAGGTTAGCAGACTACAGAGATCTCATATGATGTGTTTAGAAACCATGTGATAAAGAACTATTCTCTTTTATTTTTTAATTCCTAACTGTAATATAATTCAAATGATCATTCAATTAAGAAACAAAATAGATGTAGCTGTGTGACCCTCAAAAGCAATTCCAAAAATACAGGGAGAATCAGAGGAAATGTAACCGTGTGGAATGTTGATTTACCCCTCACAAGTGATATCAGAAGGGACCATATATTCCTGGCCATTATCGCATGTAATGATATTATTTATAATAAGTTACCATTATGGGGAGTTACTTAACATGACTCGTATGTGGATATCTTCTAGGTAGATATTTAACTATATGTACACATGCTCTCTATTCAGCCAGTCTCATCCATATAAAAAAACCAAAGAGCTGAGATCCTTCATTGAAAGTAAAAATTTCTCTCCTGTATTACTCCTTTTAAAAAAAACTGATATAGCCCACTAGGCAAAGTTGAAATATATGTAAAAGTTTTAATTACTACTTTTGAATCACTTCTGAAAAACAAAAAAATAGCTAAGAAAAAAGTGAGTAAATGATGAGTAAATTATTTTAATATATACCAAATCTTCCAGATTGCAGTTAGCTCCATTCTTAATTAATTCCTTCACTATTTCCAGATTGCCTTGTTCGGCAGCTATCATCAGTGGAGTCTGGCCACACTAGAGAATATAAAAGACAAAGGGAACTTATCAAGTTACTGCACTTTTACTAAAACATCACAGTTAAATATACCACACATTTTCATGAATGTATGTTAAGCATTGTTTAGTTGTGTTTACTATATTTAATTTAGAAACAGCTTTGAACTTTAAGTTTCAGTTTACTAATAATTTAAAAGTCAAAGAAAAAATAAAACATAATTTTTCTTCCCACAGTATTAATAATCTGTTTTTGGCACTGCAAATTCATTTAAAGTAAGTAAATATGAATAACACTAGGATTTGGAATGCAATTACTGAAATATACATAAAATTTCAGAATACTTATGGTAGCCAAATTCTCTAACAATACAGGTAGAATATGATCTAAAATGTGTTTTTAATTATATATATGTTTTGTCTGAAATAGGACGAGAAGAAGAAAAGTAAAATAATAAATAAAAACAACCAGGTGCTATGTATAATACACATATGTAGTTTTTTAAAGCCTTCTCTTAGAAACTTAGTTCATTAAACTAAATAAAGCTCCTACTGCTGAAATCAGTGTCCCAGCCTTTGTGTTAAGAATGAGTCACAGGAGTACAGAGACGATGCTCCCTCAGCCCTGGAGATGAGGGCAGGGCTCAGGCAGCTGGGTGCCTAGACAAGTCACCCCTAACAGCAAGCCTCATCTACTGCAAGTGCAGTACAAAAGTTATCATTTTCTGTAAGTGCCATGACAGGAAACAGATCGGCAAATACCAGGTTAGGCCGAGCGCAGTGGCTCAAGCCTGTAATCCCAGCACTTTGGGAGGCCAAGGTGGACGGATCACATGAGGCCAGGAGTTCAAGACAAGCCTGACCAACATGGTGAAACCCTGTCTCTACTAAAAATACAAAAAATTAGCCAGACGTGGTAGCACACGCCTGTAATCCCAGCTACCTGGGAGGCTGAGACATGAGAATCGCTGGAACCTGGGAGGCAAAGGTTGCAGTGAGCTGAGATCGCATCACTGCACTCCAGCCTGGGTGACAGAGCAAGACTTGTCTCAAAAAAAAATTTAAATTAAAATTTTTCAAAAAAGGAAGTACCAGGTTAAAGAGTGATGATACTAAAGGTACTAAGACACACTAAGGCATATGAGAAAAATGTACACCAAAAATTAAGTTTAATTATGCAAACACTTAAACACCTACTTACTACATGTATATTAGTATGGAGGGAAAATCTATGATTCTTTTAAATGCCCACCTGACATTATTCCTCTGCTTCAAACCCTTCAATGTTTTCCCATAGTTCTTCTGGATAAGAACCGACATCCTTACCCAAGCTGACACAAACCCTGAGTGACGCGGAGCAGGGCATGCCTGGCCCTCGACCCAGTCTGTGCCACCCCCGGCCTCAACGTGTCCTCCTGCTCATTCCCACCTCCTTACTGATCCCCTATAATTTACTTTTCCTATACTAATCCTTGTTTGTAACCACATTTTCATTGTGTGATTAACAACTGATTATTGTCTGTCTCCCCTAAACGCCGGGAAACATGTCTGTTTTGCTTATGGGTTTAAAACTATATACCCAGTGTGAGGGACAGTGGCTGCCACACAGGTACCCAAATATTTGCTGAGTAAACGAGTGAGCAAAGTCTCAAAGAATTTAAAAATCTATTAGGCACAACATCCAAATAAGCAAATAGTTATAATGATTACCAAAATACAACAGATGCTATTATAAGAATAATACAAGTAAGGATTTAAACACGAACGCTGGTTTAAAGTTCAAGTATCGGTCACGTTAAATATAGACATTCCTATGTAAGGATGGATGCTAAATTATACGTGGTAGCCACATGTCATCCAACCAGGGTCATTAGGGAATGACGTATTACACATAAATAGATTTTCTCGGTGAAAAAATTTATCTTCTCAACATTCAAGCTGATTATAACTTTTATGATAATCATCACTCTGAAAAGCTATGCACGTACTGCTAGTTATTAAGCAGATGGCCTTAAAAGTTATGTTTAGAATTCTGAGTCGTCACTACCAACATCAATTACTATGCCACGCACGCCTCTGTCCGCTCTAGGTTCTTTGGTATACATTCTATAGAACTGTTCTCCCTTCTAATCTACTGGGATAAAAAGTCAGGTATCAAAGTCATTGGTAGAATATATAAATTAAAGCAACAAACTCTAAATCCACAGTCCTGAGAATACATCAATTTTACATCACAGTTTTCAAAATTATAATTCCAAAGACTCAGGGAAGTTTTCTGTTTACGCTCTGGGTCACAGTTACATTTCAGATGTTCACATAGGTAAGTGTTTCTAGATAATGAGAGAAAAACATAATATAAATGTTTTAATAATATAAATGTTATAAATATATAACATAATATAAATGTTATAAATACATATAACACAAGTAGGAAAGATGGTATAAATTTGATAGCCTAGAAACATGCCAAATGAAAGATTAGAATTGTCATTATTTTCTCTTGCAGAAACTATTAGCTGTCCACCCAGTATCTAGAAAGACAGGGCTTGTTGCGGGTGGCAATGAGCTCAGCTGAAAAAAAAAAACACCCAGTGTTCAGCCTCACTTGCAGCTGGAAATAATCCCACAACGGTGCCCTGGCTAGCTCTCCCAGGAAAGCGCTGTACTAATTCAGCTGGTCTGTGCCTTTTCCTTCTTCTTGCCCAATACTGAGACACAGTGCTGGAGCTTTTGCTACATGACTGATGTGACGCAATAGGCACACAGTGAGGACTGGCCAGAAAGAAAGGAGCCTGGGTTCTGAAGCCATCTATCAGCCTTGAAATGGCTCATCTAGCTTGTCATGTGAGAAAAACAAAACCTTAATTTATCTAAATCACTGTTTTGAGAGCTGTTCCATGCACTACAAAGCAATTCTTAACTGATGCACCTTTTGTAGCTACGCTATCCAAAAAGATAATGACTTTCAGGAAAGGCTGCCATAAAGTTTTATAGGATCCCCAAAAATAGAACGATTGTTATTTTAAAAGTTGGGCCTGAAAATAAAGCCTATCTTTGGATTCTCCTAGTTCTTGCTTAACCAGTCCAGTAACTACAGTTGTAGAGATAGAGTAACTTATGTCATGAAAACTTTCATTTTTCTACTTGAAAATGTATCAGTAAAGATCCTTTCCATACCTGACCCCACACATCCCAGCAAATTCCATGCCTATCTCCTTCTAGAAAACACAGGATTACATTCCACATAATCCCCGCTCTACTACTCATAGTGACTTCAAGCCAAAACACACCAAAAACAAAACAGAACACTACGCACCTACTGAAATACTGGACTTTATCTCAGCTTCCCAGAAGACTACAATGCAAAAACAACTACTATTTAAGCATCTTTTTGCTCTTCCCAATTTCTAGGTTCCCATTTCTACTTATTTAAGTGTATGAGACCTAAATAACCACTGGTTTTTTTAAAGCAGTCCTTCTGGAGGGTTTCTACTTCTTCCAATAACCACAGTGAAACTAAAACATTTCGAAATCCTCCTTTGAAATTTCCTTTAAAGTCTATTTACAGGCCAGGCGCAGTGACTCTCATGCCTGTAATCCTAGCACTTTGGGAGGCTGAGGCAGGTGGATCACTTGTGCCCAGGAGTTGTAGAATAGCCTGGGCAACATTGTGAAACTTCATCTCTACAAAAAAAATTTTTTTTAATGAGCCAGGCGTGGTAGCACACGCCTGTAGTCCTAGCTACTCAGGTGGCTGAGATGGAAGGATTGCTTAAGCCCAGCAGGTCAAGGCTGCAGTGAGCTGGATCATGCCACTACACTCCAGCCTGGGCAACAGAGCAAGGCCCTGTCTCAAAAAAAATAAAATAAAATAAAGTTTACTCATAAACATACAGCAAAATCCATTGTTTAAAGTCTCAGTTCATTTTCTTAAACGGGAAAAAAATGACCAGCCTCAACACTATTCCCTTATACCAAGGACAGCTGACAGTGACTGTTTGTTCCTTTCAAAAATAAAATAAAAATAAAAACTCTTCACTACTCTATAAAGGACAAAGATTTGCCATCATTGAGAATATTCATAGGCCAAAGATTTATCTAGTTTATAAATAAAGCAATAAAAGGAAACTAGAATTCACTGTTTGTGGGCAATTATGTGCTAATAAGCACAGTATCAGGCAATTTTATCCCTTTTTAAATTTGTTTATTTTATATTTTTTAGAGATAGGGTCTCAGTCTGTTGCCCAGGCTGAAGTGTAGTGGTGCAGTCATAGCTCACTGCAGCCTTGAACTCCTGGGGTCAAGCAATCCTCCCACCTCAGCCTCCCAAGTAGCTAGGTCTAAAAGGTGCCACACCTGGCTAATATTTTTTAGAAGTAGGGTCTCACTACAGTGCCCAGGCTGGTCTCAAACTCCTAGGCTCAAGAGATTCAGCCTCTCAAAGTGCTGGGATTACAGGTGTGAGCCACCACATACAGCCTACCCACATTATTTTAATTGATCTAATACTTAAGAATCTTTCTCAAAACTGGTAACCAAACACATTAACATGAAGTTACATAAATATTTTTTAAAATGAGAATAAAGGGGAAAAAATACAAACAACTTTTTGTAATTCTATAAAAATTACACTTTATCAGAAGTTGTAAAAGCAAAATGCTAAAAAAAAAAAAAAAAAATACCAACTTTTACACTGAGCCATAACTGAAAAAGCCTAGATGGTTTCAAATTATCACGTTAAAACTCCAATTTAAATTGATACAATATTAAACTGGATATGTTAATTAATATCCATTAAATGCTTATCTCGCATGATGCTAAATTAAGCTCTATGCCAGTGCTTTACTCCTTATAGCAATAAGATTAATTTTACGCTTATTGATGTGCTATTTTTTCCTTCCAAGTGAAGCTGTTTTCTTAGCATTCCCTAGACAAGTGTCTCTAAAGTAAAATTTAATGTTTTGAAACTATCATATGGTTATTCCAAATATGCTAACATATGCTAACAAAATGACTACTTCTGTAATCTTTTTGTAACAACCTCCAATTATAAATGTTATATCTTATCTATGTATAACAACTTTTGACTATTCATAATCATTGAAGGGGGTAATGATGTTAACTAATGAAAATATATTTTGTTCAATATAGAAACATTGAAAATATAGGCATTATCATTAAATAAATTTTATTCTGAAGACTCAAAAAAAAAACATAGAGCTTACACAGATTATAATTTGTTTAAAGTCAAATAGAGCAAAGTTCAAATATGGACTCTACCAAATAATATCTTAGATAGGAAACTGAGGAATTCAGTCATTTACTCATAAATAAAGATAAATAACAGTATTATTCTTTATACAGCTGCTACGCAAGTTAAATGAGCTAAGATATAGAAAATATATACCAGAATATTTGCATAAGTATTCAATAAAAACATTAGCTATTATTCAATAGCTAATGAAAATGAACGAAAACATTCAATAAAAACATTAGCTATTATTGTAATAACAACATTTTTATATCAACATTTCCTTAACGACTGAGTTAACATTAAATGATATTAGGTACCACAGGTCAGAAAAAGTAATAATAAAGTAATTCAGCAGCTTTAAAAACATTTATACGTCAGGCATGATGCCTCACGCCTGTAATCCCAGGACTTTGGGAGGTCGAGGCGGGCAGACAGATTGAGTCCAGGAGTTGGAGACCAGCCTGGGCAACATGGCAAAACCCCATCTCGACTAAGATACAAAAAATTAGCCAGGTATGGTGGTGCACACCTGTGTCCTAGCTACTTGGAGGGCTGAAGCAGGAGGATCGCTTGAGCCTGGGAGGTCGAGGCTGCAGTGATCCCTGATTCTGCCACTGCACTCCAGGCTGGGCAATGGAGTGAGAACCTGTCTAAAAACAAAAAACACAAGCAAAAACATGTATAATATTTGCACACCCATGCTTATAGCAGCATTATTCACAATAGCCAAGGGATGGAAGCAACCCAAATTTCTAGCCACAGATGAATAGACCAAGAAAATGTGCTACGTACATACAATGAAATATTATTCAGCCTTAAAAAGGAAGGAAATCCTGTTACGTGCTATAACGTGGATGAACCTTGAGGATATTATGCTAACTGAAATAAGCCAGTGACAAAAAGACAAACAGTATATAAGTCCAATTACATGAGGTGTCTAAATAGTCATATTCATACAAATAGAAAGTAAAACGGTCACTGCCAGGGTTTAGGGAGAGGGGGAAAGGGAGAGCTGCTGTTTAATAGACAGAATTTTGATTTTGCAAGATGAAAAAGTTCTGGTAGACCGGATGCAGTGGTCATGCCTGCAATCACAGTACTTTAGGAGGCCGAGGTGGGCGAATCACTTGAGGTCAGGAGTTCGAGACCAGCCTGACCAACATGGTGAAACCCCATCTCTACTAAAAATATAAAAAATTAGCCAGGTGTGGTGGCGCACGACTGTAGTCCAAGTTACTCAGGAGGCTGAGGCATGAGAATCACTGGAAGGCAGGGGGCGGAGGTTGCAGTGAGCCGAGATCACACCACTTCACACCAACCTGGGTGACAGAGTGAGACTCCGTCTCAAAAAAAAAAAAGAAAAAGTTCTGGAATCTATTGCCCAACAATGGAGAAATACTTAATACTCCTAAACTGTATCCTTAAAAATGGTTAAGATAGTAAAGACAATAAATTTTATGTTATGTGTTTATCACAATAAAAAAATTATAAATAAAACTTTTTATATGTCTACACAAGATATATATGTAAGCAAATATATACAAACACATAAGTATATATACATACACATACACATATAGTGTAAAATAAAAAACCACTCCTTATTCATCTTATCTACTGGCAAGAAATATTATACTCTTGAAAACACACACAGTTCTAAGAGACAGGGTTGTTTTCCTTAAGTTTTGTAAAACAAACACATACCCTGATACTTACAATATTTATACAAAACTGTATTAGCACCTAAAATGTCCTGCCAAATAATAATAGCTTGGCTTGCCGGACGCGATGGCTCACACCTGTAATCCCAGCACTCTGGGAGGCCTAGGTGGGTGGATCATGAGGTCAGGAGACCATCCTGGGTAACACGGTGAAACCCCATCTCTACTAAAAATACAAAAAAAAAAATTAGCCGGGCATGGTGGCGGGCGCCTGTAGTCCCAACTACTCGGGAGGCTGAGGCAGGAGAATGGCGTGAACCTGGGAGGCGGAGCTTGCAGGGAGCCAAGATCCTGCCACTGTACACCAGCCTGGGTGACAGAGTGAGACTCCATCTCAAAAAAAATAAAATAATATAAAATAATAGTTTGGCTTTTCATAATGAACTAAGATCCACATTTTTTACCTCATAACATTGAGGAGAAATATCTCATTTGAGTTAATGTTTATTAGTGTGTTACTAAATATAATACATAACCTATTTAACTCTCTAATAAAGATGTAGGGTTTTTAATAATCCCAAAGTGTGTGGGACAAACAATGGAGGATGATAGTTGGGGCTCATTAAAGAAAGTATTTCAGGCAGGGCGGGGTGGCTCACGATTGTAATCCCAGCACTTTGGGAGGCCAAGGTGGGCGGATCAACTGAGGTCGGGAGTTCAAGACCAGCCTGGCCAACATGGAGAAACCCTGTCTCTACTAAAACTACAAAATTAGCCGAGCGTGGTGGCACATGCCTATAATCCCAGCTACTAGGGAGGCTGAGGCAGGAGAATCACTTGAACCTGGGAGGCGGAGGTTTTGGTGAGCTGAGATCGTGCCATTGCACTCCAGCCTGGGCAACAAGAGTGAAACTCCATCTCAAAAAATAAAAATAAAAATAAAAAAGAAAGTATTTCAACAATCCCTGATTTTGTCTGGTTAATCAAGATCAGGTCCAGATGATCTGTAAAGTTTCACAGAAGTACTTGATTTCAGTAATCAAGCTTCCTGAATATTAATTATTCCATCAGGGGAAAAAAAACAATAAATCTAAATTCAACAGTCATTTATATAAGTTAAAATGTACTCCAAAAACATGAAATTTGAAGTACTTTTAACTATAAGACATTCTATCATAAGTACAGTGCAGTATTACTAAGGGTTAGAACTACCTATTTCTTACACACTTCTATCCTATACATAGCAGGCAGTCAACAAATATTTGTGAAAGAATGTAATTTTGCAAACTTGGTCTTACCTCATTTCTCTCATCTACATCTTTGCATTTTTCAAGAAGAGCTTTCAGAGCAGGAATGTTTTCTTCCTCTACATAATTTATGACGCTCTGTGATATCAAAACTGACATTTTCACAGAAAGCTGCAATTAACTTTATTTGAATACCTGTTAAATTAGACAAAATACACATAATTTATAATTAGAAAAAATTAAGTTACTATTAAATACAATATCCTTCTTAACATTAACCTCATGCAAGGACACCTCCAGTGGCAGAAGTGAAGATACGACTTCCCACGGCTTCCATAGCTCAGGTGTCAAAAAGCTGCCGTGATGTCTCTTAGGTTCACACTCACCTCCATCTTAACTTATCCAAACACCAAACTCCACATCCATCCCCAAACCCTCCTCATCACCACTCCAAAATGCTCCCCTGCTCCTCCTGCTGTCACCATGCCAGTAAACGGCAGCTCCAGGTCCATTCTTCCAAGGCCAAAAGCATTGAAATTGTTCATGACTTACCTCTTCCTCTTACACCCTACACTCAATCTATTAGCAAATGCTTTTGGCTCTACCTGTAAAATACATTTCACATCTGACTACTACTCACCACTTCATCACTGCCACCCTGGACGAGCCACCGTGACTCACCTGCGTCACTATCATCGCTTCCTAACTGGCCTCCCTGCCTCCACTTTACCTGGAAGAGTGGATTTTAAATGGTCTCACTGCAAATAAATAATTAAGTATGGGAGGTGATGAATATGTTAATTAGCCTGATTTGATCATTCCACAATGGATACATGTATCAAAACATCACATTGTACCCCTAAATATATATAATTTGTCAATTAAAATTACATTACTTTTTTTAAAACTTTAACATATATCAGAATCACCTGAAGAGCTTTTAAAGCAGATTCCTGGGCCCCACCGTCAGAGATTCTGACTCAGCAGGTCTGAGTGGGGCCCCTGACTCTGCATCTTTATCCAGCTCCCTGTGACACTGACAACACTGAGGAAGAACCACAATGTGAGCAGTACTAAGTCAGAGCATGGCCTCTTTTATTCAAAGCCCTCTAAGGGCTTCTCGGGGTGCTCAAAGTAAAATCAAATGTTTTTACCTTGGCCAAGATAACTCTTCAGTGGCAAGCCTCTCACCTGTGTGACACCTGTGACTGTAGCTCCTACCACCCCCTCTCACCCTCCTGGCTGCATGGCCACACTGAGCACCGTCCCACCTCGCCAGGCCTCTGTGCTACTTTTCTGTCTGCCTAAAATTCTCTTCCACAGGACATGCACACGGCTTACCCCCTGACCCCGTCAGGTCACCTGGTTACAAAGTCTCACCGGATGTGGGATGTCAGGGTACCGACCCCACACAGGCTTCACTGTCACCCTGCACTCTCAACCCTTTGTCCTGCTTTCACTGCTCTCCACACCACTTGCCACCATCCAAAAAATGACATATTGTTCACTTATTGTCTGTCTACCATAACTATAAGTTCTAAAAGAGTAGAAATTTTATTATATTCAACTGGACATCCAAATGCAAATAAATAAACCTCAATCCATACTTTGTACCACATACAGGTGCTAACTCAAAATTGACCTAAATATAATGTCTGAAAGTACAAAACTTCTAGAAGAAAATATAGATGACTTCAGTGACCTTAGATTAAGAAAGATTTGATATAACACTAAAAGCATGGTGCATAAAAAAAGAAAACTGATAAACCAGAGTTCGTCAAAATTGAAAACTTTGGCTGTTATGAAAATGAAATTATTTGGGACTGGTGAATCCTCTTTGCCTTCCTTTTCCTCCACCCTTGAACAGGACTGTCTATAACTGATATCCCATGCCCATTCCCTAACTCTAAGTTGGAGCAGATAACTTGATTCTTGCGTTTCCCAGGTGGAAAGGAATCATGCCTCTGGATGGACTACACCCAGACCCTCTCATACCTGATTTAGATGATGAGATTTAAATGAGACTGTGGACTTTGGGTTGATGCTGAAATGAACTGAGACTTTTGGGGAGGCCTTGCGATGGAGTGAATATGTTTTGACACAGGAAGGAAATCTATCTCTGGGGGCCAGAGGGCAGAAACTATAGCACTATATGATTCTACTTATATAGCATTCTGGAAAAGGAAAACTGCAGGGGCAGAAAACAGATCGGGGCTGCCAGGGTCTAAGGCAGGGGAATGAGATGGCTACAAAAGAGTACAAGAGAATTTGGCGAGTTAATGGCTGTTCTATATCTTGACTGTTGTGGCAGTTACACAATCATTCGTTTGTCAAAATTCAGAACTGTCCATTAAAAAGGGTGAATGTTATTACATGTAAAGTATAAATCAGTATACCTTACTTTTAGGGAGTATATATTCAGAACAACTTGAATTTATACTCTTGGGGTGAAAAACTATTATTTTAAAAAATGATGTTATTTGATCCCATAGTTGCACTTCTAGGAATTATTCTAAAAACATGAGAAACATGAACAAAATTTTAAGATTTTAAGTAAAACAATTTTATCCATAAGAACAAAAATCTTAGAAATGGATATTATATAAATTATAAAAATTCACAAAGTAGGATAATATACAGTCATCAAAATGTCTCAAAAAATGTGTTACAGAAAAATGCTCATGATAGAAGAAGTGAGGTAAAAGATTAAGAGCTATATATACAGCATCTCAGCTATTTTAAATGTATACATTTTTAAATACTGGAAATAAAAAAAGAACAAATGGTGATGGGCATTAGTGTAATTTTTATTTTCTTTAAAACCTTTATCTCCTACATGTTCTGGAATGTGATGCTTCTATCATTAGAAAGCAGTGAGGGTTTGTATTAGCAGTCATCACCAACACCTACCTTCATTTATTCCCACTCCTTCTAGGATCAAGCCTAAGGCCTCAGTGAGGTTTGCAGGATCTGGCTCTCCCTCTATACCAGCCCCAGCTCACCCCACAGCCCAGCCAAGCAGAAGAACTCAAATTCACCACACTCCCCCAGTGCTGCTCCACACTCCCGCCTATGCTCAATGTGCTCCTTCCATGTAGAACACCATCCTCATCTCTACTCTACCAAGGCACCCATCTCCCTCTGAGTCACACAGCTACCATTTTTCATCCAGTTTACCCCCTAAAGTGTGAGATCACCCAACCCCACACTCAGTGCCTTAGTTTAGACCTTCACCATCTATACTAATCAAGACCCCTAAGGTTGCAAGAGACTAATTTAAACTAGCTTAAGCAAAACAGAAAAATGTATTTGAAGGATAATGGTTTATTTCCCATAACCACACTACAGGAAGAGTGGGTGCCACTGGACCTCAAATGCCAGGAGGATTCTCTTTCTCTACTGGCTTAATCTACTTTCCTTCTAGACCAACTACTTCTACACAAAGGGAAATATGGCTTCCCACAGCCATCCAGCCTCAAATCAGATCGTTTATTTATTTTTTGAGACAGGGTCTCACTCTGTCACTCAGACTGGAGTGCAGTAGCACGATCATGGCTCACTGCAGCCTTGACCTCTAGGGCTCAAGCGATCCTCCCACCTCAGCCTCCTGAGTAGTTGGGACTACAGGTGCACACCACCATGCCCAGCTAATTTTTCTATTTTTTGTAGAAATGAAGTTTCACCATGTTGCCCAGGCTGGTCTCAAACTCCTGGGCTCAAGTGATGCGCCTGCCTCTGCCTCCCAAAGTGTTGGGATTACAGGTGTGAGCCACCGCACCTGGCCTAAATCAGATAGTCTCTAACACCAGAGAAAGCAGGCTATTCTTTGTTCCCAGATCCAACAGTCCCAGAAAAGGGCTCTGACTGCCCAGGCTGGATCTGTTGCACACCCAGAACCAAGCAACTAGAGACACAAAGTTGGGAGGGGGTTACAAGGTCACACCATATTGGCACTGTTTCCAGAAAAGAGTAAACAGTTGTGATCTAGGCATCAATCCTAAAAACTTCTACTACACCATCTCTCACCCAGATCAATGTGACAGGCTAGCAACTTTTGCCTCCTCTCTCCAGGCCTGCCACCTGCAATCCATTTGCCACACTGAAGCAAGAGTGACCTACAATACATCTCTCCTAAAACCAAGGTTGGGAGGACAGATGACAGCTTTACTACTTACAAGTTATTCAAGGAACTTACGCCTTCTAAGGCTTTTAAAGCCATTGTAAAGATGCAAATACACAATTCCTACGGAAAGCTTTGCTCTCCACTGAGCAGAGTGAAAACTCAGTAAGTTCAATTCTTGATTATGATGAGGGCATGCAGATTCTTCACAATCTGGCCCCATCTTACCATTCCAGCCTTATCTTTCTCCCCTCCTCAGCCCCATCCCTCCCACCCTCTACATAGTCACATCTACACCTCCAGCTCCAGCCAGACTGATCTACTTGCAGCTCCTTCACTGCCCCACACTTTGTTCTTTCCAGACCTTTGCACTTAATGCCCCCTCTGCTTAGAAAGTCCATTCTCCACGTATATATGCCTGAACAGCTCCTACCCATCCTTAAGAACATGGCTCTAACAGATCTTCTGGAAGCCTTCATTGACTGGCTGCTTACCCCAAGCTGGGCCAGGCCCTGGGCTCCTCCACACCTGTGTATACATCTAGTTGTAGACTGCTCACATCACACTCAACTCTCCTCTCCATTTTACTCACTCTCTCCACATCTCCCTTAGACTAGAAGTTCTTGCAGCAGGATCTGCTTTATATCTAGCACAATGCCTACACAACAGGAGGTGAGAGAGAAAAGCAGCCCCTGACTGTCGGGAACTGACCCGGCACACACAGCCAGACTTGGTGTTCTAACATAAATGCAACAATTTCAAAGAATGCCAACATCAAACAAGGTCACTCTGTCACCAGGATATGAAGACAAAAATAAGACTACTCTGGAATCATATCTGAACATAGACAAAAACATGAACATCACCCAAACCACAAAATGCCCAAACATCTTCCTATCGTGGCTAATATGAAGCATTGCTGCTTCTTTATCAATTACAGCTTTAGCCTTACTCCATACCTCTTGCCTTTTCGTTAAGATTTTAAATATCCAATTGCAGAATTCCCACTCCTCCTTATTCCTGAAGCACCCGAGACTGAGCAAAGCTTTGCTTCCTTGAACTCTTCCCCGAATCACCTAACATCATCTCGAATCTTCTAAGTCCTTTCTAACAACCTGTTACAGAGACCCCCAACGTTCCCTAGGACAGGCATTCTCCTTCATTGCAGGGAGTTAATAAGACCAACTTTGTTCAACTAGAGGTATGTTCCTGGCAGTCTTTGACTAGAGGGCACTGACAGTGTTTAATAAATTTCACTGAATAATTGATTATTAAATGTCATAAGATGTTTGTAAGCACATATATAAGTGCCTAGAAATTACAAAATAAAATTAGAACATTAAATCCACATCTGTTGATACACACAATAGTAAAACCAATGACACGCTGTCATGTTTAAGAGCACGTGTGTAGTATAATTCTACTTGATAAAATAAATAAGACCCCCATATATGTATCTATCCAGTGTGTACACATGAACAAAAAGAAAAGTGTGGAAGGACACACACCTGGCTGTAAAATTCGTTATCTTACCATGTAGGACTAAAAGGAGGAGATGATTAGCTTTGCCTTCACGCGTCTTTGTGCTATATTGTTTTACTTGATGTATTAAGTCTACGTTCATTTTCAATAGAAAAAAAAATGTTTCATCACAGGAGGAAAACTACAGCTTCTCATCTTTCACATTTCAGTTCAACGTTCACTTCCAAAAGCCCTTTCGGCTTAAAACGAAGCTGTCTAGTGGTCAAAAGTATGGACCCTAGAGCCAGACTACCTTGGTTTGACTCCTGACTTTACTACTGACCATTATATCATCCCAGGCTAGTTTCTTTTTTTTTTCCTTAATTTTTTTAACTAATACATAATAATTGTACATGTTTATGGGGTATGTGTAATATTTGGATTACATGCATAGGATGTGTGATGATCAAATCAGAGTATTTAGGATATCCATCACCTCAAACTTTTCTCATTTCTTGGTGCTGGGAACATCTCAAATCTTATCTTCTAGCTACTTTAAAATATACCATAAAAAATAAAATACACAATAAACTGTTAAGCATAGTACCATGCTGCTGAACACTACAGCTTACTCCTTCTACCTAACTGTATGTCTGTACTTATTAACCAGCCTCTCTTTATCACTCCCTGTCCCCTGGGGTAGTTTCTTCACCTCAGTGTCTGAGTTTCCCCATCTTCAAATAACTGCACAATTACATGCAATGGGATTAAAATAATACCTAACCCATATGAAGCCAATAAATATTAGCTGTTTTACATAATAACAGAATATGATCATTTCTTAACCACCCTTTCTTGGTTGATTCTCATAACCTGGATTGTTCTCTATTATGGAATCTTTTTTATTCCTTCATAACACTTTACTAAACTTGTAATTTACATATTTATGTTTTTTAAATTTGTCTTTTTTTTTTTTTTTTTTAGCTACACCTGCTGGAATGGGACATATTTACCTGATTAATAGCTGTCTCTCCCACTAGGATATAAGCTTTTAAAAGGAATGAATTATTTTCTTTCGTTCTATACCAAATACCCAACACTTAGCTTAATAGCTGGCCCATACAAGACACTATATTTCTTGAATAAATGGACATCAGTTGAATCTAATGTCCACAGCACTTTCTCTCTAATGGGAATATAAGGCTATACATTCTTTTGCACAATTAGCAAAAAAATTAATGTCTTGCCACCCGTTTTGAAAATGGCAGATGTAGCCAACAGCAATGTCAGAACAAAAAATTTATGTTGTAGTAAGTCCATTTTTAGAACTTGCCAATTTAATAGGCAAAATCTCTAAATGTATTCAAAATGCTTTCACCAAAAGGCCAATCGGTTAATAGACGCACCCTATAACTTTTCTCCGGTTACAGACACAGTGCATGAAAGCAACAATAGTGCCATGCTGCCCAAGGCTTACTTATTTCTTATCCTCCAGATACGACACAGTAAGTTCCTGAATGTGGCCCCTCCCATGGTTCTCTATCTCCAGCCCCTCTTCTCCTCCTCCCACTTAAGTCTCCAGCAACAATCACCCCTGTGCAGTCCCCAGAGCCTACCCTGGTGCTGACATTCCTGGGCCTGGGTGGCAGCGCTTGCCCCCTCCACACAGAGGCCTAAGTGGTCCTCCTGAATCGTGTCTTCTTACAACCATTCTGTGCTCAAAACATCCCAACGGTTGTCCTCTCACTCAAAATCCCAGATCCCTACCAGGGCCAAGGCCTTGCTTGATCTATTCCACCCCTTCTCCACCTCCCTAAGCTCAACTCTTGCTGCTCCTTCTCCTTGACTCTACTCAGGCCACAGTGACTTTCTGTACATACGTCACCTGATCAGAGCTTCTCTGACCACCGTGTATAAATGGTGTATACCATTTATACGTGTATAAAACAGCCCTCTCCCCCTCTACTATATCCCCCTTCCACAGCCCTACTTTAAAGGTCTTCTTTATAACACCTAGCATCACTCCACATACCACATACTTTGTTTTTGGTCTGCTTCCCCTAGCCAAACAAATGTAGCTCAATGAGAATAAAGACTATCTGTTTTGTTTACTGCTGAATCTCCAGCACTTAAGAGAAGTGCCTGGTACACCACAGAACCCAGTATCGGTAGAATGAATGGACATGCCCAAGCTGATCCAACCACCTGTAATGCCTGACCCAACTTTAACATTCTTAACAAGCCAAAACACACCCTTCAAAACCCCCCTCGCGGGTCACCTATAAACTAACTTATGTATGTATATGTATGTATGTATGTATGTATTTAGTTATTTATTTTTATTGAGACAGGGTCTGGCTCTATTGCCCAGGATGGAGTGCAGTGGCACATTCATAGCTCACTGCAGACTCAAACTCCTGGACTCAAGCGATCCTCCTGCCTCACCCTCCCTGAATAGCTGGGACTACAGGTGCATGCCAACACACCCAGATCATTGTTTACATTTTTAATTTTTGTAGAGACAGGACTTGCTATATTGCCGAGGCTGCTCTTGAACTCCTAGCCTGAAGTGATCCTCCTGCCTTAGCCTCCCAAAGCACTGAGATTACAGGTGTGAGCCTGCATGCCCAGCCTTGAACTAATTTATTAAGGGCTGTCTCTCTCCTTCATTCTTACATCCCCAGAACCTATTACAGATCTAGAACAGGTAGAAACTTAATAGATAACCATCAAATTAAATAACTGCATAGGTATGCTAAAGATACCTCTTCTGAAGGACTTTGCCCACCCACAGCCCCTGCTACCCTCAACAGCCATGTTCTCTAGCATCAGCCATTCCCAGGGATGGGCATATGATCTGTGGCATGAAACTGTTGAAAAAGATAAGCTGGGCCAATCAGACTTCTCTCTCTAGAACTGGGAATTAGAAACCAGAGACTGGGCCAATCAATATGGGTCACACATAAAATGATACAGTTCTGAGACAGCCAATCAGCAAAGAGAGAATACAACAGATATGAACAGAAAAGAGACTCCTCCTAAGTAAGAGAACAAATGTGGCCCCTAAGAGGAGGTCAGGGCTGCAGTGAGCCAAGATCACACCACCTGCACTCCAGCCTGGGCAACAGAGCCAGACCCTGTCTCAAAAAAAAAAAAAAAAAAAAAAAGTTGCCCCAGGGAGATGTAGAAAATGGAGGTACCTGGGATCCTGACTTCTTTCTGACTCTCATTCAATCCTATTATCTCCTTTTCCTTGAAGTAAAAGGTTTAAGTTTCTACTGTCTTCTAAACAGCCCTGACAAATACAGTAGCACATAAAATGGAGAAACTGACCGTTCTTGAGCAAAAGCAGGAAGAAGGGGATGGCACATTCATACATGATCCTATAAAAATTAATCTGGCAGTGTATGTGACCCAGACTGGAAAAATACAAAGAATCAGGGCCCTAGATACCAGTCAAGGAATCACCAGACAGTACACAAGAGAGGCAGTGGGAATAGAGAAGAAATGAGGGATATTAACTTGAAAAATATAAAATCCCTGACATTTGAACTTTCTGAACTACCAAAATATCCAGAAGAGATATTCTGGATATAAAGATAAAACTATGTGACTGGTTGGAAAAGAAAACAGGTGGAAGATGACCAGATGCCCAGCATAGGTGACTGAAGAATGGAGCTGCCCTTAACCAAAAAAAAAAAAGCAGGAGAAAGAGCAGACTTTTCTCTACTTAAGTTATGCCTCCTCCCTTCCACCACCCCAGCTGGGCGAATGGGGCTTTGGCCAGGCTGAATTTGAAGTGTCCCAAAAGAACTAGGTTGGAGAAACCCACCCAATACTTGGAAAAAGATACCGTTCACACTGTGTGTGAATGATCTGGAAATTATTCACACAAAGGGTGTAGAACAAGGATTCTCAAACTTGTGTGCACCAAAATTATTTGGGAAGCTTGTCAAATACACATATCCCTTGAGCTCCTCCCCGGGAGAATCCCATTCCCTAGATCTGGGGTGGTGCCCAGAAACTGACATTTTAACAAGCACCCCAAAATGATTCTGATGAAAGTAGTCCATGCTAGTAAAGCTAGAAGAGAACAAAGAACACACCTGGCCACGGCATTTCCCAACCTGGGCTCTGCACTCAATACCCCACGGTGGTTTAAAAAGGTGTAGATGTCTGGTCCTCAGTGTTGTCAAAATGTGGACAGGAACGAACCTGAAGGGGTGATTCCCGAGCCACACCTCAGGCCGAAGGAATGGGAATCTCTAAAACGCTAAGAAATCTACATTTTTAACAAGCGCCCATAGGGAGCAGAGATGGCTGCATAGTTATTCATAAAAAAATTTTTCATCGGTTTAAACCTGTCAACTTGAAAGAATAAAAATTCCAACATTACAAAGTGATGAAGAAATTATTTCCCTATAAATAAATCTTGGAGGCGTGGAAATCAATGGCTTGCACTATTTTGCCAGGCGTTTAAAAGCCTGCACAGGACAATGGAGCAATGGAGCCCACGATAAAAGCAAGGGAGAAAACAACACCTCCCGGCCCGTGGAAGCCTAGGAGGAGGAACCTAGAAAGACTAGCGGTACCAGCTAAGGGGGCTCTCAAGGTGGTGGATGTGCCAGAGGCTGCTTGGCAAAAGAAAAAAAACGGTTTTACCAACACCCTTCACCCCAACCCACCCGAGGGGCCCCTCAGGAGACAGACCACCAGAGACTCCAAGGTCGGAGACCTTCCCGGCGCTCCAGGAAACGCGGACTCGCCCCGAAAGCCGGGGCCCGAGCGTCCGGGGCCCGCGCCATGCCCTCCCCGGGACCCCCGGTCCGAGCTCGCCCCTTCCGCGCACTCCTCGGCTGTCCCACCTCCCCGCCCGACTCCCCGAGCCCGGCCTCGCCCCCGACTCCTCCCCAATCCCGCGGCAAAGCTTCGCGGACCGGCCTCCACACTGACGGTCTCCCAACCTGGTCCTCAGCTCCGGCGGAACGGGCCCGCTCGGCTGCAGGCGATGTCAGAGGACGGGGAAGCAAGAGACGGCGACTGCAAGCGCGTCGCCCTCACCACACCCGGCGGCCATATTCTTCCCTCTCCGCGAACTGACAGATCACGTGCCCTGGGTAGGGGAGGGACTCCGGGTTGCCACGCCCCCTGGGCGTGGAGGGGAGGGGCGGGGCGGGGCGTAGAGCAGGCGGGGCTGGAGGGGCCGCGGGGCGGGGACACCCAGGACAAGCGCCCCAGGCAAGGTTTTTCAGTGTCAATGTCACTCTTATTACAGTTAATTTATTATCCCTATTTTCCATTATAATCAAGCTTATTCAGAGAAATAAACATCAATTATATCTTCAGAAGAAACTGCACATACATAAGAAATGAAAGCCCGCTCAGCAGCCTTCTTCCGGATCCAGGAGCGAGACCTCTGCCTTTCGCGGGGCCTGTAGTTCACACTCCTTCCAGGTCTCCCAGCACCTCCCCTCACCTCCTTCAGCCTCCACATTCCTAGGCCTTGCTGCCAACAAGCGTCAATCTTGATTTTTGAAAAGGTCCAAGGATGATTACGACGTGCGTAGGTTGCGAACCATCGAAAAGCACCCACCAATGTGTCAACCTGGCAACTCAGGAAAAAGCCAATAAGGAGCCTGACTTCATCAGAAGTTGGTGCGGGGTGGGGACAATGGCTCACTCCTGTAATCCCAGCATTTTGGGAGGCCAAGACGGAGGATCACTTGAGCTCAGGAGTTTGAAACCAGCCTGGGCAACATGGAGAGACCTCTTCTCTACAAAAAAAAAAAAAAAAAAAAAAAATACAAAAATACAAAACTTAGCCAGGCGTGGTGTTGCACACCTGTAGTCCCAGCCACTTAGGAGACAGAGGTGAGAGGATCACTTGAGCCCAGGAGTTCGAGGCTGCAGTGAGCTGAGATCACACCACTGCACTTCAGCCAGGGCAACAGGGCAAGATCCTATCTCCAAACAAACAAACAAACAAACAAAAACGGAAGTTGGTGTGCCCCTCATGAAACAAGGAGCGAACACCCCAACGTGTACAGTGGAGTCCTAAATGGTGTGATTTCTTCGATAATGACTTGCTAAGGCCAGCCACTGTTGTAAACAGGGCAGGGTGGGTCAGGCGTTGGGGGTTAGAAGTATGGTAGGTGTATTAGCCCGTTTTCACACTGCTATAAAGAACCACCTGAGACAGGGTAATTTATAAAGAAAAGAGGTTTAATTGACTCACAGTTCTGCATGGCTGGAGAAGCCTCAGGAAACTTAAAATCATGGCGGAAAGGGAAGCAAACACGTCCTTCGTCACATGGCTGCAGGAAGAGAGGTGCCCAGCAAAAGGGTCAAAAGCCCCTTTTACATCCAACAGATCTCGTGAGAATTCACTCACTATCACGAGAACAGCACGGGGGAAACCGCTGACGTGATCCAATCACCCCCGACCAAGTCCCTCCCTTGACACGTGGGGATTATGGGGAATACAATTCGAGATGAGATTTGGGTGGGGTCACAGAGCCAAACCATATCAGTAGGATATAAGGATGAAGCCAACCTTAGAGTAGGGGAGAAGACAAGGAAACAGGTTAAATGTGCGTTATTTAGCACAGCCTTTCTGAGTCCTGACCATGTCCTAGGCACAGTGCAGTAAGGAGGTAAGCACAGAGGATGGAGTTACCAACTCTGCTTGGGGTCCACTAGGAAGGTTCACAAAAGAAGGGACCCCCCCCCCCCGCACCTCCAGCTGTATCTGAAGTATAGTTTGTCCATCACATCAGTTGGATGGGGCTAGGAAGAATGTCCAGGTCGGGGAACAACACTTTGGAAAAGAATAGAGATGAGAAGGAGGGTGGCCCAAAGTTCCAGGAACTGTCAATATTTGCCAGCCTTGGGGCTGGGGTGGCAGCATGGGAGGGGGCAGTAGATGGAGCAGGGGTCAGCCTCTGAAGGGCCTTGAGTGTTAAGTACCATTTGGGAATTTGTTCTAGGGAAATAGAAGGCCACTGAAGGGATTAGAAGAGTATCAAATTTGTCCTATGGAAATAGAAGGCTGCCTCCCCCAGCATCCACTACCCTTCCCACCACCCCCCAACCCCATCTTTCCTCAGCCTCCAGCTGTTTCCCTCAATCCCCTCCATCCTCCTCTTATCCTCTCACTGCTTCCTCCACCCTCTGCCCCCACATCCTCCCCCAACTCTCCCCACACCCCTCTTCCTCCCATCCCCCCCTCTGTCCTCCCGTCTTCCTCCAGCCACCCAAGCCTCTCCAATCCTCCCACCACTTCCCCTAGTCCTCCTTCTGTCCTCCCTCATCCTCTTCCCTCCCTCTCTTGGTAGCACAGTTTAGCACTCCCTCCTGGAAATATTTCTTTTTTTTTTTTTTGGAGACAGAGTCTCGTTCTGTTGCCCAGGCTGGAGTGCAGTGGTGCGATCTCAACTCACTGCAAGCTCTACCTCCCGGATTCACGCCATTCTCCTGCCTCAGCCTCCCGAGTAGCTGGGACTACAGGCGCCCGCCACCGCGGTCGGTTAATTTTTTGTATATTTAGTAGAGACGGGGTTTCATCGTGTTAGCCAGGATGGTCTCGATCTCCTGACCTCATGATCCGCCCGCCTCAGCCTCCCAAAGTGCTGGGATTACAGGCGTGAGCCACCGCGCCCGGCCCCCTCCTGGAAATATTTCTTCTCCTGGGCTTCTATCCCATTCTTCTGGCAGCTCCTTCTCAGATTCCACCTCCCATGAATTGTTGGGGTTGCAGAGTTCTGTCCCCACTGGACTCACCCATACCCCTCCCACCCACCCTTGCTCCTGCGTCACTAGTTTCAGAGACCTGGCTCCAACCCTAACCACCAAAACCGGAAGTTGGAAGTCATCTTCCCCCTGATTAAATGGTCAGTTAATCAGCCCATCACCTGACTGTAGCCACTTTCATCCCAGTGATCTGTTTAAAGGCCTCAGAGCTCCCAACCGGGACTATCCGAATACCCCCAGCAACTCTCCCTGCTAACCCAGTAGCCCTGCTAACCATTTCTCCACAAGCTTGCCAGCTAATGCCACTTCTTTCATTAAACTCTTCAGTGGCCTTCTGTTTCCCCAGAACAAATTCCCAAATGGTACTTAACACTCGAGGCTCTTCAGAGGCTGGCCCTGCTCTGTTTCCTGCCCCCTCCCACGCTGCTACTCCCACCCCAAGGCTGGTAAATATTGACAGTTCCTGGAACTTTGAGCCGTGCTCCTTCTCATCTCCATTCTTTTCCAAAGTGATGTTCTCCAACCTGGACATTCTTCCTAGCCTCATCCAACCGAATGTGATGGGCAAATTCTATTTAAGATACAGCAGAGGGGGTCACCTCTTTTGTGAACCTTCCTAGTGGACCCCCACAGAGTTGGCCATTTCATTCTCCGTGCTTATCTTCGTACTGCACAGTGCCTGGGACAGTGTCAGGACTCAGAAAGGCTGTGTTAAAGAAGGCACATTTAATCTCTGTCCTTGTTCTCTCCCCGACTCTAAGGTCGACTTCATCCTTATATCCCACCATACCTCCGACACCCCCTCCTCCACCCCGCCCTGTTTACAAGAGTGGCTGCCCTTAGCAAAGCCATTACCAAAGAAATCACACCATTTAGGTCTTCATTGTATGTGTGGGGGTATTCTCTCCTTGTTTCATGAGGGTATGAACCCAAAATATCTGAGACAGTCTCAGTCAATTAAGAAAGTTTATTTTGCCAATGCTAAGGAGCACCCGTGACATACTCTCAGGCAGTCCTAAGGACATGTGCCCAGGGGGATCAGGGTACAGCTTGCTTTTAAACATGTTAGGGATGCATAACACATCAATCCATACATGTAAGATTTACATTGGTTCCATCTGGAAGGGCGGGACAGCTGGAAGGGAGGGGGTGCTTCCAGGTCATAGGTAGATTTAAAATTTCTCTGATTGGCAATTGGTTGAAAGAGTTATTATCAGTAGAAAGGGGTTTACTTTCTACTTTTTAAGACTTTACTTTTTAAGTCCAAGGTTTTATTAAGCAGGTGAAGCCGCCAAGTATCAGGCTTCAGAGAGAATAGACTGTCAATGTTTCTTATCAGACTTTATGTCTACATTGATGTTAATGCTGGAGGGATATAAAGAGGCCTGACTCCCTCTTCCATCATGGCCTGAACTAGATGTTAAGGTTAACTCTGGAATGCCCTTGGCAGAGAAGAGGGGTCCATGCAGACGGTTGGGAGGCCTTAGGATTTTATTTTTGGCTTACAAGCGTCACGTCAACTTCTGATGAAGCCGTCCATGCTCCTCGCTGACAACTTCTGATGAAGCCGTCCATGCTCCTTGCTGGCTTTCACCTGAGTTGCCGGGTTGACACATGGGTGGTGCTTTTCAATGGTTCCCGACCTATGCACACCGCAATCATCTTTTTAAAATCACCTTTTTAAAAATCAAGATTGACATTTATTGGCAGCAAGGCCTAGGAATGTGAATTTTAAAAGATCTCTCCAGCTGATTCTAATGAAACACCCTGTCAGACTTGGTTTCAGTTCCATTGTGTCCCAATCAGTGATTTCAAATACCAACATCCTTTTTTAAGGTCAAGCAATGTTTGGAGGACCCACAGAGGACAGCAGGTGTCCTTCTAGTCATCACCGATTGTGAAAGCAACACGGGAGTTGCAGTTTGTGTTCTCGCAGGGATCTGTAGCCCCAGAATGGGAAGCTGTGCTCCAAACATAAGGAACTATGCGAATAATCAGCAAGGCATTTGACAGCTTTTCTTGGTGGGTTTGTGGACACAGGAAGTGTGGGTTCTCTATCAGAGGTTGGTCACTGAAAGGGGTCACTGAAAGGGCTCACTGCAGTGTGCTGGTTAGTGAAATGATGACCCAGGAAGATGGGGCTCCTGAAGCCTTCGCCTCCCCCATCAAGCTCCATTTTGAGAAGGGCCGCCCTCATTCTAACCCCCACCCCACCTCTCTACCCCACCTCTCACCCCAAACCCCCTAGTACCTCTGCCCTCATAATTTCTGTAACTCCATCCCTCTACAACAAGCCCAGGACACTGGCTTTAAGCAGTTCCAGGCTCATGCCCAGGCCGAGCTCTGCCCACCGGGTGTGAGCCATACTGAGTGTGTGTGAACCTGCACAACTGAAACACGTCTCTTTGAGGAACCTGGAACACAACAGTGAGCAAGGCAGAAGGAGAGCGAGGGAGTGCTGGGCTCTCCAGCTTGGGTGGTCCAAACACCGCTGAACTTTCCTGGGGGTTCTCAGTAAAGAACTCTGCAAATGTCCATCTCAGAAGACACAGGAGGTTCAGTCCCAGACACCAATAAGACAATGCCCATGCCACCTGAACCTCCTGCTCCTCTCCCCAGCAAAGAAAAATCCCTGAGGATACGCAGCATGCAACTTGTTCTTTCTTAGGAATGTTTTGGAAAGCAATCCAGATAACAGCCTGGAAAGAAGTTATTGGAAACAGGCTCGGCTGTAGCCACATTTTGATGGAGGAGGAAAGGAGGGTCGGACGCCAGGTGTGGCAGGGGGCAGATGATGGCGGGCTGGTGATGAGAAACCCTAGCCCCTTCCCCCACTGCAGATCTGAACTGGAGAGGGGAGATCCTTGGGTTCACTATTTTTGCTATTATACTGGGCCAGGCATTTAATTACTAAAAATGATAATTTGTAATGACTAAAAGTGGCAAGATAACATTTTATGATGTAAAAGCGACAAGAAAAATTATGAAAATGATGAGCCCTACTCAGAATTCCTCCAGGGATGGGAGGCAAGAGGTCTATAGGCCCATAGGCCCAGGCATTCGCAGGAGTCGTCCTGAGGAAAAGGCAAGTTGCTTTGCAATTCTGCTGTACTGCATTCACCTGTCTCAAATGATGGTGACATTAGGCCAGGCGCGGTGGCTTGCGCCTGTAATCCCAGCACTTTGGGAGGCTGAGGCGGGCGGATCACCTGAGGTCAGGAGTTCGAGACCAGCCTACATGGCGAAACCCCATCTCTACTAAAAATACAAAAATTAGCCAGGCGTGGTGGCACATGCCTGTAATCCCAGCAACCTGGGAGGCTGAGGCAAGAGAATCAGTTGAACCCAGGAGGTGGAGGTTGCAGTGAGCTGAGATTGCACCACTGCACTCCAGCCTGGGTGACAGAATGAGATTCTGTCTAAAAAAAAAAAAAAAATTCATATGATGGTGACATTTAGTAAATTATATCTATTTTAATCACAAATATTTCCTCGCTCATGCCAAATGCTGTTTATTTCTTTCATACTTATGAGCTCTAAAACTCATATTTTACAAAGATATAACTGTTGTAAAGTATAACAAAAATTATTTCTCCTCAGTTTTGTTTCAAATATATCCCTCTTTCCACATTCTTTAGTTTTTCTCATGGTTCCTGGAGCCTAAATCTTTTTGGCAAACGCATCCCCAGGGTTTCACTCCAGCAGAATCACTCATATCAGCTGAAGGGTCTGTCTTCTGGACTTGCTATGTGGTTTTTATGTAGAGGGAAAAATAGGAGTTATCTTTCCATTCCTCACCACTCTGCCCATCAAGACTATAATTTAATCGCCCTTTCATCTTTTTTAACAGTATCAGCATACCGAGATGATGATTTCAGCAGTCCAGGTTTCAAGTTCATGGTAATTACATTTTCCATAGAAGTCTGAAGATGTTTTGCGTACCACATTGCTTTAAAAATTGTTCTTCTCTGATTATAAAAGGAATATGAGTTCATTATAAAGAATTTGGAAAATACGTAAAAATTTGAAGAGATAGGTCCCCTAATCTTATCACTCTGACTTCTTAAACGGAGATTTAAAAAATAATTTTTATTGACTGGGTGAGGTGGCTCAAGCCTGTAATCCCAGCAGTTTGGGAGGCTGAGGTGGGCAGATCACTTGAGGTCAGGAGTTTGAGACCAGCCCTGGCAACATGTCAAAACCCCATCTCTACTAAAAATACAAAAATTAGCCAGGCATGGTGTCACGTGCCTGTAATCCCAGCTATGTGGGAGGGTGAGGCAGGAGAATCGCTTGAACCCGGGAGATGGGGGTTGCAGTGAGCCAAGATTATGTCACTGCACTCCAGCCTGGGCAACAGAGCGAGACTCCATCTCACACAAAACAAAACAAAAGGAAAACAATAATCATTATTAACCAAACTCGCTATTGGAAAGGGGAGGGGTAGGAAGGATGCTCCTGAGATGTTATGTTTTGTGGGGTATGATGCTGTTGATGTCACTTCTCTTGATATCTTTGCCAGCTGCCTCCCTGACCCCTTTAATCAGTACATTCCTTCTACAGAAAAATATGTAGAAGGAAGTTTGCCTAACTCCAGGATGGCAGCAGAAAGAAAAGGAATACACAAGAGGACAACGTTTAGAACAAATATGAGAGGCAGGAGAAGAGAGGCAAATGCACAACCCTGTGTTCAAAGGCCCAGTTCAAATGGGGAGACACAGAGAGCAAGAGACAGAGACAGGGAGAGATGGTTAGAGGACAAAGAAAGGGACAACTGAGTTATCTGTTGTCTGCAGGTCATATTCATCAGTTCATGTGAAAAGCTGTCGGGTTTCAGTGGGGTTTCGCAAGCTCAACATACAGGGCAGACCATGTTCATGTTGCCCACCCACTGCCTGGCCACAGCTGCTTCACACTCTAGAGCTGCTTGCTTTTATTATTATTATTTTTTGAGACATGGTCTCACTCTGTCACCCAGGATGGAGTGCAGTGGTGCCATCAGGGCTCACTGCAGCCTCAAGCTTCCAGGCTCACGCAACTCTCCTGCCTCAGCCTCCTGGGTAGCTGGGACCACAGGCATGCATCACCACGCCCAGCTAAATTCTTTAATTTTTTGTAGAGATGGGGTCTTGCCAGGGCTGTAAAGCTGTTTTCATCATCAAATTCTTACCCATTAATAGAGATGGAAGACTTAGAGAGTCCTTCTTCTTGGGAGTACAATCTAGTTAGTGAGACAGGTGATATACTAATGGAAGATATTATCAGTACAAGATAGTATAGGCAAGAACCGAGGAAGTGGCAGCTCGGAAGAATGAGTGGTCTCCGGGGTTAAGGGGAGTTGCGTAAATGCCCTCAAAGAACGGGAACGGTCCGGCAGGGGTCAGGTGAATGATAGCAACCATAAGGTGGGATGGGCACCGCATGGCCAGGAGTTCTGCTCAGGACGGCCGTCCAACCACACTGGCTCACAGTCTCAAACCAAAAGTATTTTCAGGGCAACATCAAGTTAGCAAGAGGTTCAGTTCCTTCCTCTCTTTCTTGAAAATTGGGATCTTTGCTCATTTCCAGGGTCTTGGCATCTCACCCAATGTAGGTTGGCACCTTGAATCTCCATTAACCTCCAAAGCCAGAGTTCACTCACAGCACAGATTCCCATGAAAGGGAACAAGAACTGGAATAGAGACAGTTAATATTGCATTCGGTCCACTGGTGCATTTTTAACCCCTTCAACTCTATGAGAACTATGGGTTAATATTAATTTTATTGTGCCATAAAAAATTTGTAATTTGGATCTGCTAGTTAGCTTCATTTGATCATATGTTAAATGATCAAACAATTTTTTCTTGCTAAAGGTATATTAATACTTTAGGTCAGCATGTCATTTAGCAGCAGCAGCTTCTGTTTATCTTATTGATGATTGAGTGGAGAGGATGTGCGGCAGATGGGATGAGAGAAGGTATTAAATCATCTTCTAGGAGAAGGGAAAGCAGAGTGACATGGGCAGAACTGCCTGGCACTGCTAGGCACTACTAAGGTGAAACTAGGCAGCATGACGATGTCAGCCACCAAGGTGCAGGAGCGGGTGCAGCACAGGACGCCAGTGGATTTCAGGAGGACTGGCTTAGCTTTGTCAGGTGAAGCTGATGGAGGGAAACAGGAAGGACTTGAAGGGATATGCAACTGATGATTAGAATTTCACCCCACTGAGTCTCAGTGGGGTCCTGAGTAGGACATGAGCTAAGATCAAGGGGATAGAAGTATGGTGGTGAGCTGATACAGTCTGGATGCTAGAGGGGGTGAGATGGAAAGTTGGGAGGTGGTTGAGAATAGAATGCTTGAAATGAAGACTACTGGTAACAACAAGGTCTAAAGCATGTCTATTGGCGGCTTATGTAGAAAGGGGGGAAGATCACTGGAGGACTGCAAATCAGGGAAGTGAGAGGCCAGTGTGTTGGAAGGTTTTTCTACAGGGATACTGAAATCATTAAGAATCATGTGTTGTGTTGAAGAGAATGACAATAACCAAATTCTAATATTTTCTATTTTCTAGTAGGGGGTGACCCAGAAAAGTCTGTAGATGGTGGCAGCAAGGAGGAATGGGAGGTTTGATGTCAGCTAGCCTGAGCTGGATGCTGGTATCTTGGGAAGGAAGAAGAGACAGTTGTTTGCAGATAATATGGAGGAGGAAGGAGAGTACTTGCCTCCCCTGAAGGCCCAGTGATGAGAGGATTCAGAGAGACACCATCACTTCAGAGGGCTACAAGGAAGCTATGTCCTTACGTGAGATGTGGGTTTTCATTAGACCAAAAGGTGAATGGTGGAGTGCGAGCAAATGGGGATTGTTTTTATTTTGGTCTTACTGGTCATGGGCCATGAATTCCCAAGGACAGTGGTAGTGTTTGGGGAGTTGGAGGCAGGGGTGGTGGATGGACTGCATAGAGCTGCATGGGGGATAGCAAGGTTTCAATTTGAATTTTTTTTTAAGAGACAAGGTCTCACTAGCAGGCTGGCCTCAAACTCCTGGGCTCAAGCAATCCTCCTGCCTTAAATTAGGCATGACCTGGGTCTTATATATCCCTATGGTTGGGATAGATGCCACCATGCCCAGCTCAGTTTGAATATTAACAAAAGTGGAGATGATTTGGCAAACCTAAATATATTGAATGCTACGACTATGGACAAAGGAAAAAAAAAAACAGTCCCGTGTTTACAACAGCAGCATTAGGCTCTGATTGTTGAGCCATTCACACAGCAAGTTCCAACAAAGAGCACCATCATCGTGTACTTAAAAAGCACGACTCACATTGTAGTTTATGGGTCCAAATTCCTTATGGAATAAAATGTCAGGAACACATGATTGTTGGTGCAGCGTTTCCTAGTTCTTCATCATTCGTCAGTTTTTCTGTGAGCAAACTTGACTCAGAAAGTCAGATGATAAGTCAGACAGGCTGTTTCCTTATATTGGGTATATCC
Organism: Homo sapiens; assembly: GCF_000001405.40. NCBI lineage: Eukaryota > Metazoa > Chordata > Mammalia > Primates > Hominidae > Homo > Homo sapiens. The sequence goes on from NC_000002.12 coordinate 8,847,738, forward strand.
TGAATTATTCCACTGTCTACTTTTCTATTATTCTGGACAAAGTTTTAATTTTTTTCTGTTTATGTTCCTCCTGTCCCCCTGGAAAAAATTTTTCGGGAAACTACCGTGCACCAGGGTCAAGGAAGAGAAGTACATATCATGGCCCCCGTGTCTGGAATTTGCTTACCGCTTCAGTCTACAAATGTAACTTGACAGCTCATTTTCTGTCTTGATGGGTTGCAGTAGGGTTCGTGCACATGCGGCTTATTTAATCTGCATATTAACTACATCTATCATTTTGCTTTTGTCTTGCTGTCGTCCTTTTAATTAAACTTAGGTCCAGCCTGGGCAACATGGCAAGGCCCCGTCTCTACAAAAAATTAAAAAATTAGCTGGGTGTAGTGGTGCACACGTGTAGTCACAGCTACCTGGGAGGCTGGGGTGGGAGGATTGCTTGAGCACGAGAGGTCGTGGCCACAATGAGTCGTGTTCTTGCCCACTGCACTCCAGCCTGGGTGATAGAGTGAGACCCTGTTTCATAAACAAAACAAAACAAAAAATGTTAAGTGTAACAGGAAAAGAGAGGAATCGAAAATATGTTCAATCCAAAATGAAGTTCACAAACTTACTTTGTAAAATATATCTCCATCTTTTTTTTCTATCGATAGAAAAATGATTAGAAAGAAATCTACCAAAATGTTAAAGTTGTTTATCAGTGTTAGGACAACGGATCAGTGAAGAACTAGGAAACGCTGCACCAACAATCATGTGCTCCTGACATTTTATCCCCTAAGGAATGTGGACCCATAAACTGCTTGAATGTGTTTTACTGCCCAGGTCATGCCTAATATAAACATCAGGGAGGGAGTCACCAATTCGTGTGTGTGGTGAACCGATTAATTCCTAATCTGAGGGTTTAGGTGAAAAATATTTAATCTTGTCCACAGGACACTTTCAGTCTTAGTATTAAGCTTTTTTTTTTTTTGCCTTACTGCAAATTTTCTAAAATTCATCAAATTTCACAAAATTCTGTGGTTTGTGTGAATATGAAATGTATTTAAGAAGTATAGGTTATTTCAGTTTAGCAACTGTTTAACAATGACTGATTTTCTAAGTGATTCTGCTTACACCCAATTCCAATGTATGTGTTTTAAGTGTTTCTCATGCTTTCAACATAGCCTCAAGGTCCTAAACATGTTGACAAAATGTGGCCGGCTACCATGAATCAGTGTAGAGACTTTGGGAACTGTATCTGCACATCAGCTATAACTAGTGGCTAGTAATGAAGGCCCTTGGCAACAGAAGTCCCATAGCTGAGTGAATTAAGCTGAAGTAAACGTTAGATAATTCATGAGTTTGTAGACTGTTCTATATTGAGTACTCTATCTCCTTCTTTGGTTGTGAAGTACTTTTTGACTTTCTACAAACATATATATTAACAATGACAACACCATGTGGTTAGTGTAAGCCACACATGAGAATACTGAGCAGAGAACTTGTGTCTGGAAGACACAGGAAAAGCTGCCTGGAGAAAAACACCTTCTCTTTGAATGCTTAACATGCATCATAGTGCTTGGAGCATAGTACCAGTTCATCGAACGTTTCCTGATTAGTGACAAGGAACCTGAATCCTGGTGATGAAGCTGGAGCCAGCCAGGGAGGAGGGGTGGGGTGGATGTGGGGAGGAGGGGAATTTTGGGTAAATGGAGCAGCAGACACACAGGCTAGGAGGCAGGAGCAAGTCAGACAGTGGGGCAGGTCCAGCTACTCCGCATGGCTGGAGGATGAGAGTGAGCATGTGTGTACTGGCAGGGCAGCAAATCAGAGGGAAACATGACGAAGCAAAGGCAAGCAGCTGCCAGACCACAAAAGTCTTTTATGTCACATTAAAAGTTTGCATTTATCACAAGCATTTCAGAGGAAGTTTCACCTTTTTTTTTTCTTTTTTGAGACAGGGTCTCGCTATGTTGCCCAGGCTAGAGTGCAGTGGCGAGAACACAGCTCAACCTCCTGGGCTCAGGCGATCCTCCCTGCTCACACTCCTGAGTAGCTGGGACCACAGGCACACACTACCAGGCCTGGCTAATTTATTTTTTGTAGAGACAAGGTCTCACTATGTGCCCAGGCTGGTCTCGAACTCCTGGGTTCAAGTGATCCTCCTACCTAGGCCTCCCAAAGTGCTGGGATTACAAGTGTGAGCCACTGCGTCCAGCCCAGTTTCACTTTTGAAGCAAAATTAAAAAAATATCTTTAGAAAGATGACCCCATTCTGTATTGTAGAGAATGGACTGAAGGAAGGCATGACTGGAGAATGGAAGTCCGGTTAGGAGGCTGTTCCTATAAACTAGATGAACAATTGGGAGGGAGGGCAATGAGATGGAGTCGGTTATCTGGGGGGTGGGCACACAGGGTTGATGAGGTCAAGATGGTACACAGGTCTCTGACTTGGGTAGCCAGGGAAATAATAATTAATGAGATAGGGACTATAAGAGTTATCACAAGCTTTGGGGCTGATGGAATGAGATGATGGGTTTCGTTTTAGATGTTATGAGTTGGAGGTGCTTTGAGTTTTGTATGGAGATACTTAGCAGGGAGTTGCATACATATTGGTCAGATATGGGAAAGGGAGGAAGGGCTGGCGGGAGGGGAGTTAGGCAGACAGATGTGTGCTGGAGGGAGGATCCGCACAGAGGAGCTGTAACAGTAGGTGTGTATGCTCTGAGAGGAGGAAGAGGAGTCTCAGGAGACTGAAAATGATTATCCTGAGAGGCAGGAAGAGAAGGAAAGAAGGATCGTTACACAGAGCCAAGAAAATAACTTCAAGAAGAACATTTGACTTGTCAATATAGTCAAATGCTACAGAGATAAAGTGACATAAAGAATGAAAACCATTGAATTTGGCAACAAAGAGGCCAAAAATGACCTTTGTAAAAATGGTTCAGTAGAGTGTTGGGGACAAAAGGAACACAGAGGTGGTGTTGCCTACTCCTCTGAGAAGCTCCGTTGGAAAGGCTAGGGTTGTAGAACAGGTTGCCATTACTTTTTAATTGGTCCTTCCCTCCTATGAAAGAGGCTTGATCCTAAGGCAATGTGAATATAGTATTCTTCTTGAGGCTAATGATGCATGCGTTAAAAAAGGGTGGAGTGACAATGAGGATCTCAACTCTCCAGTCTCTGGTGCCAGGCAGCCGACTTTCCCAGTAATGGCTGAAAACAGCTGGCATCTAATCTCAAATCTCAGGCCTGTCTTTCTAGGGTCACTCTCATGTTCACCCCTCACAAAGGGACGGCACCCAGGAAATGGTCTCCCTGTCCTGGGCCACAATGCATCCAGCTCCGCGCTGCTGACCCATCAGGACCAGAGCCCCTGCTAATGGTGAGGCTCAGCCTGTACCAAAAGATACAACTGGGATCACTCAGCAGGAGGTAACAAAAAAGAAGATTCAAGCACAAAACAAACTTCAACAGTAGGTACACAGTCGGAAAACAGAAAAGCTTTCACCAGGAAAGAGACATGCAGTATTTAAAGACTTAAAATCTGAGCTGACATCTGGCTCCAGCAACAAGCTGACTGAGCCAACACAACCCATCATGCCACAAACACTGAGAAAAGCTATCAGAAATGTAACACCAAGTTATGTTGTAAAATCACACAGCTAAGCTCACAAGAAAGGCAGCCAAAGGCAAAGCCCCCCAAAGAGGCCCATGCTGACATCGCCGGTACCCCTCGGGAAGGAGAGAAGACCAGGACAGGGGGGTATGCTGTCCTTATGTGCAACATTCTTCTCATGCGAAAAAAAAAATGAACCTAATGTGGCAAAGCAGTAACATCTGTTTAGTCTGAGGGTGGGCACACAAGTGTCTATTATATTGTTCTGTACTGAACCACCTGCGTGAAATATTTCATTGACGTTTTAAAAAATTGGCTAATTTCCTATTACTCCTTTTCCCAGTTGTGGGAAATGTTATTAAACAGATAGACATATTGTTGGTACATAATAGAGCTAAACTTGCTTAACTCACTTTTTATTATATTTGTGTGTAATACTTTATAAAATTCTTGGCGTAGCTTTTCTTTCTCTAACTCCCCACCTCCTCTTTCTCAGCCCAGGAAAAGCCTTCCTCAGGGATCCAGGAGCCAGCTCCTCTGTGGAGCTCTCTCGCACTCAGCTCTGGGTCCTCACTCCTCCTCCTATTGCCAAGGCCCCTTGTGAATGCCTCCAATAAAGCACTAATGGTGTCACATGGTCACTATTCACCAACACCTTGAGGACAAGGGTAATGACTTATTCTTCTTACCCAGCACGTGGGTAGGAGGGATTCTGAGTCTGTACTGCTTTTGGTCATGGCCCAGTTTCAACATGGTCTTGAACCTCAAAATGGGGTAACTTAAATCTGGCATGAAATTCTAAGGTCTTCCAGAGAGAAAGCACTAGGAATGGACCTGTGAGTTTGCTCAGCCTAGCATCTCTATACAAGCGTAAAACAGAAGACGTTTCCCTACAATTGTTCACAACGGCATAAAGGAAGAGCCCCCAGGCACGCTCTGAAGTTCTTCTAGGTCTGTGATGACACAGAAATCTAGCAGAGTCCCAGCGCTCTGCTTCCCAGTAGCCACACCCGTCCTCCCACAGGAGTGCTGCGAACCAGCTAACTGCAGGGCCTGGGAGGTGGGCGTTCCCTTTCAGCTGAGCAAAGTCAGTATCTTCTTCACTTGACAAGTCTGTTGTAGGAGAGAATACAGATACTATACACTAAGTTAAGGTTGTTTTAATTACCTTCCAAAGTGCTTATGACAATAGTTTCTTTTAAATAATCTTTAAGCAGTTAAAGAGTCAATGACTCTTCAGAATATTATCACCATATTACTAAAGAATCCTTCAATAAAAATGACCATTAACTCTCGTAACAGGGCCAGTATTGTTCTATAAGTGGAATTAAAAGCCTAAGATATTAGCAAACACACACACGCATATTTTTAAACTACTGTTTAATCAGTTGTAAAGACACACAAATTAGAAAAAAAAAACATGTCCTAAACATGTTACATGTAAGTTAAAAACACCTTTAAAAACCAGCAATAAGCCACCAGTGCAGCTCTGACAGACTAGAAATGAGTGGTTATGAAATGAGCACATCTCAGTTTGACTGACACAGTGGGAGTTTTAATTTACCGTACATCAGGAACTAATTTATGAATCTGTTGAAAAATAACACTTCTTTAAAAAAATATTTTGGAATAATAAAAACAGAAAGCACAGAACACCACATTCTATTCTCAACTTGGGAAGGCAAATGTAAATACTAAATTCTGGCTGCTGGAGTTGGGTCTCTCCTCATGTTTGGGCGACTGAGGGCTCAACTACTACTAGGCAGAGATCAAGACAACGTTTAAAGGAAGGCAGGAATGAAATCACACATTTTCACTCTGTATATGGAAGAATTTCTCACTTCACCTGAATGATTTACTTTCATTCCTATGGCCTTCTATCGTGCCCCTTCTGGTTCAGAGGAGCAGTCACATAAAAGTGACAAGATGGACAAGACTGGTTTGGAACACATTTGTGTTCAATGTTTGATTCCTTTTTCCTTGTGATAAAGCCAGAGGCAAATGTACTTCATTGATAAATCTGTGTGCGCAGAACCAAAAATACATAAAATTGGGAAAGAGGCATATTTAAAAAGTCTGTCAAACTCTCAACATATATTTTCGTCCTTTAATGCAAAAGGACAGGGGGGAATATTCAAATTGATTTCCCAAGAAAATTAACCTAAAATAGTGAACGTGAAACAGCTAAGACTCTGGTGAAAGGCAGTCAGTCACCTTTCCCATTTCAAACATGTTACTAAGAAACTGCCTAGTCATTTTACTTATGTTGCTCTGTAACTTTTGGTTTTTCACTGTAGCATTTCCATTTATTTTTAGTGTGTGATTTGATAAAACATGGCTGGAGATGGCTATGAATCGCTGAGTAAGCTTCAGACAGCGGTTCTGCATGGGTCATCACACTATAATTTACAGAACATACAGTCTTAGTGTTGTATTTTTTCTTTATAAAAGTTGTACTTAAAGAAGAGTTATAATCAGTTTTAAAGGCAAGACAAATTAGTTGGTGTAAAAACTGTGTATTTAGGCTGTGTTTCACAAAATTTCCCAGTCAATGGCCTATGGAACGTGTCAGTTCTTTATTGGGATTTGCATAATGTTAAAAAACCTATTAAAATAAATATTATTTTAAAACATACAAAAACATTATTCAGCAGCCTACCAATTAAAATGTAATTGGCTGCAACCTCTGTACAAGAAAAGCCTCAAAAAGCAGCTTAAGCATTGATTATAAGAGCTTTCCTACAAAATACCGATGTGGAAAATTTCATTTTAAAATTTCTGTTGTAATCAGAGTTTCTATAAATAGATTTGACTACTTGGTGTTGCAGAAAAACACTGTAGAGACCCTCTATGTTCTAATCTTTCAAACTCAAATTTCAGGGTGTATTTCTCTCCTTAAATGCAAATCTTTTGCTTCAGCATTGGGAGCACGCGTTCATCAAGAAACCCACTTTTACAAGGGCTGGAGAAAACAGAAATTTCAGCATCTAAGATGAGTGTATCAACGACCAGCCACTCATTAAATGCACACTGGGTTAAATGCAGCAGTTTTATAAGGTATTGAGGGCAGTTAAGATTACATCTCACAGTGTTATTTAGGATTCTGCACCTATATTAAATTTCAGCCAGGAAGAACTATTAACGCCTGGATAAAACTCCACAAAATACTAGCTTATATCTAAAACTCTGGACAAATTTTTAGCTGACACAGATATAGTAGGCACTATTCTGAAACAATTATTTTCTCAAGTAATTTTTCTTTCAATTATAATGTAGAACTGTTAAGACCAATTAACTAATAATTGTGAACAGTTGATAAGGAAACAAAAAAAGTATAAATGTCCAGATTTGTTCATGAATATACAAACTAAATACTTACAAGGTATGAACTTTAAATAGGAGAGATTTTTGTCCTAAAACTGTGATCTAGTCCTTGAGTAAAAGTATAAATTTATAATTATTTTAATGGCAAAAATTTTAAAGCTATTGTTTTCTGCGGTTTAAAATAAGGTGTAACTAAACTAAATATGCTTTAAATATCCTTGAATAACTTTGAGATGTTATATAGTGGTAAACCCTGTCCAGTAGTCAGTAATCTGTATAAAATATTTCAGAGCATATATCTTCTCCAATTCCACACAGCACAGAAACCAACAAAGCAGAGAGAGCAAAAGGAAAACATGTTTTCTTCAGCAGAGACTATTTCATTATGAAACACTCATTGTAAGAGCTATTGCCAGTAGAAAAAGTATGTTGCCATGCCTTCTGATTTAAGGGATTCAGAGGTTTCACTGTTATCATGACAACCTTTTGAAATGTCAGGGCTTTGAGCTCAAGTAGTAAGTCAATGACCATGACAATAGTGTGGACTGTGAATGTGCCCAAGTCCTTGAATCCTACAGACCTTGCTAATGGCTCCGTTCACGACACCCAACTGGTCCTGAACTCTTAGGATTAACCCGTTTGCTTATGGCTGAGGAACTTGGGGTCTACAGGACAGGTGGCTCCTCCAAGTCTTAAGTCTCATGAAAGGCAGAACCAGAATGAAGATCCAGGTCTCCTCCTAGGTCAGCTAGTGCTTAAATGTGAGTTACTGTCACTTTCTAGAAACCTCCTTTTTACTGCACATTTTTCTCAAAAGTGGTATGTTTGGAAATCCTGTGTGTGTCACACATGGTGGAGACCAATAAATATATTTTTGAAGCAAATGGGCAGTAGTGGCTAATAAGAGAAGTGGTCACCAGACATTTTTGAAGCCAAATAAATCTTCTCTATCCTGCCGGATATTTTAGAAGCTAAATAAATTCCCCCAATTACCCTGAGTTCCAATAAAAATACTTACTTTAAGAACAGAATGAGCCACTTATAAAATGGTGACAGCTGAGGCATACCAAATTATACTCTTACTGTTTCAAGAAAATGAAATTGAAGGATGAGTAGTTATTTTTGTTCATTTTTTCCCTGAGTAGTATATAATTAACCAAAAGTATAAATATGATGTTGATTGATCATCTCTAGAGTGATTTCATGATACCTGAATAGTGGAAAATATAAAACATAAATATGCATTGAATCTTATTCTATTGATTAAAAAAAAGCAAGCACATAATACAACGAATCCCCTTTCTATTTAACAGGAGTAGACGTACCAGTTTAAAATTCTTCTACTGTAAGTACTAGAAGCAAAATATTAATCTTTGTGATTATTACTTCTCCAAACTAGAGGAGAGATATCCAAAAACCATTTCATGAAAATAACTAGTTGATTCAGGGGTATGAAAATCAGTCAAACTGGATATGGAATTATTATCTTCGAAGGAACCAGAAAACCAATCAAATATCTTGCTTTCTAGATGACAGTGCCAAGATCATATTCACTGAGCAAGAAACAGGTAACAGTGACTAAGGTTTACAGGCTGAGAAATAAATTCAGGTAACAGAAATGTGATTATTTGTAGGTGGCTAGATAGGCTGAACCAAAAAAAAACACACACACACACACACACACACACACGAACAAAACCCAACAAGTTTGTATTAAGCCTTCTTGTTTTCACTTATGACATGCCTGAACCTGTCTTTTAAATTCTTAATTTGTTCACTTTCTCTTAATAGCAGTCGGATTCTCTGCAACATTAATGAAAATGATCAAACATTTTACAGGGCAGGTACATTCCATGAACATTCTTTCTATTCTCTCACATTAAACAGCTGGCATAATTTCTTTTTTCTTTTTTTTTTTTTGTGAGACGGAGTCTTCCTCTGTCACCCAGGCTGGAGTGCAGTGGCACAATTTTAGCTCACTGCAACCTCCACCTCCCAGGTTCAAGCAATTCTCCTGCCTCAGCCTCCCAAGTAGCTGGGATTACAGGTGTGCGCCACCATGCCCGTCTAATTTTTGTGTTTTCAGTAGAGACGGGGATTCACCACGTTGGCCAGGCTGGTCTCCAACTCCTGACCTCAAGTGATCCGCCCACCTCGGCCTCCCAAAGTGCTAGGATTACAGGTGTGAGCCACCATGCTCAGCCAACATAATTTCAATGCATGGGAAAACAGAGGAAATTTATTTAGTTATCAATCCTTTCCTGGGTAGGGTTAGCCTTATCAGCCGGAAAACACTTACTTTTAGATAAATAAAAATAGATTAGGATATTTCTAAACTTCAAAAAAGACACATGCCCATTTTTGCTGAGACCTCAAAAGCTGCAAGTGCATTTGCTTTTCCTTTCTTCTTTAAATGAAGTATTATATAGCATAAGCCAGATGGTTGCCTTGTCTTTAACTTCATTTGCAAATTTATTAGTGACTCCACCCCCCGAAAAAAAGAGAGAGAGAACCCCATCACAGAAAATTTGCATTTCATTAAAAATTTAAGGCAAAAAGTAAAAGTAAGTTCCATACATAGGTCAAACAAAGGTGAAGTCAGAAGGCTTTGCCCCCTCCCCTCCTACAGGGCAGGAGGTACAATCTGGGGCTGAGGCCACTCCACTGCCTGGCATCAAATCCCACTCTTCTGCTTTCAGCTCCTGTGGCCACCACAGTCCTCTGTGGGATCGCAGGAGATGCTTAGTAATCCAAGGCAAGATTAGTTGTGGTAAAAATGGCCCATAAAATAAAAGCACATTTTTCCACTTACAGAACCTAAAACTCATTTTAGTAAGAGTTCACAGCAAAATTTTAATGTGAGAAGAGTTTGAAACTGAATTTATATTATTCTTAAAAAATGTCACCCAGACTCAGTGACTTTTATTTTTCATTTCCCTAAAAGTTTCCCAAATATGAATTAAATTGTCAAGGATAAGAAATGGATTAGCCAGATAGTAACCTACCTAGCGATTTCTCTTTCAAAACCTTTGAGCAACCTACCAGTATTATTTTCAAAGCCTCTAATTCTACATAATTTATGCCTGATAAATTTAATTTAGAAGTCCAAAGTATCACGAAGTCATTCAACTTTTTTTTTAAGTCTCACATGACGGCGCAGAGCCCTGGCATGGGGGGGAAGCTGCCTGCAGAGTCGCGGCTGTGCCCCGTGCATTCCACCGGAGGCCACGCAGTGCTTCTTCATTCCTGCCTTCCTTCGTCACCTCTCTCTTTTAAGAAAAAGAATAAGCTTAAAATATCACATTACCAAACCTCTCATTATGTTTTAAGAGATTCCTTCTGGAAGCGCTCTTTGACTGCACAAGGTAATTAAACTCTCCAGCAAAATCAGCTACCTATAATTTGGCGTCCATTACTGTTTACAGTTTCACTATGGATTGTAGTCATTTGACATACTTTAAGAAAACCCTTCAAATACTGAGATGTTTATTGCATTTTAAAAATATCCACACTCTTAAATATCCTGTTTCAAATTCCTCCTAAAATCCTTTACAGCACACAACATCAACTACTGCAGTAGCGTTCTCACAATATTACACTTGAAAATACCATTTAGGAACAATATTTTAGGAAATAGAGGGTTTAAGGCAAGACATTCATTTGGAAAAGTTAATTTCTCTCTATCATCCAGATTGACACGATTATTTTTCCACCTCTTCAGTGCCTTGGGATACGCAACATACATTCAGCAACAGGGCACGCGTGTGACCCTACGGACAAGTGCTGAGGTTGGGAGTGCCCACTGAAATATGGAAATATTCTTACATAAGGCGTGGCCCACGGAGACATGGCATGGGAGGGCTTGTTTCACTCCATTTCCAATCTGGTGTACAGGAAATTCCTTATCTATAACTGTCCATTTCCCCCCAGTTAACTGCTTTTCCAACAAACTCAAACCCCTTGAAAAGGTGCTAAGATTGGTTTCTGTTAACATCAAAAAAAAAAAACAGCCCTCAGAGCCTTCCCGATCACTGCTTTAGTGATGAATGTCTCGAGGCTATTTCTTGATTCTGATTGCAAACATTGTTTGTTGTAGAAAAACTGTTCTGTCCCAAAGAATTTTCTCCTTCATCAAACTTTTTGGATTGTGAGAGCTGAATGTTTTCATGTGTATTCTTTCTTCTTTGAGTTTTTTTCACTGGCAACAACAATAATACTAAGATACCAAGAATGTGCAGGCAATAATACCAGGAGCTAAAAGAAAAAGGGAAAAAGTTTATTAAAACTTGATAATTAATAATCCTTAATAACTGCACACTTGTCAAAATGTCACATGGCCCACCTTAGGATGTATTTGTTTACTACATTACTACATTATTCTTTTATTTTTCCCCCTCAGGAGAAGAAACCTGACAGTGTAGGCCAGTGGGTATTTATAGCACTGGATAAATCCAGGCTAATTAGAAGCCTGATTTTCTAGATAGCATATTACATTCCTTTGTAAGGGTCAGAAGGCCATGGTTAAACAGAATAAAAACAAAAATGTACATATTAATACCGGTAGCAATCTGAAAATCTCCCCAATCCAGATAATCAAAAGTTGAGTCAACAAAGAAAATGTGGAGATAGTTAAGACTTTTACCAGTCTGGCCTCACCTGCTATTTACTGTCTCTAAGTTACAAATATTCTAACGGAGGGGAGTGACAGAGAAGCAATATTGCTTCTTGATGGTTACTTTCATGAAGCAAAGAAAGGCCACATTATTAAAAATATTGAAAACATCATTTCTCAAATTATATAAACCAAATGTAACCTAAACTGTATCTATAACTGTAAGTTCAAGTGATTCTGAACAAAGTTCCTGGGATAGAAAATCTAACCCACAGCCCAATCACATTTTTAAACATGTACTAATTTTGTTAAAATGGAAACTGTAGCAGGACTTATTTAATGTCTTCCTGTATAATTATTGTCATATTTGATTCAATAATTTTTTTACGACTCTGTGCTAAGTCATTCTAAATGCTAGAGTAATAAAGAATTTATAAAAGAATAAAGTTTTTGATCTCTAAAATATCACCATCTAATATGGGGAAGTGGAATTTGGTGGGCAGGGAGAGGAGATAAGTAGATTATAAAAATACAGAATTCGAGACAAGACAATTTCTATAATATACAGATCACCACAGTATCAATCAAACATAAAAGACACAGTGAAAAGGAACAAATAAAATATAATTTATTTTCCTTAGGCTGGGTGTGGTGGCTCATGCCTGTAATCCCAGCACTTTGGGAGGCCAAGGCGGGTGGATCACGAGGTCAGGAGCCTCAAGACCAGCCTGGCCAAGATGGTGAAACCCCATCTCTACTAAAAAAAAAAACAAAAATTAGCCGGGTGTAGTGGTGGGTGCCTGTAATCCCAACTACTTGGGAGGCTGAGGCAGAGAATTGCTTGAACCTGGGAGGCAGAGGTTGCAGTGAGCCGAGCGAGATTGCACCACTGCACTCCAGCCTGGGCGACAGAGCAAGATTCCGTCTCAAAAAAAAAAAGATAATTAATAATTCTTTGTAAATAGCTGGTTTTTTCCCCAAAGAAGTTCAGGACAATTAAGCTAACAAGTTTTTTGTTAAATTTAGGAGAGGTTAGCTGGTTTTTTCCCCAAAGAAGTTCAGGACAATTAAGCTAACAAGTTTTTTGTTAAATTTAGGAGAGGTTTGAGGCAGTGGTTACCTGGCTGATATTTCTCTGTCTAAATCACTCATCTGAGGGTTGAGCAGTATGAGTCATTCCACAGAGAAACGCTGAGACTTGCTTGGTTCAGAATTAAAAAGTAACTGATAATGCATTTATCAGCAGGAAATGTGGCTATGGTACTGTTTTTCTATTCTATCCAATAGCAAGAAACTTTCTTTTGAAAATAGAGTTATTCCCACTGACAAAGTTTTAAGAGTAACACTTACCTGTAAAACGTGAGTGATGGTTTTATAGAAAGAAGCACAAATGGCACAACTGTGTAACTTATTGCTACTTGAGTTACTATCCATGTTATAACATCATAAAATAATTTCAGTTGGGAAGGTTCAATGAAATAATGTCTAAAGTTATTTCTCATCTGAAATAAAGAAACAAAAACATTTGCTGTATCTTTAAATTAACATTACTTATGCAGTTACACTGGTGATATCAACTGTTGGAAGGATGTGGAGTAGAGTAACTGAAACTCTCCTAAGTTGCTAGTGGGAATGTACACTGCTACTATGGATAAAGTTCGTTCTAAAAAAGCGAATACACATTGTACACACTGTGTATAAAAGACAGAGAGAGGGGAGATGAGGAAGTAACAGGGAAAACATAAATGACTGGTGAGTCTGGGTAAAGGGCATATAGAAGTTCTTTGCAACTTTTCTGTAGATTAGATTCTGTATTAAAATAAAAGTTTCCAAAAAAAAAAGAAAAGTTTAAGACAACACTGCCTAGAGATCCTTAAATCATATTTGGTAAAATATAGTATATAAATAAAGTTTGGTTTACCTTCATCCTTAACTCTTATTTAACCTCTGCATTTGTGAAAGACAAACTTGGCTTTGCTAATATGCAAGTGCATGGTGTATTTGGGGAATGACAAGTAAATCTAATGGAAGCAGAGAATTCATGTATGCATAGATACCTGGTAATTCTAGAGAGGTAAATGGGGGAAGGGAGGAGGGCAGTGGTAGAACTTGAACACCAGGTAGGGAAGAAGCCTATCCTATTCTGTCTGCTATGGGAGGGAGTTAGGTACAGTTTTTAAGCGCAAGAATGGAATGCCAAAAGCCCGTACCTCAGGACAAATGGATTTGTCATTGGTGAACAGGATGGAATCAAGAGCAGGTGACTGCCATGGTGGTGAGCTAGGCAAGAGATAGCAGAGCCTAGCCACTAAGAATTATGGGTTTTGCTAATGTCCTTCCGATGCTTAGAATGTCATTTTCTTCCCCATTATACTTCACTCACTATTGAAATAACTTTCATCTCTCAAAGTCCAGATCCAAACACCTTCCTAATGGGGCCATCTCTAATTAACCCAACCCAAAGAGACTTCTTCCATCTCTAAACACCTATGCTACTTAGTATTTATAACACCCACAGAATCTGTCTTATGCACACACACACATGCATAAGGTATGTACACACATATACACCTTATCCCAAATTAGACTACAAACTACTGGAAGCTACCCTTAGTTAATACTTCTTGAAATTTCCCTCATATATCCCCAAAGTTCCTCAAAATGGAATACAGTAAATATCTGCTAGTTTGTTAAATGAAGCCCTCTTACCTGTAAGTGCCATTACCAGCTTGTTCAAACATGGTTTTTGTCACGTCACTTTCCTCTAACTGGTTTTCAAGGGCTTACCCTAAATTATCCTTCTCCTTATTTCTTTCATGTCACCAACCTAATTTCTCAATTGTTTCCCCAAAATATTACTCTATGTTCTGTCTAGGCAAATACTCTAAAGAACTGTGTCCTCTTCCAGTGTGGCTCATCCACTGTCTTGGCCTCGCACAGCCTAGTCTTCATCTGAGAGAGGACTCAAAGGTTACAGCTTTCAGGAAACATTTCTAAAATAAACCTACCCATTCTGATCATCTTTATTTAACTCAGTTTTTATCTCTCCTTCAGAAAATTCTGTAAAGACAAAGTAACATTTTGTGAGTGCCTCCTACCTGCCGGGCACATAGAAACGTGTTTTCTCCTCACAGGAACTGGGCATGGAGCCTAGCCCGTGGTGAGCGCTCAGCAAACATGCACGCAGTACACACCTCGCTTCTAGTGGAAAGGACAATACTGACCACGACCAAGGAAAGAGGGTCTACCTTGTAAGAGAGATGTACTCAGCCTTTTTAACAGTTCAAGTGGACCATTGAATTGTAAAATAAAATTCTTGATACTTACAGCTCTTGCTGCTAATGTCATTAACACCCCTGTTAGAAACGTTAGATAATATCCTGGGTATACCCCGTGCCAAATGGCAGAGAGAATGAACGTCTGGATAGTTGGACTGAAGGAGGTTCGTTCATAACACACCCTAGAAACCATGAAAAACATGGAGAGCCAAGTGGAGTGAGTGACCCGAGTTTACAAAGCCTGCAATGATCATTCTTTTATTACCTGACAGGATTTAGGGTAACTAGAAAAACAAATACAACTTATCTTAGGCAATCACTTCTCTATGATCTCAGGGAGGCTATAGCTATTAAGTGTCAAATTTAGGAACATAAAGTTAATTCTCATCTTCTTATTGGTATATATAGTATATATATTGGTATATATAGTAACTTAAATGATCATTTCTAGTATTTGGGAGTCTATACAATTTACAAAAAGAGTAAGGTTGCTTTTATCCTACATTATTTTATTTAAAAAAAATCAATAACTTTCAACTGACCTAATAACACTACTCCTTCCGGCAGATAGACTGTGCTTAGTCTACAATTCTTCTATGACAGGGATAGAGAACTCAGCTGAAAATAAAGTTTCCCTAAGGTATCAAATTTAAATTATAACAATAACAAAAAATAACACAACAGATTAGCTCAGAGGATCTGCAGCCACTGGGGAGACTGCCAGGCACTGTGAAGAGATGACAGCGTATGCTAGCCATCTCAAGGGATAAAGATGTTTAATTTGTCATTTAAAAAAGGACACTATAAAAAAAGGCTGCTTATCACCGTATCGTTATAGGGGCCGTTTTTTATGAAGTAAATTCAAGATAGGGCAATGTGCTCACAGGGACGATAAGAGAACCCCTGGGAGGGTGTGCTGTTCCCCAGCTCTGTCCTTCGCACCTGTTACTCCACCCAGCCTGGCTTGCCTCTACCTTGCCCTGTTCACGAGACACGCTCCTGACACAAACCTCAGCTCAAGCACCCACACTTGTAGGAAGTTCTTCCCGCATCCCTCTGTGCCCTCGCTGTTCCTGCTTTCTCTCTCCTCATCCTCACCACAGGGAACAGCATGTGTCTGATTACACCACCGTGTCTTTAATAAAATTGTGAACTCTTTCACTTTCAGGAGCTGAGTCTTTTTATCTTACTCATGTTTGTTTCCCTTGCCTAACAAATAAAGATTTGTTGAATTGAAATATTTAAAACCAGGACTGTTCTGGAGTACCCAGGCATAAGTACTGTGCTTGTGCAGGCACTTGTTAATTTAAACCACATCTCTACTGAACACAATCAGGAGCTGCAAAGGAGGATACTGGTGACCTCTGACATTGGCAGAGGCCTTTAAAGGAGGCTTGAGAGGGCAGGATAGCTGCACCTGCAGGATAGCTGCATTCGTGACTCAAGCCAAAATAGTTCTCATTCGATACTGACTTGCTTAGGAGGAGGCTAACAGTGTTTCCCGGCTGACACTGAGGTCACAATGTCACTCAACACCGTTAATTTAATCAAGAACCTGAACTCAATGAAGCTCAACCTCGAGAACTAGACGCCAAAGCACATCTAAAGATCGTTTTTGAAGGAACGCACCTTTTGAGCCAAAGAGCTGTCTGAATATTCCAATTATCAAGAAACATCTTGAAACTTGTTGACATCTGAAAAAAAAGGAAACTTTTTTCTTTGTGTCACAAAATAATGAAGCTTTAAATATAATAATATATTATTATGCTAAAAAATAAAAACAAAAATTACTTAACATCGATGGTAGTATAGTGATTTCTCTTTCCTTAATCTTGTTTTTCTAATGTGGTAACATCATTCTACGTAAGACAAGTTTATTTATTGTTGGGAACATCTATGAGGTGATGGATTATCACCATTTTCTCTTGTATGTTAACATTTACAAGGGATGTCATGGATTTCTTCCAAAGACATTCCTGAGAATGTGTACAAATGCCTTTTGATGGCCTCCCTCTCACACTGAAAACTGGGGCGCCCACCTTGTTACCTCCTTCCCGCCAAGCTCCGCCATGGTCCTGGGTGAAGCAGACATCCACCGCGACATCCTGCCCTGCCATCGTCTCTCGGTGCCCTGGCTACTCTCAATTCTGGCGCTGCCTGGCTGTGCTGCCCCTGAAAGAGTGGATCTGCACACCCAGGTCTCACAGGGCATCCCACCTTCCCAGCTTCCTCTCTCAAGTTACTCCCACTAAAGCTATTCTTTGATCTCAGAGGGGGCCTTTCATCTCCCACCCTGTCTACTTTTATCCTATGTAACTCTCTCCTCCTCTGGTCTTCACTTCTGACCATTTTAGATTTTGTGTTCCCTTATGTAAATTACTACTCTTATGTCAGAATCTTCAATGCTTCTGTTTCTTTTTCCTTTCCATTCACCTCCCTATCAAAACCCTAATTCCAGATCAAACACACCGTCCACTTTCCCCACTGGTAACATTTGTGCGCTGAGTGCAGAGTATCACCACATTTCAGACCTTTGTCTTAAGTTCATGGTTCTCCACCACGACTGAGCCCTCACCTACAATCCTGTTTTCCTAGACAGTTCATTCTCCTCTTCCTGAAAAAAGCTACTGGACTGAACCATTTGAAATTTTCTTTTCTCTTTTTTTTCAAAATAAAGTCAAGAAGAGGTAAGTGTCAGCAATTTCGCATGATTCAACCTAATACCCCATCTATATCTCTGGTCCTATCACCTCCTTTCTCCCTCACAACAGGTAAGTTGGCCTCCTACTTTACAGAGATGATATAAAATCATCAGACTCCAAATTCTCATCATCGAACTACACACTCAGCTGCACACACACTTATCCTGCCCTCCTTCCTGTCTTTATAACAGGAGAAGTGGTCCTTCTCCTTTAGGGCCAATGTCTCCACTTCCATCTTCTCCGGGACTTCAATCAATAGGTCTCTCTCCTTCAACTGTAGGAGAAGCTTCACACTCTCCCCTCCAAATAATCTCCTAATCACTAAATATGTTTTACTCTCTCCATTTTAAAACAAAATTAAACAAACAGCTCCCCTCAATTCCCTGTTCCCCTCAGCTACTGCCCTATTTCTACCCTCTTCCCTTTACGGGGAATGAACTCCTAGGAGTTGTGTAATCTGGCCTTTATGCCAATCCCTCTCCTGAAACGGTTGTTCATAAAACCATAAACAAGGATGGGCACGGTGGCTCATGCCAGTAATCCCAGCCCTTTGGGAGGCCGAGGTGGGTAGATCGCCTGAAGTCAGGAGTTCGAGACTAGCCTGGCCAACATGGTGAAAAGCTGTCTCTGCTAAAAATACAAACATTGGCCGGGCGTGGTGGCAGGCACCTGGAATCCCAGTTACTCAGGAGGCTGAGGCAGGAGAATCGCTTGAACCCGGGAGGCAGAGGTTGCAGTGAACCGAAATCGCGCCACCGCACTCCAGCCTGGGCAACAGAGCGAGACTTTGTCTCAAATAAATAAATAAATAAATAAATAAAACCATAAATGATAAAGGCATTTATGTCCTTCTCTTACTTGGTATCTCAGTGGCACTTAGCATTGATGACCATTTTTTCCTTCAGAAAAATTAACTCCTTTCTTTACTTTTTCTCATGCCATGCACTCTCAGCAGGGGTGATATCGCCCCCAGGAGATGAAAATTCGTTCTTAAGGGGCAAAAATATCTTTTTTTATGTATAAAGAACATATATACATACAGTAGTGTATCAATAGGTATACAGATACACAGTGTATCTGTGGTATTAAAATTTCAGGGGGGAAATTATTAGGAAAAGAGTGTCTCAAAAGTCCTCTTAAGGTGTTAATAATAAACAAAGGTGAGAAACACTGCTATATCCATCATTCAACTTCAACAATGATCAATTTTTCCCTCTCCTTCTCCATTTTTATTGCCAACATTGTTGTTAAGAATATTTCAAAGCAAATACCAGACTTATTTCACCTGCAATTAGTTCAGAATATATGTCCAATAAATAAAGACTTTTTAAAAGACCATGATCAAACAAAATTAATAATTCCTCAACATTATCTAATCCCCCTTTGTATTCAAATATTCCTGATTGTTTAGAAAAGTCTTTTCCAGTTGGTTTGGTCAATCAGCATCCCAAAAAAGTTCATACAGTGCATTTGGCCAAAGCCTCTTTTAATCTGTAACAGCTTGGGTCATATGTCCCATAGAACTTCTCACTTTTGATCTGATCTGGTGTTTAACTTACCCTCTATACTCCACATCCCCTCTAAATTTGTAAGTATCTAGAAATCCGATTCAGATTTGGTTATCTCAGCACACTTCAGTGATGGCCTGCATTTCTTATGGCATCCCGTCTCGGGCACTTACTGCCTGACTGCCCACTTTTAGCAATATTAGGGCTCATCAGAGGATCCAGCTTGGCCTCTTCACCTCAAGTTTTAGTAATCTCTTCTATTTGGAATGTTGGAATGATCCTTTTCGCAGGCTAGCAAAACAATGGTTTTCTTTTTTTTTTGAGACAGGGTTTTGCTGTGTCACCCAGGCTACAGTGCAAGTGGCACGATCACGGCTCACTGCAGCCTGCTGAGTAGCTGGGTCTACAGGTGCTCACTACCATGCCCAGCTAGTTTTTGTATTTTTTGTAGAGATGGGGTTTTGCCATGTTGCCCAGGCTGGTCTCAAACTCCTGAACTCAAATGATCTGCCTGCCTTGGCCTACCAAAGTGCTGGGATTACAGGTGTGAGCCACAGAGCCCTGTTGGTTTTCTCCTTTTTTCTTTCTGGCTACTCCTGAATTCCTTTGCCCAGCCTCTCAGTACTGGTGCTCTTTTAGAGACTCTCACCTCTTCTGATTCTCTCCTCCAGGGCCTGAACTGCCACGTGCTGATAGTTCCCAGATTTCACTCTCAAGCTCGGGTGCCTCTGCTGAGTGTCTGACCATGATCTGCCTCGTGGACAACTCACTAAGTCTGTGATTTGAAGATATTATCTGTCCCTTCAAACTCATATCTATTCTCTGTTCCTTATCTAAGTGGAAGCTATCACCATAAACCTAGATGTTTAAACCAGATTTCTGGGCCTGATTCATAACTCATTCTCTCTTGCTGATCCCAATTTATCACCAAATTCTGTTGAGTCTCTTACACATCTCTCCAATATATTTATATGTTTCTAGCCCCACTGGCAGTATATGGTTTAGGTCACCATTATCTTGGATTAACAAAACATCCTCCTAACAGAGCTCTCTGCCTCTTGAGGGAAATACATTCTACATGCCAGATCCTTCTAAAACACCTATATGATCACCTCACTTGGCTACACATATAATCCATCCGCAGTGCCCCATTGCTCTTATAAGAAAGATCAAAACTCTTAATATGGCCTGTAAGAGTGTGGCTGCCTGGCCTCCACTTCCCCAACCTCATCCTTCATGACTCCCTAAACTATGAAGCAACATGAGCTGCACAGCTCTCGGCTCCCAGGCTGCTCCCTCTACTTGGAGTGTCCGGTTGTCTCTTACTTCTTTGGGACTCAGCTTAAGCATCATTTTCTTTAGGACTCTCTTCCCCCAAACACCTCAACTAACCTGGATTCCTATTTCATGAATACCCACATGCCTTACCCCTCTCTGATCACCACCTGTTTTACCTTATTCTGTAACCTCTAGGAAACTAAAGCTCCATGAGGGCCTGAATTGCACCTATCTTATTCCTTGTCTCCAGTGCCCAGGGCACATAGTTGACGACCAATATGTATTGGTTAAATGAAAGAATGAGTGTTAATATTAAAAAACCTTCAATACCACTCCTAGGACATCACACCATAACTTATGAAAGCAAACTATGGTACTTAAAGTATATAGTAACTAACTTCTTAAAGATTGACTCACCTCTATTTGTTGAATTCTCAAATTGGAAATTAAGTCCCAGCGAGCTGCTCCATTTTCGTCATACCCTCTGAAACCAAAGCCTGCAGCATTATTAATGGCATCAGCTATAGAAAACAACATTAGAAAAAAGTATTAAGAATCTCCATAACAATTTACCATATTCTCCCAGAAGGTATGTGTTATTATATCTTTTATTCTTAAACAGTAAAAGTAGATTTATTCTGATTTTTAAGTCAGAAACAACATCGCATACAATGAAAATAACATATCTAGGACAATTTGGTTAGTCAGTAATACATGAGACATCATGCATGAGTTGGGGGCGGGTAGAGTTTAAAAGCTGCTGAGGACCAATAGGTGAAGGTGAAGACTCGAACAGGAAACGCTCCCCAACATTAGCTGTGCCACTGGAACACAGCAGAGTACGCTCAACCAGCTGCCAAGAAGTTGCTAAGGGGATGTTTTTGCTCTGGGAGCACCATGTTCTTTTTAATCATATATTTGAAGTGTCCTATAAACAATAATATATAAGTGAGGCATAATATTTTCCTTCCATTTTTTTTCTTTCTTGGTTCACCAGAACCTACTCTGTGTATATGTCTCTAGAATTTTTAAAAAATAGAGACAGGGTCTCCCTGTGTCACTGCCCAGGCTGGAGTGGCAGGATTATAGCTCACTGCAGCCTTGAACTCTTGGGCTCAAGCAATCCTCCTGTCTCAGCCTCCTGAGTAGCTGGGACTGCAGGTGCACATCATCATGCCTATTTTTTTTTTTTTTTTTTTGTAGAGATGGGGGTCCCACTATGTTGCCAAGGTGGTCTCGAACTCCTGGCCTCAGGCCATCTTCCCACCTTGGCCTCCCTAAGTGCTGGCATTTCAGGCAAGAGCTACCGCACCCGACCCAGAATTTGTTTTCTAATCCTTTTCACCACAATGCTCAATTAGTTATTTTTGCTTTATGTACATGCTTAAGCTGCAAAAAAAATTTCTGCCTCAAATAAGCCCTTTTCCAATCAACTGGAAAATTGTTCATGCTATTTGTATCATGACCAAAGAAAAAACAAACAAATCCATCAAAGCCCAGCAAAATAATATACCTATACAGACATGTATCCTTAAATTGTTTTATTGTTTATTAGTGCTTTTTAGTACATCAAACAAAATCCTTTAAAAATTACACTTTGGGGGAAAAGAATAAACAAGATTTACTCCTCTGTCAGGTTTAATGAGGTCAGCCGCCTTTGTTCAATTCACATAAATATGAGCCTCTAAGGTAAGCCTGCTAGCATAGTAACATATTCAACAGAATTAAAAATCTATTAACCGCATGGGCAGCATACCCATAGAAATGGCTGCTGGGGAACTCCTTCCCTCCCTCATGGTTGCCAACACTTCTGATTTGTTCATGTATTCATCCTCTCCATCTTTTTTAGCCTACTGTGATCTAAGAGCAATGAAACTCCTAACCAACTTCACAAGTGACAACAAGATTGGCCCAGGGTATGGTCAACAGCAACGAAACAAGAAGAGAACTGGGGATATCAAACTGCAGGAGTCCACCTTCCATGTTCCCCTGCCCCCCAGTCTCCCACCACAGACCCTGCCTAATCTTTACCTCAGGTAATGTAAATCCTGAGAGAGCTTCCAAGTTGTCATTATATAGAGATATTCCAAATAACTGACCATTAACATCAATTTAAACTTTAATCTGTCCCTACATGGACTAAATGTTTTTCAAACTTGAGTTAAAGGGAAAAAAAGTGCTCAGATCCCAGTAAATCATTTTTTTGAGGTGATAAGGAGAAAAGGGCAGGGCCACAGGGCTGTGGAGATGAGAAGCCTGATTCCCATTTTGAGAAGCCTGAATTAAGGAATTAAATATAGTCTGCCTAGCCACTAGTATCCATGAAATTATAATTTGAAAAATGTACATGTGGATACAAAAATCAGAAAGTAACTGTCCATATGATCCAGAATACATTCATACTATTTTTATAAATTATTAGTAAAATACAAAAACAAAGTTAAAGAATTTTGGAACTCTTGGACTTCCCAAAAAACAGATTTTTGGACCTCCAGAGATCATTAAACTCCAATTTTACAACCAAATGGACAATTACAAAAAGGTGACAGGGGTGGAGATGAACGTGGGCACATGCATGCTGAGCCTCAGCTGGCTTCTCCACTGACAGAGTTGAAACCTGAACCTCAGCGCTGAACCATTACCAGGAACTCAACCATTACTTGTGTTAAGACAGTACAGACATAGTACAAGTATTTATTGCATGGAATAACTTTATTGCCTTACAGCTAAAAATTCTTTAAATTCTTTAAATATAGTTCAATTTCAAATTGTCATTCATATATATTCTAATATGATTATTTCTTTAAGGAAGAATCAGGGAAAAGGAATTAACTCACCTTTGGTTTGTAAATATGTAAAAATGCACAAGATTCATTTTTCAAACCAAATATTGGGGTCGGAGGATCAGAAGTACCCTAAGAATCATTTTAATTGTCATAATTGCAAATAAAAAATTAATGATAAATTTGGTTGATTTTTTTTTTGAGGCAGGGTCTCACTCTGTTACCCAGGCTGGAGTGTAATGGTGCGATCACAGCTCACTGCAGCCTCAACTTCCCTGGCTAAAGCGGTACTCCCACCTCAGACTCCTGAGTAGCTGGGACCACAGGTGTGCAACACCACACCTGGCTAATTAAAAAAATTTTTTTTGAAGAGATGGGGTCTCACCATGTTGCTCAGGCTGGTCTCAAACTTCTGGCTTCAAGTCATCCTCCTTCCTCAGCCTCCCAACATGCTGGGATTACAGGTATGAGCCACGTGCCCGGCCTAATGATAAATCTTGTATATTTTTACATATTTACAGAGATCTTGTGATTTTTCTCAAAAGCCTTATAAATTCAAGGACCTCGTTCTATTGATAAGATTTCCAACAACTAGATGTCCAACCGAATCCAAAAACATGCAGAACTCTCATATTCTATGAATCTAGCGATTCAACCAACAGGTCAGAATTCTTACAAAACCCTAAAAATACCAGGTTTGTTTAGGAAAGTTCTCAGTCTCAATTTAAAGTCAGAATTTAAGTAGTACAGGAATTTAATTCGGTATTATTGATGTCTAAATTTGGCTACAATAAAAATGTTCAATCCTTAAAGAAATCTTAGATTAAAATCCATAAGGTAACATATTTTAATTGGCCATTAACTCACTAGGTTACAGCAACTTTTAATGATGCTATTGTGCACAGCTGTATGATGAAAGACTGAAAATAATGAATCCAGCCCCAAACTGTATTTCACTGTAATCAAAATAAAACCGACAGTAAAATGCTAATCCTTAGAGGCCTAATTATTGGCTGATGTGTTTCTTTGTGCATTCATTCAAATATTTGTTGAGTAACAAATATAAACAAGGCAAGCAGAACACAATCTTAAGAATAAAGGAGTTTATAATCTTGTGGGTGAGATAAAAAGACAATACATATATAAAAGAGGTTTCAATTTATCCAATGAAGCATTCTCTCTACTTTAGTCCAACCTTCAAAACGTGGCCAGAATCATCTTCTTCTGCCACAGGATCAGGCCATCAGCCTGCCTGAAGCCTTTTGTGGCTAATTCAGCAGAGCAGGCAAGGTCCTGTGAAAGCCCATTTCACCTGACCAGGTCCCTCCTTCCCACATGCCCCTGCTAACATCTGCCACGCAAAGCGAGGTACCTCCATGTCTCTTTGCTCATGAGTGCAAAACTAGCCATTTTCCACTTGCTGAAATCACATTCCATCTTTTTGTTTTTGTTTTTGAGACTACCTAGGGGTTATTGCTCAACTCATATTAAAACCTCACTCTGTCGCTCAGGCTGCAGTGCAGGGGTGCAATCATAGCTCATTGCAGCCACAAACTCCTAGGCTCAAGCGGTCCTCTCACCCCAGCCTCTCAAGTAGCTGGGACTACAGGCACATGCCACCAGGCCTAGTTGATTTTTAAAAATCTTTTTGTAGAGAGAGGGGTCTCACTATGTTGCCCAGGCTGGTCTTGAACTCCTGGCCTCAAGTGATCCTCCCACCTTGAACTCCCAAAGTGCAGGGATTATAGGGGTGAGCCACCATAACTGGCCCACATTCAATTAAAGCCACGATTGCATGTTATCTTTTCTCTAAAATTTGTTCTACCTGCCAAGCATAACTGATGACCCCCTATCAATGTGCCAATATCATTTTATTCACTTTGCTGATAAACTACTGATCATATTATACTATGGCTAATGGTCTATTTAACAGGTATCATAACTGTAAGCTGAATACAATCATACTAAATTATAACCATCTGGAGGATAAGAACTATGTCTTATACATACTCGTATCTATCCTGGCTAGCACTGAATCTAGAATATAATATGCATTCAACAAATATCTGTTGTCTTTCATTGATCCATGTATTTTTATTTTGTATTATAATAAAATTGATTCAGTTTTTAGAATATACTTACATATGAGTTGCGAGGGCTGTTTTTTCTACACAGATGACTTAATTTTTCCAATTGGTCTTTATGTATCCTCAAGAGGGCGCACTGATAGCAATCTATCGACAAGGTAAGAAACGCTTCAACCAGACACAGGGAAATCTATTTACATGTTACTTACCTAGCGTCCATGCAAAATAGTATTTGGGTCTGGCAGCCAAAAGAGAGATATACAGATAGATAATCTTTGTTGGCCACGAAGCTGTAGCTTGAAAATGCTCATCAATGTTGTACTCCACAGGTAATGTTGTACAGATGGTCAAGTGAAATAACAAGGACAGCCCACAAACTAAGAGCTTCTGAACAACCGCAGTCTGAAAAGCGCAAGGCGAGACTTCATCAACTTTATCCATGCTCCTTTTAATTCATTCTATGTATTATCGACAGATTAATCTTCCTGAATGGATCATCAGTCCTACAACTCTCCTGGTCAAAATTCAAGAGCTACATTGCACTTGGCATTTAAAGTCTTCCATGGTCTCATGGTATGAACTTTTCCAACTGTATCTATAAGTACTACCTAGGGGTTATTGCTCAACTCATACTAAAATCTCCATTTTGTATTCAGAATTTTCAGGAAATAAAAAAATCTAAAAGCAAGCATAAGTGTATTGGTGTGAATGGAAGTGAATATAAAAAATTAACACTAATTACTTTTGGCAATAAATTTTATATGGATATATATATTTTTTCCATTGTGTCTTTTCTGTATTTTCCAAATTCTAGGCATCTCATGGATGTTATTTTTACAATAAACAATCTATGCATCTCTGTAAATCTGAAAGTTAACACAACTTTGTTCAAGAATAATAAAAACCAAAAGAGCTATACACCTGAGAAGAATAAGAATTTGCATAAAAGACCCTGGTGAAAGGAAGAGGCTATTCTTAGCAATAGTGCGGTAAGGTCGCATCACCAACTCATGGTATTTTGTATTTTTACAACTCATGCTGTTTTTATATTTGTAGAAGGCCAGAATATTTCAACTTCATTTGGTATAAAAGAGATTATATAGGCTAGGAAGAAAAAGAAACAAGCGAAGAGAAGGCTAGATCCAGATGAAGTATGCAACAAAATATCTGGATTTAGAAGTGCTCTATACAGTAACCAAATAGTATTCAAATTAACTGCAGTAATTTATCAATGAAGCTCCACATTTTAACACTTTATATAATAGTGCCAGAAGAAAAGCTCCAAGACAAGAGCCAAAGCATATGCCGGATGCACTGCACTTCTGAGAACAGTATTTTATTATTGGTTGCTCCTGCGAGGTGGAACTCAGTGTTCAAGGACTCCTTGCAGCAGTTGTTATTCTCATTTTCCATTGTCTTTTATCCCTTTCTTTAATAAAATAAGGCTACTCTTTCTTCAGTGCCTCCCAAATATCTTACCTATACATTTGAATTATGAGATTTTAAAATGGTAGAGAAAAAAATTGTAATTATAAATGAAGCAAGGTGAAATAAATGGCCCCATACTTTAATTTTAAAATGAGGCTTATCATTTTAGTAATGTAATAAGAAGTACTGTGGCCACGAGACTATATGGTTCTGAAGTAGGGCAGGGATATGGTGCTGCAACGAAAATGTAAAGAACACGAAAACAGCCTGTATCCTGAGAGGTGATATCCTCAGCCCCCTTCCCCTGCCCAGACCCAGAGTCCCAGCAGTCAAGTTTGTATGCCCTAGGCAGAAAACTGGAGAATCCTTCACCCAAAAAACCAAAGAGCCCCAGAGAAATAGCCTACAGACATCATGACAGAGACTGCCAAGTGTTTCCCAGGAGCCCTCCTCCCCTTCCTGCACAGAAAAGGAAGTTTCTCTTGGGTGCTTGGAAGTCTAGCTAAAGATGACACATCATAGCCTTTGGTGCACCCGAGTGTGGCTATATGATTAGGTTCTGGCCAATAGGATATGAGCAAAAGTAATATGTACAGGGAAGATGGAGCTTGGATCTCTAACACTTTGGGGCCCCCATATTATCAATGCACTGCTTACAGGTGAGCTGTCCCACATATAACATAAAAACAAATTTCCACCTTGTTTAAGTTCCTGTTATTTTGGTCCTTGTTTCAGCAGCCAAACCCATATCCTAACTGATGCAGATAGAGGAGAGAACAGTGGAGAGGTCCCCAACAGAAGAGCCAGTGGGCTCCGTGAGCATCCTCCTTAGGATCCTGAGCATCTATGCACTTCACTGATGCACAAGGAGCTTCCAAATGCCCCTTGAGGGACTTATGACTAACTACCACTATTTGACTTTATAAAGTATATGCACGTGAAATTTAAATAAAATATATTATTAAAATGGTGGGAAAATACATGAAGAATATTTGCCATTATCAACAACCTCTGATTTAGGATGTCTATAACCCAAAAGAGGAAAGTGATATTTTATGATAGTAAAACCCATAAAAACTCAGTGAAGTGATAGAATATATACATTTGTATTATTCTTTGTCAAGTTTGATTTACTACTATCACTTTTATAACATTTGATATTTTCAAGTATTTTACAAAGTCATTTGATCTTCATACAGTCTGTAAAATGGGGAAGACATTAAGATTCTCCTTTTGCAGACAAGGACTCATACACATTAAGTGATGTGCCGAAATGATGAGCCAAACTGGTCACTGACAGTCCAGCATCTTGACTCCTAGGCTTTTATTCTCCTTCCAGCATTCCCGAATAAACTTCTAAGAAGCTGTCTACAATTGTCTTTACCTTCTCTTACAGCAGGGAGACCACTAAAAGATTAAGTGGTCATCCTGGAGATACAAAACAGTCAGTGAAGAGACACCAATTTCAAGTCTGGAATCCCACTCAGTTTGATATGACATTTCTCAACACTTAACCAGTAATAGAAAATATGAAGACAAAACACCTTTTTGGTATAAAATACAATGAGCGACATGGTAGGAAAGAGGTAATATACTATCTTTTGCAAGTGCAGGTACATTTCTACATTGACTCTTTGTTGCCCACACAGTGGAGGGTGGTAGATTTGCAGGAGAAAGAAGGTGACCCCTTGCTCTAAGCCCTACATTCACAGAAAACACACCAGCCCCTTTCCTTCATCTCACAGACTTCCTGATTGGCCTATTCTTTTTCATGGAAACTTTATAGATTTTACCAGATGAAATCTAACAGAAACTTAGCCTATACAGAGCCTCACTGCCTTTCTTTATGAAGCAGCATCCCAGCAATTTCAAGTGCCCCAGTGGCTTAAAGAAAATAAACATTATGTTTGGTTGTAAGGCAACTTAGCATAGACTTGAAACCAGATTGCACTGGTTTGAATTCCAGTTCTACTGCCAACCTGGGGAATCTTGGTCAAATCACTTAGCCTCTGAGTCTCAGTTTCCTCAATGGTGAGAAAAACAGTGTCTACCTTGTATGAATGCTGTGAAGGCTGAAAGAGTAACTACGTGTGAGGTGCACACCACAGTGCCTGGCACATGGTGAGCACTGTCAAAGTGTTAGCTATTATTAATATCTTTATCATATTACTAATCTCTTCATTGTGGGAATCAGGAGCTGTTTTGTGGAAAAAGGTGGTATTTGAAGTAGGCTTTTAAAGAGAAGAAAGATTTCAACTTGCAATAATTAAGAAGAGGAGAGGGAAAGCAAAAAAGAAATGGAGGATACAGAGTGTTTACAATCTGCTGGAACACAAGGCATAGGTAAGAAAGAAATAAGAAAGAAAGAAAAGGAAGGGAAGGAAAGGGGGAAGGGGGAAGGGGGAAGGGAGCCTGGAAAATTGTTAGGCTGGCCAATTCCATGCTAAGAGCTTTCTTGTAAAATCCCCTATAACCATAAAGCATTATTCTCACTGAGGAATTTACCACATAGTTTCTCAAGTGACCTTATTTGTGTTCTTAATCATGACTGTACTTCTACCAGGTGCAGTGTGAAGTTATTTATCTTGAAAAGTATTTTTAAAGAAACAGATGGATAAGTTCACAATGTGAAAATATTTGTATCTTTAAATAAGACTAACCAATACATGCTGTAAAGGCTCCAGATAAATCTCATGACCTTACATTTGGAGATGGCTCTGTTCTTTCATACTGTGTCTCTTCTTTTCCATTTTCACCAGATTGTGTGATATGGTATGATCTGCCTTCAATGAAAGTAATGTAGTCTTTGTAAGAGCAAAGTGGGCCTGCCAGGATCCCCATGAAGTTACAGTTGTAACTCAAATACTCCAGTAAGCTTGGCATGCGCCTGCAATGAAAAGACATGCAACCAGTGAGATGCAGCATAAGCTTCAGAACATCTGATAGAATAACGATCCACCTCACTGCTCTCCATTTCCAAAGTAAAACAAGCTTTCATTTTCATTTGTACCCATACAATAAGAATTTTAAGGATCAGAACATAGTCATGCTCAAAAGTATGTCTGAATAAGAGTTTCTATACAGATCCTTATGAGCAAATATGAAGGTTTCAACTTAGATTTCTCACGATGAGACAAATCAAAGATGGACGCACTATCTGCAAAGTGCTGTCTCCTCCTAGGCAATCATTTGCTCTTCTAACAAACACGTGCTGTGCACTGTGTGCCCCACCTGCTGCAGGGCCTGGATACGGCAGTAAACAAAGGAGAGGACAATCCTGCATCCACAGAGCTTGCATACTGGTTGCAGAAAACAATAATAAAATTTATAAAACATATTTTCAGAAGTGCTAAGTGTTACAAAAAGAAGGAACTCTTTTATTCTATTAAGAAGTCAGAGAAGGCCTCTCTGGTAAGGTGACAGTTGAGCAGAGACCAGGAAGAAGTGAGAGGAGTTGTGTGGATGTTGGTGACAGGGGTTCCAGGCAGAGGGAATGATGCGTGAAGACCCCTGAGCTGGGCACGGCTGGCAGCAAGGCAGCCGTGGGGCTGGAGCAGAGTGGACCCGGGGGAAGAGGTGGGAGCAGGGAAGACAGCTGAGGTGAGATCAGATGGGGCTTGCCTTACAAGCCATGGCAGGAACTTCAGATTTTATTCTGACTGAAATGAAAAAACACAGCAGGGGTTTAAAAGATCTGTCTCAATGCGTCACTCCAGCCCATGTGTGGGGCTCCTGCGGTCTCCAGGCAGGAGGTGACAATGGCTGGAGGAGGGGGCAGATGCTCTGCACGTATCCTGGCAGTGGAGCCTGAAGGCTGCGGAGGGATTGGCTGTGAGGTGGAGGAGAAAAGGGAGTCAAGTCAATTCCACTCCTTAGAGGTCTGTCCAAATGATACATGGTACCTATGGGTAACAGTGAAAATGGGTAGTTAACACAGGAGACTATTTAGACTATTTATGTTACCATATAAATGAATAAGGAGTGTATTTAAAAAAAACAGCTGCATTAAGAAAGCCTACTGTCCACTGTTAATGATAAACCATCACAAAGAAAGCACAACTGCACCTGTGGACAGCAGGCAGGCTTCTTGAACATGTTACAGTCCATGCTCCTCTCTGAATATGATAAGCTCTCTCCTTAAAAAATACAAACACTCTTGTGGACAAGAGAGGTTGAGAGAATACCCTCATAAACAGTTTTTTAAAGAGCTAGGTCTTGTTATGTTGCCCAGGCTGGACTCAAACTCCTGAGCTCAAGCAATCCTTCTGCCTTGGCCTCCTGAGTAGCTGGGATGACAAGCACACACCACCTTGCCTAGCTTAGCATATATTATTTTTCTTTGATAAATTAAATAGAACAAAATAGTGATTCCTGTCCATCTGATACTATCTGGGTTACCACTCAGCCCAAACTACTTTTCTAACTTTTCCAGAATTATTTTTCCACTTTTAAAAATGTCTTGAACCTTGGCCGGGCGCGGTGGCTCACGCCTGTAATCCCAGCACTTTGGGAGGCCGAGGCGGGCGGATCACGAGGTCAGGAGATCGAGACCATCCCAGCTAAAACGGTGAAACCCCGTCTCTACTAAAAATACAAAAAATTAGCCGGGCGTAGTGGCGGGCGCCTGTAGTCCCAGCTACTTGGGAGGCTGAGGCAGGAGAATGGCGTGAACCCGGGAGGCGGAGCTTGCAGTGAGCCGAGATCCCGCCACTGCACTCCAGCCTGGGCGACAGAGCGAGACTCCGTCTCAAAAAAAAAAAAAAAAAAAAATGTCTTGAACCTTAAGTATTTTCTTTTTAGGGCTTGAAACTGATGACAGAAAATGTTTCTGGCAGATTTTCTCTTTCAGTTCTTTCTATTTAATGATGAAACAGCATGCTTTCTCACTGTATCAAAGACCAGGGTAAGTACCCTGCAGTCACAAGGTTACAAAAGAACTCCTTGTACTCTAGCAGCAGAGCTCCATTCTCAATACCAATTATTTTAACACCAAGTCAAACTATGTATCACCGTTAGCAAGGACAGGAGATAGTTCTAAACCATGAAACTGGCTTAAGTAATTTTTGGCTCAACTGTCATATCAAACAACAAGTCATTTTAGGTACCGAAGTAAGTAACTGTATTTATTTATAAAATGAGAACTTAAGTCTAATTGTAATGTATAATATCAAACAAAAGACTCATTCATTCATTCCATTGCTATTTCATATCAACTATGTGTTGTCTCAAGCTTGGGCTTCTCGTGTACAGAATTATTGACACTTTGGGCCCATGATTCTCTGTGGTGGGGTCCCCTGTGCAGTGCAGGGTGTTTAGCAGCACCCCTAGGCGCTACCCACCGGACGCCAGTAGCACCACCCGCCTCAGCAGTAACAACCAAAAGTGTCTAGACATTGTCAGCTGACTCTTGGAGGCGAAATCACTCCAAATAATGACCACGGTTTGGATGATGGGGACAATAAATGAGACAAAGTTCCTGTCCTCAGTGACAGGGGCAGGGAGAGGGACAATTAAAACAAATGTCTTGTATAACATCAGACAGTAATACCTACTATGAGGAAAACAAAGCGGAGCAAAGGGACGGAAAGTGATGGCAGGAAGGGAGGGGTATTTTTGATAGAGTGAGCTGCACAGTTAAGAATGAATTGAGTGAGGAAGCGTGGTCGAGCTCTGGGCTCTTCCTGGGCCTTATAATGCTGTGGTCAGGGGTTTGTAATTCTATTCTAAATTATAGGGGAAGCCACTGGAGGATTTTCATCAGGGGACAGGAGTAATATAATCCAATGCACATTAAAAGCTTCCCTGGCTGCTAGCTGAAAAGTAGGCTGCACAGGGCATGGGAGAAAATAGGGAAGCCAGGAAGGAAAGCTACCACAGCAGACCAAGCAGAAAATGAGGGTTTGTACTGGGATGTGACGGGTGGAAGAGGTGAAAATCAGTCAGATTAGAGATTAATTTTAAAGGAAGGGCTAACTTGACTTGCTGGTGAAATGGATTTGCTGTAAGAAAATGGAAGTCCCCCCAAGCCACCAGTGATAATGGTACTGCTATTAGCTAACTGGGTGAAAATGGTGGAGGAACAGATGCGGGAGGAGGAAGGAGGAGGGAGACAAATCAGAAGTTCTGTTTTGAACATGTTCTGTTCGAGCTGCCTGTCACTATCCATACAAAGACCTTGAAATGGCAGTTGGATAAATGAGGCTGGAGCCGAGGGGAGTGGATTGGGCGGGAATATAAATTAAGGAGCCTTCAAACACGAAGATGGCCTTTCAAGCCAATGGATGTGACCACCTGGAGAAAACGAAGTCCAGGGCTGAGGCCAGGCTAGTGGTAAGGCAGAAGCAGGGGCAGAGGATGCAGCAGAAGAGACAGAGAGAAAGAGCCAGTGAAGGAGGAGAAAAATTGAAAGAAGGGAGTGTCCTGGAAGGAAGTGAAGAAGGTATTTCAGAAGAGTGGCCAACTGGCCAATGCTGCGAGGTTCAGCATCATGTAAAAAGGCTGACAGTGAAATCGGCCAAGATTAAGGGCAATCTTGAAAGAATGAGTTCAGACCAAGAGTGGGCACAAAAACCTGAATGCAGGGGGCTGAGGGGAGAATGAGGGGAGACACTGAATGTCGACAAAGCCTTCAAGAAGTGCTCCTCTAAAGGAACATGCAGTAATGGGGTGATGGCCAGAAGGGAATGAGAGGTGTCATGAGCTTGTTCTGTTCAGGTGGTGGGGATGGCCCAACAGAGAGGGAGAAATCAGTGAGTGAACAGGCAGGAGTAACTGACGCAGCTAAATCCTTGAGAAGGAAGTGAACTCCGTGCAGCAGTGAGAAGCTGGCCTTCGATTAGATGATGGACAGCTAGTACTTGACACCAGGAAAGAAAGTAGAGCACTGTGTTATAGATTCAGGCAGCATGGGAGATTTGGTGGTTGCAGAATCAAAGTAGGATTGCTTTTTTTTCTCTCCAAAAAATAAAATTTTGCTACCAACATGAGTATGGGGGACGGTGTGTTAGAAGTCTGGGAGGAAGGAGACTATATCATCTTAGAAGAGTGTGGGCAAGTGAGTGGACTGAGGAAATGCAGTACTACTGGCGATACTAAGGATCCTAATTTTAAATTGGGGTAATAAATTCAAAATGAGTCCAGTCAGCAAGACAGTGTTTTTCTACTCAGCATTCTTCCCCTGTTCAGGTAGGTGAAGAGGTGGGGTTACCCAGGTCTGGGGATTTGCTCTCGATGTGAGAGGCACAGGGGAAATGGCAGCTGAGTGTCTGTAAATGAATAGCTACTGGGATGGCACAAGGGCTCCTAAAGATCAAAGAACCAAGACCAAATCAACCTCTCGTCAGGAAAGCTACTCAAGTGTCTATTTATTGATACATAAAGATTGACTATAGGGGATATCAGAATAGAACATTTTTAAAGACAGGAAAATACAAAAAGACCCCCAAGACATGCTACTTGGGATGAAAGATGAATACTTAGTGTAGTTCTAAATAATATCACAAACAATCTCATTCTTCTAGCAGCTATGCACTTATTCATTCTAGATTTGGAAACAACGTAATCTGTGGGAAATTTTTCTTTAAGTATAATGAGTATTCCATCTCAAATTATATTAGTTGAGATAGACACTGTGAAATTAAGCCATTCCTTAGATTAGTCATCAGAGTGCCTTTAATAAATGAAGTAGAAGCTTATCCCAGAATGAATTCCTCAAATAATAATGAGAATTATCTGACTGGTTCTTTATTATTTCAAAATATGGCATCGATGTGCTATATTAATGTATTATATCTTAGCCCAGTACCTGCCATCAAGTTATTGGCCTGTAAATGGTAGCTGCTATTATTACCAGTAATTACTACATGGCAGACATGAAGACAATACTATCCTCCTGTCTTCAAGGAACTCAGAGTCTCATAGGGATGAAAACTTTAGCAGCTAACCTCGTGGCCCATAGGAGGCGCAAATGTACAATCGCAGAGGCAGGGTGCTACAGGAGCCCTAGAAGGGATGCCCAGGCCTGCCCAGCAGGCTTTGGCAGGAGGGAAGTGCATGGAGAGAGTGAGGCTTGATTTTCAGAAGTAAGTACCTCTAGAAGGACTAGTCAGCCTCAGCCACAGAAGGAACGTGGGTCCTAGGCAGGGGCGCAGGAAGCATGGCAGAATAGGATGCAAAGGCACGTACCTTACAGCTAAATCCCTCTGTGAGGAAGTCAGTTCTTCATCCTTCCGAAACATCCCTGAGAAACAAAAATAGGTACTCATCAATTAAGATTTCTCCCCAAAATGGCATTTTTGCCCATGCACACTTTCATTACTTTCCTCATTTGAAATTCATGCTATTATATTCCTAATTTTGATATAATGACTGTTCCTTTCCTTCTCATGGCAACACAGCCTCGATCATGTGAAAAGTCTCTATAAAATAACACATGGTTGGGTATCTGACTCCACTCTAAGGGGAGTTATAATTAAAGAATTCCCAAATGCTGGCACTTTAAAAATTATAATGTTATTATCCTTAATCGTAAATGCTATGACTTTTCGAAAAGGGGCATTACAATTTTTCTATTATGGGATGACTTAAATGACTACACATGAGTACTATAAACTAGAAGATCAACCTAAAGCAAAGAGCAATTTCCTTACTCCTCCATGACTCCAATGCATGAAAACCAAACTCAAATACATCATCTTCATCCATCTATTTACGTTTCTCTTCAAAGAGGAGGATATATTATTTAAGATTACACATCAATTTACTAGATCCATATGCTTTAAAAATATATACCTCAAATCCAATTTAAAGACCAAAGGGGAATGAAATTAAAAAGCAAATAGCAACATTAATATTAATAAATTAATAAACTAATATTAGTAAAGTAGTAATATTCCCCCAAAGAACCAAAGCTAAAGCAATTAAAAAACAGTGAAATAAATAGACAAAACTAAAAACATGAAAAGACAAATCGTAGAATACATGTAGCCAACTAACGTGAAATGTTAATTTCACGATTAATAATGTTTTCATTATAAATCATTACATGTACATTAAAAGAGCAAGATGCCATTTTCACCTATTACAAGTATGCAGAAATTTTAAAGGGCTCTTACTCATATAATACAATCTAAATTATGTAAAACACACATTTTATGTATTTTATATGTATATAAAACAAAGATGAGAAGAAAATAATTACTGTCTTAAAATGCCTCAGGAACTATTCTATGCACTGAGGAAAGAGCAGACGAAAAACAAACTCCCTGCTTTTATAGCACTTATATTCTAGTAGGGAGACAGAAGATAAACAAATAAATGAGGTACCAAGAGGAACTCACATCATCTTGCTGTAAACCAGTATAGCAAACACTTTAGAAATCTTTCTACCTTCTATTCCTACAACTCTAGCCCTAAGGAAATAACTGAAGGTGTGATTCAAGATTTATGACAAGGATCATCACAACTTTATACGTAATAGCAGAAAAAAAGTAACAACCTATATATGCAACAATTGGGGAATGGGAATATATTACACATTCCACTTTTGACAATTATGTAAAAAGAAAACCATGCCTCATAAGATGATAAAGGAAATATTAATAAAAAAGAAGGGGCCAGGTGCAGAGTGGCTCACGCTTGTAATCCCAGTACTTTGGGAGGCCAAGGCGGGTGGATCACCTGAGGCCAGGAGTTTGAGACCAGCCTGGCCAACATGGTGAAACCTTGTCTTTACTAAAAAAAAAAAAAAAGAAAAAAAAAATTAGTTGGGTGTGGCGGCGGGCGCCTATAATCCCAACTACTCAGGAGGCTGAGGCAGGAGAATCACTTGAATCTGGGAAGTGGAGGTTTCAGTGAGCCAAGACTCAGCCAAAAAAAAAAAAAAAAAAAAAAAAAGTCTGGCTCTGAGAAATGTTGGGGGAGGGACATGGAAGATTATTTTTTCTTCGTATTTCCAATTTGTATTTTTCAAATTTTCCTCAATGATCACATACCTACTTTTTATAATCAGGAGGAAAAAAACACTTAAAAAAAAAGATGATCGAAGATTAGAGAACGGTAAAACATTATCAGGATTTAAACCCCAAAAAAGGGTAATTCCTACTTGTGACAATTCTACTTTCTTCCCCCATATCAGATATATGTTGTCCACCTTTTCCTTAAAAAAAAAAAAAAAGAGCCATCTTTAGAAATGAGGATAAGTATTCAATTTTTAAAAACTCCTTATCCTTTTTTCCCTCATGCTTTTACCAGGCAAGTGACATGTTAATAGCCTTCTTTGTGATTTCAAGCTTTGCCATACATAAACTATGTCATTATATTTAGTCAGCATTTCCAAGTGTTTGGCATAGGGTGGGCCTCTACACCAGTTCAGTCTGCCATGTTGCTCAGAGAAGCGATTACTGCTTTCGAAGTGTAAACTAACCAAGAAAAGTAGACACAGAGCTTAAAGGATAGAGTTGCATAGAACAAACTTGTGTCAAAAGTCTACACGCACAACAAACCCAGCCTTCCTTCTCAGTTCAAAACTTGGGAACTGGCCAAAAGAATCAACAAAAACCAATTAAAGACAAGATATCATTTTTTAAAGCTAGAAGTCTAACCAAGTCCAAGTGAGGCAGTGCAGCAAACAATGGGGTATGACAAGACTTCTGAGCCCTGGCATGACACCACATTGCAGGTGGAGACTGAAAGCCTGCCACTGCTGCTGTGTCTAACAGCTGATACGGGTAGTCCAGTGATTCTACTCTGCTGCTTAGTTACCCTGAACATACCATTTTTTCACTGAATTAATGGAATGGCGTATCTTCCACTGTTTAGTACTTATGTATGAATAGGTAAAAGAAAATGATTGCTTATCATTTTCATGTAAATTCGGAGTCAGGAATCATGGCGATGCCAAACAACCACTGATTATCTCCATGGGTGGCTGCGATAGTGGCACCTTTGGTTTCTGATGGTTCAATGTACACACATTTTGTTTTATGCACAAAATTATTAAAAATAATGTATAAATTACCTTCAGTCTATGTGTATAAGGTATATATAAAACAAATTAATTCTGTGTTTAGACTTGGGTCCCAAGATATCTCATTACATGTATGCAAATATTCCAAAACCCGAATAAATCCAAAATCGGAAACACTTTTCTCAAGTATTTCATATACGAGATATTCAACCTGTACAAACATTCTGTTAGGTTCAAGTATTCCTATTGTGAGGTGACATCAATGAAGCTGCCAGCAAGACAACCAGCTACACTATCCCTAAAGGCCACAGTACAAGCCAGACTTCATGAGCAAACATGCCAGCAGGTTATTTTAGTCATTCATCCTAAGCCCTCAGCAATCTCATATACATGATTCAAAGCCAGAAAGGCAAGCAGGCTCTATTATATGAGGGTGATGAAATGTCTTAAAAACCATGCCTAGAAATACCCAAAGATAAAATAACACCTGCTTCCTGAAGATGCAAATATGAATGATGCCACTGGATTGATAGTTGAAAAACAGACACAGCTGTAGGTAATTTATTTGGTTTCATCTAGGGGTGGTCCTGAACCAGGCTGTGCAGAAACAAGTTAACATAGTTCTGAGAATGCTATCCTTAGAAAGGCCTGCTTATGAGGTGTGCCCACGGCTGGTGTATGAGAACTTGGCTGGTCCACAGTCCCCTACACCGATAGGAAATGTCCCCTATGTCTAGCCTATTTGTGCCAACAATGTGGTTTATTCTGAACACCTGCTTTCCTTCTGGG
Source organism: Homo sapiens (assembly GCF_000001405.40). NCBI lineage: Eukaryota > Metazoa > Chordata > Mammalia > Primates > Hominidae > Homo > Homo sapiens. The sequence goes on from NC_000002.12 coordinate 8,886,082, forward strand.
AGCCTGGAATTTTGGTGTGCGCTAGGCAGCGGGGGCCTATGTGACCAGCCCCCAGTAAAAACTTTGGGTGCTGAGCGTCTAAAGAGCTTCCCTGATGGACACTTCACAGGTGTTGTCACAATCTGTTGCTGGGGGAAATAAGTCCGTTCTCTGTGACTCCCCTGGGAGAGGACTTCTGGAAACTTGTGCCTGGTTTCTTCCAGACTTCATTACAGGCACCTTTGTACTTTATTGACTTTGCTTGGAATCTTTTCACTGTAATAAATGTTAGCCTTGAATTCAACTACATGCTCAGTCCTGTGAATCACCAAACTGGGAGTGGTCTTGGGGTCCCCCAATACACAGATAATAAGGCCCTTCTCTGAAAGATTAGCTGAGAAAATATGGCTTAGACAGGGTTCAATCTATCCCTTGGGAATAAAGGGGTAGGTGGTATGGGATGTGGCAGGCCTGCAGCAAACTGTCTCAGAGGATGTACTGAAGCAAACTGGAAGAGGAACCTAGTTTGAAAAGTTAAAGTGTATGAACTCCTCAAATGCTGCCAAGACTAATCACAATCTAAACTGTTCTAAAGAGATAATTACCATTAAATCCATTTAAAAGAACAGGTTACAAAATGGGGTTTGTTGTTCTTCTGAGTTGAATATATATATTGTCATCAGATACTTCTAGATCTATGGACAAAATTATATCCTTGATCCACGACTTTCCTATATTCTCTTTCCAGTGTCACAGGAGTAATCTGTTACCAGCATACTACAGAAGTTCTAGCACCTGAAGATAATTATAGGCTTTTACCTACAGTGTTTCCTAGTGTAAGTTTTATTATAACTACAGTCTAGTAACAGGGTCGAGTGAGTTTCACCCACTTCATTGATCACAATGCAAGAACTACAAGACACTGTGCATAAATTATAATCCAAGAAAAAACCCTCCAAGCTGAATCATACTGTTAATTGACAAAGGAGAAAACTGAAGCAGTAAGAAGCTGAACTGGAATCTGAGCGTACATCTGCCCATCCATCAAAACCCACACTCCAACCACATCCTCATGTTCCCTCCTGTATGCAGAATTTTCCCTCAGTGGTGTTTCTTTTTCTGAAGGGCAGAAAGATAGTTGCTGTTTAACCTGCAGACTTGATTAAACAAGTAGCAGAGAGTTTTTAATCTACCTCCTTCCCTCCACCACCCCCTCAAAAAACTAAGTGTTAATTTTGCTTGTTAGTAGCCAGAGGGGACAAGAGGAAAAATTCTCCTCTCTCTCTCTCTGCACTGTACTGTCAAGGCTGGTTCTCTGACAATAAGAGGGAAAACCTGCCCGGGGAGTGGGCACAGGATGGGTGGAGACACAGTAGGGCTCAAACTCATCTCAAAAGCTCCGCAGGCTACATACAAATGACCATTCTAACAAGGATGCTTCGTTTCTTCAGTCTTCGAAGGAATCAGAGCCCAAATCTCACGACTCAGAGTCCTGTTAGGCCAGGACTAGATGTCCACTCACTGAAGACAGAAATATTTCTAATAAAAATACATGGAAACAGGTAATTATGAATGTGTGTATATCAAGGAGAAGAGGTGGGGGAAGGCACATAAATTATAATAAAAATTTAACGAGGAGCTGAAGCAGGAAATAATAAAACCTGATCTAGACCAAATGTCTCTTTCCTTTATATGTCAAATTATCACTACTGTGGGCCATATGACTAAATCACACTATTCTACTGTCACTGCACTGAATTCAAAACGAAGATAAAACACTGAAGGAAAGCAAGAAAGCAAGCATTTTTCATAATCCTAAGCACAGTTAAGTATATTTCCCTATCTTACCTCCCTCCATTTCCTTACTCTAATAGCAGAAAGTTATGGCAATATCTCAAGCAAAAGATTATTGGAATTAAATTTTTTCAGCAATAAAAATTAATTTCAGAATTCTTACCATCATGAATTTCGCAAGCCAAACTAGTGATCTTCTGAGTAATGATCATCATTGGGCTGTGACAAGATAAAAAAAATTAGTGTTTTAAAAGAAGAAAGTTAAAACAATACTTATGACATATGAGTTAAGAGTTTATTCTGCTTTTATCACTACAAATCCTGAAATTTTTAACATAAAAAAGACCTCCAAGGGATTTCAGCAATAACTCAGAAGTTATGTATTTGAGGACAGCATAGGCGATGGGGATCTGGACTTTCTCCGAGGCTTCAAAAAATGAAAAACAAAAGAAAAAGGCTCCACCCCTAAAAGAAATCTCCAGTGACCCAGTGATCTAACCTGGCCTCCTCATCTCACACATTAGAAAACAAGGCCCGGAGGTAAGAAGCACGCAGGCATGAGATGTGGCCCCAGTCTCCTGCTTTCTGCTCAGTACTTTCTTCAACATATCATGGACAGACTCTCAACTCCCTATTCTAAAAACTAGGCACCCAGGAGTTACAGACTCTAAACACAGCCATCTAAGGCACTGAAATCATGATGTATTTTAAAGGAAAAAGGACTTTAAAATCATAAGAAAAAAATGGCATTATTTTCCCATATCTTATAATTACTATAATTGAATGAATAACTTAGAAAGGAAAAAACACATCCACATAAGAAAACCACCAGGATGCATCTTAACCTTTAAAGATGACATTAGCTTACAGACAGTATTAAAAAACAGTTAAGGCTGGGCACGGTGGCTCATGCCTGTAATCTCAGCACTTTGGGAGGCTGAGGCGGGAGAATCGCTTGAGCCCAGGAGTCTGAGACCACCCTGGTCAACACAGCAAGACTCCATCTCTATAAAAATAAATAAAATAAAATAAGAATAAATAAAACCACCAGGAAGGCTTTTATCCTTTATTACATTAGCTTACAAACTATACTGAAGAACAATTGACCAGAAGTTATTTAATTTTTTGAAACAATAATATAATAAACCCAGAAAATTGTGTTTTGCCTCAAGGTAGACTGTGCTCTATACACATGCAGAGGAGAACATGTTTCACGGAATCCTGAGGACAGTGTGGCGCACGCAGCATCACCCCATGCACTGCCAAGGAAAGGGGCCAGGAGGGGAGAGGACCCCAGCCTAGGGAGGCTTAGACCCCCGTGGGTCTAGTTCTGACCTGCTCTCTTCCAGCAGTCCACACCGCTCAGTGCAGAAGCTCGAACTGCTGCCTCTCGCAAACAGAGGTGTCTTTCTCACAAGGTCAGCAAACGGCAGCAAGGGTTTGCTTTAAACATTCCTACCACTGGAAATTTGATTCACAGACCTGGGCCCTTGAGAAGCTACAGCTCATTCTCCTCAACTAACGGGAAGGTCTCATCAATGACAAATGTTCTTAAACTGGAAGTGCTTAAGGGAGGAGATTTCTCTTAGGTTCCCTTAAAAAGTCAGTTCTTACATTTACATACTCACTCCTCAGGAAATCATGCTTCAACCAACCTAATCCCCCAGGTGGCTTGGAACACCCGATTGCTATTTCTGCTTTGCAAGATAGATACCCTTCAAGCCCTTGAAAATGATAAAAATGCCCTATAATTTCCATTTCCCTGGGGGAGAGAATCATTTTTCTCACACTGCCTAATTCTTTTCATAGTTTAGCTCACTGGTGAGTTATAAAATTCTCTTCAGTTCTAAATTCTAATTTCCACGTCACCTTAAAACATAGTAACAACTGATAAAATAATTATTACATTTATTTTGTCAATTCAGTGACACAGTAAGCTGTCAGGTATACATAGACAAGATGTTAAAAAAATGCAAATAAGTGCTCTGAGTGTCCTTCTTGTGCCCACTTGGGCCCCTGAACCCACATGCAACTTCTATTCCATCAGGTGCAAAGGACACAGAAACTCTTATGAAAGTAAGCTGCGCTGGGAGGACGGGTGACATGTGGCTGGGAGGACGGGTAAGGTGTGGCTGGGAGTATGTGTGACATGTACCTGAGAGGATGGGTGACGTGTAGCTAGGAGGACAGGTGACATGTAGCTGTATTGCTGGTTCCAAGAATCATGCTCTAACAGAGCGGGAGGGAAGGCAGGAAACAGACCTGAATACTCCAGCCTCTCTCCAAATGCTGCTCCCTTTACCCAGACTACTCTTCCTCGAAGCATTTTACAAGGATAAGTTACTCCTCCCTCTTCATGAATCAGCTGAAGAGTCACTTCACACAAGAGGCCCACTGGACAACTCTATCTCAAGTAGCTTCCCCTGTGCCCACAAAAACACACACACACACGCGCGCACGCAAATACTCTTCATTTCATCTTAGTCCTTGTTTGTTTCCTTCAAGGTGTTTTCACATTCATAGTTGTTTTTTTTATTAAATCTCAGTGGTTGTTTTAAAATCTCTCCCTTTTTAAGAAAGTCCATGAGGCAAGGAACCTAACAGTCTTGTTCACCACTGAATCTCCAGCATGTAGCACAGTGTCTGGCACAAAATATGTGCTAAATGTAAAAAAATGTCTTTTTCATCAGGGTCTCGCTCTGTCACCCAGGCTGGAGTGCAGTGGTGCAATCTCGGGTGACTGAAGCCTTGACCTTCTGGGCTCAAGTGATCCTCCCACCTCAGCCTCCAAAGCAGCTAACCCTACAGGTACATGCTACCACACGTGGGTAATTTTTAAATTTTTTGTAGACACGGGGTTTTGCTATGTTGCCCAGGCTGGTCTCAAACTCCTGGGCTTAAGCGATCCACCCACCTCAGCCTCTCAAAAGTACTGAACTTACAGGTGTGAGCCACCGTGCCTGGCCAATAAATATTTTTAAAATATCAAATAAACTGAATCTAAGTGTCCAGTCAAGATCTATTATTCCTTCTGTAGGTTAATTATACTCTCTCCCATCTGTTCTTTCTCATCTGTGCTTGAAAGCATTTATTATATATTGTAATGATTTGTTTACTTTTCTATTACTACAAAAAACCCATGAGCTACTCAACAGTTAGGAACACAGCTTTAATTATTTCTGTGCCTTCAGTACCTGGCACCTAATACACTATCAGTGTGGTGACTGGTTTATAGAAATGCTTCATCATATTTTGGTTTCATTTCCTGATGGTCATTAGCTCAACACATTCCCTTTGTTTTAAGTGGATGGCAGTCCCAAGGCTTCTGGTCCAACCCATCAGCCGGTGCGTAGCACATGGAGAAACAGAAAGACAGAAGACAAAATTATCATAGGGAACTATGCAGGAGTATGTTATGGATGAAAATAAGAAAGGATTATAGGAAAAGTTCAGTAAGGGATGAGCAGATTAAAGAGAGCTCAGAAATGCAAATTGGAGGGCAAAACAGACATATGAGTCCAACGCAGCAGGTATATGGCTGGGAGACAAGAAAGACTGATGGGAAAGGGCATATCTCACCCTTCCGCAGCAGGAACGACTGTGCAGGAAGCATTTACAACAAAAACAGTGCAATGGTGCACAGGGAGGTAACTGCAGTGGGCTTTCTTAACAGCATATTTTGTTCATAAATCTCTGGTTCAGGACAATTAGGGTGATTCACACAACTATTTCACTTACATCTTTACTGACATTTTAACTATTAAATATCTGTTGACTTTGTATTAATGGAGCTTCAGTATCTAACCACTTCCTGGGCCCTAGGAAAGTCTGGGATACCTTGACACGAATTGGAAAGAACCTCCTGTTTCCCTAGGATGGAAATGGGAAGCTGAAGAAGGTAGGAGAGGCAGAAGGCTTTGGAACTTCCAGAGTGAGGTCAGGGCCTCAGGATGGAGCTTCCGTTTCCTTCTATAGGACAACATTAGTATATTTAAGTGGTATTACCGAAATTTCCTTCCAGTGATACTCTGCTAAGAATGTGGGAAAATATGAAATATAACTGTCCAAAGTAATACTTCAACTGATGTAACAGTTTCAGCTAATATTAAAAAATTCAGCTGAAGTAAAAACTCCAGACTTTCTGAAATAAAACAAAGGATGAAAAAGTTAAAAAATATATTCACACACTTTTTTCTCTACAAAGAACAAGAATAGTAGGATTTGGTTCTATTACACAGTAAAACTCAAATGTAGTTAAACATTACAAGATAATGAATGCTAAAAATGAACAATTACTTTCATGATTGTTCCATTATCTCTGGGAGACCACTAAGCTTAAGGGAAGTCTGTATATTAATGCTACAAATCAACTAAAAGCATCTACTAGGTAACAGCTTGCCACCAGGACATGTGTTACCCAGCAACGGAGGCAAACTGTTAACTGTTCACCTCAGTTATCCTAAGTGTACAAGTACCCTTTCAACCAAACAAGATCCACTGACACCAAGTAACCCCACTTACCTAACACCAAATGAATACAAAGTGAGAGATAATGGAAAAGTCCATTGGTCTTAGTCATCCATTCATTCATTTACTTACTGCTTCATTCAGAAAAAAAAAAGTATTTAATTAATGAGCACCTACGATGCACCAAGTACTGTTCTATGTGCCAAAGATACAATGTGAACAAGACAGGCCAAGTCCTTGCTGCTATGAAATTTATACTGTACTGGAGAGAGACAGATTATAAACAAATAAACAGGTAAAAGACACAGTGTGTCAGATGCTGCCAGTCCTGGGCAGTGAAATGAAGCAGGGTAAGGGGCCTAAGGAATACAGAACACAGGTGGGAACCGGCCTCACCCAGAAGATGACAGTGAAATAGAGGACAAGCTCTGTGGAGGCCTGGGGTAAAAATATTCCAGGAAGAGAGAAAAGTAAGTTCAACAGCCCCAGGAAGAAGTGTGACTGGCATGTTGGAGGATCAGTACGGAGGCCAATGTGATGAGCAAGGAGGACAGGAACAGAAGCTAAAGATGGCAAGCAGGACACCGGATCCAGCAGGCTCTGCAGAGCGAGGACACAGGCTTGGATCTGAGTGACACGGGAAACTACTGGAGGATTTTAGGCAAAAGAGTGACTTGGTTTTAAAAGAATATATTCTGACTCTAGGTTGAAAAAAGACTGTGGGGGCACCAGAGGCAGGGGGAGGGGGTGGGGGAGGAGGCAGGGGGAGGGGGTGGGGGAGGAGGCAGGGGAGGTGGGCAGGGGGAGATGGTGGCTCAGACCAGGGTAACAGCACAGGAGGTCTGAAGTCACCTCTAGATCTATTCTGAAAGGAAAGTCAATGGGATTCGATAATGTATCCAATGTGGGGTTTCATACCTGGAACCACCAAGGTTTTTGACCAGGGTAACTAACTAGGAGGAGAAAGCTGACTGAGAAGGGAAAACAGCACTGCAGCTTCAGGCACGCTTGGCACAAGAGGCCCTAGACAGCAGGGTACATAGGCAGCTGGACATAAGAGTCAGAACACTTAATCCTGACCCCACATCAGCTGTGGAAAACAAGGAAGTTATTTAACTTTTCTCAAAACGGTTACCTATAAAACACAAGTGATAATAATGCCACTGTGTGGATTAAATTCAATAGTATCTGAGACACAGCAGATGTTTAATAGGAGCTGGGTCCCTTCTCCCATTCACACCTTTGCATAGTAACTGCCAGAACTGCTAAGAAGCCAGTGGCGCTGAAGGGACCTAATAATCAAAAGGGAAGTGCTGTTCCTGGAGAAGCTTTCTCTTGAGAACAGGAAATGAAAGGTATGTGAATAAACTACATAACAAAGTATCCACTGCCCAGTGAGCTATTTGAAGGTCTGCACAGAGAGAGCTGAGGGAATGCATTTCAAACAAGAGTCATTTAGTTTGGGCCTTTAAGACTGCAGAAGTTTGGACATGCAGATATGGCTGGAAGGATGTTCCAAGGAGAGACACTGGGATAAGCAGCAGAACTGAAGAAGAAAGAACAGGTGAGAGGGCACACATCAAGGAGGCCCTGCAGGCCTGTCACCAGCTTCTCAGCCTCAGGAAAACACTGCATTTTTTTTTTTAATACTCTAAGTTCTGGGATACATGTGCAGATCGTGCAGGTTTGTTACATAGGTATACATGTGCCATGGTGGTATGCTGCACCCATCAACCCCTCATCTACATTAGGTATTTCTCCTAATGCTAACCCTCCCCTAGCCCCCACCCGCCGACAGAACCCGATACGTGATATTCCCCTCCCTGTGTCCACGTGTTCTCATGGTTCAACTCCCACTTATGAGTGAGAACAACACTGCATGTTTCTGACGAACCTTGTACCACACTGCTTTGTGAACACACATACATTCAGGGAGAAAGGCTTGGTTCGGTAGGGTGGGGAACAGACAAAGCAAACCATAAATAGATCCATCTCTGTTTACTCCTGGTAACTTGAATTACATTAGTGGCAGCTAAACGGAATGTTTCCTGTAATCAAACGTAGGTCAAGGGCTGGGAGACACTCCCACAGAATGGGCCAGGATAAAGGCCCACTACTTGCAGGCAGTTGAATGATTCATATCGACCCTATTTACAACACAGTTGCTGGGCGCCATGTGCGGGGAAGATAATGAAGGGCCAAGGGGGGCCTTCCATGACTCATTTCAGAGAACACAGAAACACATCTACAATTAGACTCTGAACGTGAATAATACTTTCTAAAAAGGAGTGATGGACATGACAAGCACACCTGTGGCTATCAGATTGTGTGCAGAACTGGTGGGTTCTTGGTCTCGCTGACTTCAAGAATGAAGCCACAGACCCTCACGGTGACAGTTCTTAAAGATGGTGTGTCCGGAGTTTGTTCCTTCTGATGTTCAGACGTGTCCAGAATTTCTTCCTTCTGGTGGGTTCGTGGTCTTGCTGACTTCAGGAGTGAAGCTGCAGACCTTCACGGTGAGTGTTACAGCTCTTAAAGGCGGCACGTCTGGAGTTGTTCGTTCCTCCCAGTGGGTTCGTGGTCTCCCCGACTTCAGGAGTGAAGCTGCAGACCTTCGTGGTGTTACAGTTCATAAAGGCGGCACGTCCGGAGTTGTTCATTCCTCCCAGTGGGTTCGTGGTCTTGCTGACTTCAGGAGTAAAGCTGCAGACCTTCATGGTGAGTGTTACCGCCTCATAAAGGCGGTGGGGACCCAAAGAGTGAGCAGCAGCAAGATTTATTGTGAAGAGCAAAAGAATAAAACTTCCACAGCGTGGAAACGGACCCTAGCGGGAGCCACTGCTGGCTCACCTGGCCTGCTTTTATTCCCTTATTTGGCCCCACCCACATCCTGCTGATTGGTCAATTTTACAGAGTGCTGATAGGTCCATTCTACAGAGTGCTGATTGGCCCATTTTACAGAGTGCTGATTGGTCCATTTTACAGAGTGCTAATTGGTCCGTTTTACAGAGTGCTGATTGGTCCGTTTTACAGAGTGCTGATTGGTCCGTTTTACAGAGTGCTGACTGGTGTGTTTACAATCCTTTAGCTAGACACAGAGTGCTGGTTGGTGCATTTACAATCCTTGAGCTAGACACAAAAGTTCTCCAAGTCCTCACCCAATTAGCTAGACACAGAGCGCTGATTGGTGCATTTACAAACCTTTAGCTAGATACAAAGTGCTGATTGGTGCATTTACAATCCTTTAGCTAGACAGAAAAGTGCTCCAAGTCCCCACCCAACCCAGAAGCCCAGCCAGCTTCACCTCTCAATCCCCCCTCTAAACAGGACACCCAACTGCTATTGAGAATTTGGCCGATGACCGCTCTAGCTACTTCCTGCTGGATAGGAGCGAAGAAGGGGCCCTGCAGCTGTAGTGTCCTCCAGAAAAGTTGTTAGTTGAGCTCATTTGGGGTTCCGTTTGTAAGAACATCTGTAGGTTGATGGCCTCGATTCTAGAGGAAACAAATTTGACAAAGAGGTTAAAAATAAAGGGCACGAAGGCAAGTAATAGCAAGATGGCTGTCACAGGACCTAGAAAGGGGAGAAGCCATGTTGCCCAACTCCAGAGGTTGGTATAAGAGTTGTGAAAGGGAGCCGGGCACGGTGGCTCATGCCTGTAATCCCAGCACTTTGGGAGGCCGAGGCGGGCGGATCACGAGGTCAGAAGATCGAGACCATCCTGGCTAACATGGTGAAATCCCATCTCTACTAAAAATGCAAAAAAAATTATCCAGGCGTGGTGGCAGGCACCTGTAGTCCCAGCTACTCAGGAGGCTGAGGCAGAAGAATGGCGTGAACCCGGGAGGTGGAGCTTGCAGTGAGCCGAGATCGAGCCATTGCTCTCCAGCCTGGGTGACAGAGTGAGACTCCGTCTCAAAAAAAAAAAAAAAAAAAAAGAGTTGTGAAAGGTGTTGTCTGATTGCAGAAGCCTTTTCCCGTAAAGGCCGGGTGGCATCTCGTAATATCCCTGACTGGTTAGTGTAAAAACAACACTCTTCCCCTAAGAAGGTGCACAGTCCTCCTTTCTCAGCAGTGAGGAGGTCTAGGCCTCGGTGGTTTTGGAGAGTCACTGCTGCCAGAGTCTATTTGGGATTGTAGAGTAAGGATAGATTTCGTCACTTCCTGCAAACTGTCTGAGAAATCCTTTGAGAGTGTGTGGCAGTAGGATAATGCATGTTACACTGTTAACTTTTAGCAAAATTTACTTTAGTTGAAAACCTTGTTAAGTTTGGGATTTTAATTTTTCTTTGCTATTAATAAGACCTTGTTCAGTCCATATTAACTTAAAATTGGTATAGACGGCTCCTTCCTGATTCTATAAGTACTTTAAGGTTTGGCTGAGTGCAAACAGCTCACACGTTTGAGCAGACCAATTATTAGGCAATTTTCCTAACTCTGCTTCTGTAATAGTTTCCTTATCACTTACTGAATACCCATTGTGTCTTTTTCCTTAATCGCCTGGGAGGAACCATCTATCTCCTGTCCTGAAGGGAGTTCCTCCTATGCCTGATGGGACCTTTGTATGATAATTAAGATTTAGATCCCGTTAGGAAACCTGCTGGGTTAAGGATTTTTGATAGGAAGGCTACGGGCTGTCAGTGGCCTCAGTGCTTTCGGGCTATGCCCTTGTTTACACTGATAACAAGGTGGTATTGGAGTGTTACAGGGTTATAGAGAAGACCTTCAATTATCAATTATAGGTTTTAAAATTTACCCTGGCTTTTAAAGGAAAGGGGTACACTGTTTTTTCTTTACTACTTCTCTCTTTGACTTCTTTGTCTCTGTCTCTTCCTCTCTTTGACTTTCTGTGTCTCTTTCTCTCTTTTTCTCTGATTCCATCTTTGTCTCTTCCTCTCTGTCTCCTTCTTTGTCTCTCTTTCATCCTCTCTCTTTCTCTGACTTTCTGTCTCTTTCTCTCTTTCCTTTCTGCTGCCTCTGCCAGCTGCTTATGCTGCTGTTCTCCCCTCTCCTTCCCCTTTGGATGGCTTCAGCAGTGTAAGACTGCCACCTCCTTGGGTTTCTGTACTGCATGCAATAACTCCATGGTTTCCTTGTGGTATTTAATGGAGGGAACGTTCCCCCAGAGGTTAGGAACTCCCTTTCTTTCCATATTGCAGCATGGGCATGTAGGATTAGATAAGCATACTTGCTATCTGTATACACATTTATTCTTTTTCCCCTTCCCAGTTCTAAGGCTTGGGTAAGTGCCACTAGTTCTGCTAATTGGGCACTGGTCCCTGGGGGAAGAGGCTTACTTTCAAGTATGGTTACATCACTAACTATGGCATAACCTGCCCTTCATATCCCATTCTCCACAAATGAACTTCCATCAGTATATAGGTTAAGGTCAGGATTAGCTAAGGGGACTTCTAAGAGGTCATCTTGGGCGGCAAAACTCTAGACTATAATTTGTTGGCAGTCATGCTCGATTGGTTCCCCATCCTCTGGGAGAAAAGTGGCAGGGTTGAGGGCCACACACATACATATCTGAAGCACTGGTCCCTCAAGGAGTAGCGCCTGGTATCTAAGTAGGCAATTGTCTGATAGCCATAAACTTCCTTTGCCACCTAGTATGCCATTTACATCACGAGTAGTTCAGATAGTGAGATCCTTTCCTTGTATTATTTTGATAGCCTCTGACACTAAGACGGCCACCGCCACAACTATCCGTAAACAGTGAGGCCAATCTTTTGCTACTACATCAATTTCCTTACTTTGGTATGCCACTGTTTGTGGGGTTGTCCCACGAGTCTGAGTAAGGACTCCAAGAGCTATCCTTGCTCCTCTGTGACATACAAAGAGAAGTTTTGTCCTGTCGGAAGGCTTAAAGCTGGAGCTTGTACTAGGGCCTGCTTTAAGGTTTTTGAAGGCTGTTTCTGCCCCTGGTTCCCGTTCTACTAGATGAGTATTTGCCCTGGGTCTCCTTGATTAGAGTATAGAGGGGCCTGGCTATCTTGCTGTATCCGGGGATCCATAGTTGGCAAAAGCCAGTGATTCCAAAGAACCCCCGCAACTGTTTTAATGTCTTAGGGCACGGATAAGCCAGTACAGCCTGTATTCATTCCTTGCTGAGGGCCCTGGTTCCTCTAGCTAAGATTAGGCCTAGATATTTGGCCTGCTGTAGGCAAAGCTGGGCCTTCGACCTAGACACCTAGTACCCTTGATTAGCTAGAAAGTTCAAGAGATCTAGAGTAGCCTGCTGGCAAGAGGCTTCTGAACTGGTGGCCAAAAGTAAATCATCCACATACTGAAGGACCAGAGTGCCTGGACTTGAGAAGTGGCCTAGATCTTGGGCCAGTGCCTGACCAAACAGGGGAGGGCTATCCCTAAACCCTGGGGGCAAGACCGTCCACGTAAGTTGGGACGTGTGGTCTGTGGGATCCTCAAAGGCAAAGAGAAACTGGGAGTCAGAGTGCAGGGGAATACAGAAGAAGGCATCCTTGAGGTCCAGAACAGTGAACCATTCTGCTTCCTCTGGTATTTGAGAGAGCAGGTTATAGGGGTTGGGTACAACTGGATATAGAGGAATTACTGCCTCATTGATAAGTCTAAGATCTTGCACTAGTCTCCACTGACCATTCGGTTTTTGTACTCCTAGAATTGGGGTGTTGCAGGGACTGCTGCATTTCCTTATTAAGGCTTGAGCTTTGAAACGTTTAACAATATCTTGCAATCCTTTATGAGCTCCAGGTCTTAAGGGATATTGCCTTTGATAAGGAAAAGTGGTGGGGTCTTTTAGCCTGATTTGGAATGGGCGGGCATTTTTTGCCCTTCCAAATTGCCCTTCCAATGCCCAGACTTCAGGGTTGATTCCCTCTTCAAGTAGTGGACAACAAATGGGTAACTTGTTCCCCATATTCACGTAGATAATAGCTCCAGCTTTGGCTAATATATCCCTCCCTAATAAGGGTGTGGGACTTTCAGGCATAACAAGGCAGGCATGTGAAAAGAGCCAAGTCTCCCAATTACAACTGAGGAGGTGGGAGAAATACCTGGTTACAGGCTGTTCCAGGATTCCTCGGATGGTAATGGACCTTGAGGACAGTCATCCAGGACAGGAGATTAGCACTGAGAAGGCCGCGCCAGTGTCCAGGAGGAAGTCAATGTCCTGGCCCTCAATGGTTAAACCGTACCTGGGGCTCAGTGAGGGTGATGACATGAGCTGGCGCTTGCCCTGGGCACCCTCAGTCCTGTTGTTGGATCATCTGGTTGGGGGTTTCTGACCCAGAGAACCTTTGTCTTATGGAGCAGTGCACCTTCCAGTGATTGCCACTGCATAGCGGACATGGATGAGGGGGTAGCTTGTTTCTCATTGGACAATCTTTTTTAAAGTGTCCTTGTAAACCACACTCTTAACAAATCCTACCAGATGATTGGCCTGCTCCATTTTCTGTCCTCTCTGAACCACCAAGGTTTGTTTGTCTGAGGGCCATGACTAAGGCTGCGGCCTTTCTCTGATCTCGCTTTTCCTTTTGGGCCTGTTCCTCTTGGTCCCTATTATAGAACACCGAGGTTGCCAGGTTTAATAATGCCTCCAGATTTTGTTCAGGGCCCAGGGCTTGCTTTTGGAGCTTTCTCCTGATATCTGCGGCTGATTGGGTAATAAACTTATCTTTTAGAATCAATTGACCCTCTAGTGATTTGGGTGACAGGGGAGTATATTTTCTTAAGGCCCCCCATAGCTGTTCAAGGAAGGCAGAAGGATTTTTTTCCTTTCCCTGAGTTACGGTGGACAACATTGAGTAATTCATGGCTTTTTTCCTAATTCTTCTTAGTCCTTCTAGAACACAGGACAACAGATGTTTACGACTCCAGTCCCCATGATCTGAGTTGAGGTCCCAGTGGAGATCCATACTGGGGATGGCTTGCTGACCAGTAGGGAATTTGTCCCTTTCTTCAGCTGTCATTCTATCATTTACTTGACTAAGATACCAAGTATCTCCAAACTTTGGGGCTGCAGCTAAAGTCGCATTCTTTTCATTAAAGGCCAGGGTTTGATCTAATAATAGCATGACATCTCTCCAAGTGAGCTCAAAGGTTTGCCCTAGACCCTGTAGGACATCTATGTACCTATCAGGATCATCTGAAAACTTCCCCAGGTCTGCCTTGATCTGCTTTAAATCAGAGAGGGAGAAGGGGACATGTACCCAGGTTGGGCCAAATTTCCCTCCTCCTACAGCTTGAAGGAGACATATCCAATAACCTGGGGGGTTTTGTGGTACTTTGGAGATTTCTTTGCTTATTTCCTTCTGAGTGGGGGAGATTAGAGGAGGATTATCATTAATAGAAAGGGGAGCTATAGGGAGGCTAGGATATGGCGGTAAGCTGAAAGGTCCTCCTGTGGGATATAAATTTCAAGCTTTGCATACTTGTGTATTCTCCTTCAATGAAAAGAAAGCTCAGACATAAGGTATTTCACTCCATTTGCCTTCCCTCTTACAGAAAAGATCAAGCTTCAGGATAGTATTGTAATTTGTACTTCCCTCTGGTGGCCATTTTTCCCCATCAGAGAGAGAATACTGGGGCCAGGCTGTAGTGCAGAAAAAAATGAGCTGCCTCTTTTTCAGGGTTTGTGGGTCAAATTGGTCCCAATGGCTTAGGATGCATTTCAAGGGTGAGCCTGTTGATGCCTGAGTGTTTCCCATCTGAAAGACAAAACCACCCATGGTTTTGGTTTGTTTTGTTTCTCGCCCTGCCCAAGAACCTGCAACAGTCCCTGGACCCTGCTGATCGGAATAGTTGTGCTCACTGATGCAGCAGTAGAAACAACCCCTGCCCAAGAACCTGCAATGGTCCCTGGACCCTGCTGATTGGAATAGTTGCGCTCACCGATGCAGCAGCAGAAACAACCCTGCCCAAGAACCTGCAACAGTCCCTGGACCCTGCTGATCAGAATAGTTGAGCTCACCAGCACAGCAGCAGAAACATTAGTTTTCCTCCTAGACCACAAGGAGGACCAAGGAAGGTCAGATTTAGTGGCCCTTACCGACGCATTCTCAAAAACGTGCACCCTTGCCTGTCCTCCTAGACCACAAGGAGGACCGAGAAAAATTGGATTTAGTGGCCCTTACCGACACATTCTCAAAAACCTGTTAGAGTCCTAAGCATTCTCCTGTTAGTATTAGGACTTTACCCATGTACTATAAAGATGTTATGCCCCAAAAATGAAGTGGAGGGCCATACCCTGAGGGAGGGAAGGGATCTCCAGAGTTACAAGAGTGATGCCTTTTGTCCTCACTTATATGAATAGGAAGGATACAATTTCTGAGGCACCCCGTATCCTAGCTTCAGGAATAGTTTTTGTTAGGCCTGCTTGTCTGAGGAGGGATTCTAAAATTCCAGATAGTCCCCCCTACGATGGGGCTTTGGGCAAAAATTATGTCTTTCTGATTGGTGAGCCCGGGTGCCTAAAGAAGGTAACAGAGTCCTGAAGTTTATACTAGAAATCATTCTTACAGGAGAAACTAGAAAAGAATCAGAGACAGGGAGTGGTTTTTAGAAGCAGGACTAGCCTTGGAGAAGAGAGGCGAGAGGAAGTTTGTCTGACAGGCATTAGGACCCAGGAGGCAAGGGTCAGGATAGATAGGATAGATGGGCGAGTCTCGCTTGGGCGACATGACTTTGAGAGTTCCGCTCATGGCCGCAGGGTCAACCAACTTGTTGTCGGGACCCCGGAGCTGAATGGCTTTCCTCTCTGTCAACCCTCAGCTCAGCCCAGAGGTACAGGAAAAGTGGAAGCTGGTTCCAGGCAAACCAACGCTCCCAACTCCTAAGAGTCAGGGGTTGTTAAGAGAGCCCTTTTCCAGAAAGCCTGACACCCGTGTCCGTAGTCCAGCGGCCGTGCTAGTCGCTTTTAACTGGCCAACAGGTGCCCAGTATTTAGCCCCCAAATTCTAAGGAAAAATAGGACAAAATAGCAAATGAAAGGGGTCCGATGGTACTCACCACTTGGCGATAATCAGTGGTCCCTTTGTGGTCACCAAAATGTGTCTGGAATTGGTGGGTTCTTGGTCAAGCTGACTTCAAGAATGAAGCCGCGGACCCTTGCAGTGAGTGTTACAGTTCTTAAAGATGGTGTGTCCGGAGTTTGTTCCTTCTGATGTTCGGACGTGTCCGGACTTTCTTCCTTCTGATGGGTTCGTGGCCTTGTTGACTTCAGGAGTGAAGCTGCAGACCTTCGTGGTGACTGTTACAGCTCTTAAAGGCGGTGCGTCTGGAGTTGTTCATTCCTCCCGGTGGGTTCGTGGTCTCACTGACTTCAGGAGTGAAGCTGTAGACCTTTGCGGTGACTGTTACAGTTCATAAAGGCAGTGCATCTGGACTTGCTCATTCCTCCCAGTGGGTTCATGGTCTGACTGACTTCAGGAGTAAAGCTGCAGACCTTCACGGTGAGTGTTAACAGCTCATAAAGGTGGCGGGGACCCAAAGAGTGAGCAGCAGCAAGATTTATTGTGAAGAGCAAAAGAACAAAAAGCCTTCACAGCGTGGAAGGGGACACAAGTGGGTTGCTGCTGCTGGCTCGGGTGGCCTGCTTTTATTCCCTTATTTGGCTCCACCCACATCCTGCTGATTGGTCAATTTTACAGAGTGCTGACTGGTCCATTTTACAGAGTGCTGATTGGTCCGTTTTATAGAGTGCTGATTGGTGCGTTTACAATCCTTTAGGTAGACACAGAATGCTGATTGGTGCATTTACAATCCTTGAGCTAGACACAAAAGTTCTCCAAGTCCCCACCCGATTAGCTAGACACAGAGCGCTGACTGGTGCATTTACAAACCTTTAACTAGGCACAAAGCACTGATTGGTGCATTTACAATCCTTTAGCTTGACAGAAAAGTTCTCCAAGTCCCCACCCGACCCAGAAGCCCAGCTGGCTTCACCTCTCAAGATCACATGGTCTATCACTTCTTCTTATACTTGAAAAAAATGCTGCCTACAAAAGTACCTGGCTCAGCCTTCAAGAACTTAGCAAAATGCACAGTGCCTGCTTAATAAACCTTAGTGAAGGAGCACACACGACTGAGCAGTAGTAAACATTTACCAAGCCTCTGATACGGTTCAGTTAGCTCTAAGATATATCCTTGATGTGAATAAACAATTATTTCACATAGATTTTTTTTTTTGGTGGGTACACTAAAAGCAACTCTTTCAGTACCACAGAAATCAACATATTCCAATCAGAACGTTTTTGCCAAAAAATCTGTTCTCGCTTCCATCTACAATCTATTATCTCTACCTGGGGCAAGGATTCACCTTTCTCTTCTCTTTCCAAATGTCCCAATACAATTTACTGAGTACAGCCTAGCTTTCCCCACGGATTTCTGATCCCACCACTGCTGTTCTGTATTTTAATTTCTTAGATCCGTGAGTCTCTTTCTCAGTCCTTCATCCGGGTTTCCTTGGTTTGCCTATTCCTGTCAGTCCAGAATATTTTAATGACTCCTGCTTTACAGACGGCAGTATGTCTTTATATCAACTTCACTACACTCAAGCATTTATTCTTCTAGAGAAAAATTTTCAATTTATTTATCTAATTTCCCTCAAGACTCCACAATTTTACCTGCATTAACATCAACAGATTAACTTGGGGGAATCAGTATCTTTTTTTTTTATTTTACTTTATTTTTTATTTTTTTTGAGACAGCTCTGTCGCCCAGGCTGGAGTGCAGTGGTGTGATCACAGCTCACTGCAACCTCCACCTCCTGGGTTCCAGTGATTCTCGTGCCTCAGCCTCCGAAGAAACTGTGATTACAGTTGTGCGCCACCACGTGGCTAATTTTTGTATTTTTAGTAGAGACGAGTTTTGCCATATTGGTCAGGCTGGTCTCAAACTCCTGGCCTCAAGTGATCCAGCTGCCTCAGCCTCCCAAAGTGCTAAGATTGCAGGCATGAGACACCATGCCCAGCCCCATTCGTATCTTTATAATACTGAAGGTTGTTTTTATTTTTTATTTTTTTTTTTTTGAGATAGGATCTTGCTGTGTTACCCAGGCTGGAGTACAGTTGTGCGAACATGGCTCACTGCAGCCTCAACCTCCGAAACTCAAGCGATCCTCCCACTTCAGCCTCCTGAGTAGCTGGGACTACAGGCACACAGCACCATGCCAGCTAATTTTTAAATTTTTTGTAGAGATGGGGTTTCACCATGTTGCCCAGGCTGCTCTTGAACTCCTAAGCTCAAGTGATCCTCCCACCTTGGCCTCCCAAAGTGTTGGTATTACAGGTGTGAGCCACTGCACCCAGTCACAATACTGAGTTTTATTATTCAAACAAACAGTCTGATTTTTTTTTCCAGTTACTCTATGTTCTACAGTAACAATTTATAGTTTTCTGCACAGGTTCTGTACATTTCTTTTTACACATATTACTACACATTTCATGGTTTTTCTTGCTTTTGAAATAGGATCCTTTTTCTATCATATTTTCTAACTGATTACTGCTGACATGAAGAAAGCTATTTAGTTGTTTTATACTTCTCTTGTATCTATTTTCTGAGGCTAACATGAAACCAAACAACTTCAGTAGCTTTTCAACCTTTCTGTAAACAGAAACTTGTATTATGTATTATGGTATAAGTTTATCTTTATCTAATCAACATTTTAAATGTATCTTAAACCTAACAATTTACACATACACACACACACACGCGCGCAGTTTCTCCATACTCTTGTGCAAGTAAAACTGTCCCATAAAAGAGAGATTTCACACTGATTCCTCAGCAAGAGTCTGGGCTTTGCTTCTTGCACTTTCTAGCATCAGAGCAACAGACCAGCTCAGCACCAAGAGTGAGTCACTATCCAATCCACCTTATTAGCCATCTAACATTCTGAATAGCTATGATATTCACGCTAATTAGGATCAAGTCAGGATCTTTTCTGCTCATGTATTATAACACATTCAAGGGTTCCCTGTGCTTGAATACTTCATTAAGGGGAGAGTCTGTCTCTAGGTGGCTTTTTCTCCCTTGTGCCCATTAAAAAACAAAACAAAAAAAAACAAGAGCCTTCAAGTTCATTCTGCCACAATGATCTCCTTCAGCTAATTCGACTATCTAATCTTTATCAGTTCACTGATAATGGTCAAAAGTTTTCTCCTATACTATGCAGCCATAAAAAAGGATGAGATGCATGTCCTTTGTAGGGACATGGATGAAGCTGGAAACCATCATTCTCAGCAAACTATCAGAAGGATGGAAAACCAAACACCGCATGTTGTTATTCACAGGTAGGAAGTGAACAATGAGAACACTTGGACATAGGGAGGGGAACATCACACACCAGGGCCTGTTGTGTGGTGGGGGGATGGGGGAGGGATAGCATTAGGAGAAATACCTAATGTAAATGACAAGTTAATGGGTGCAGCAAACCAACATGGCACATGTATACGTATGTAACAAACCTGCACGTTGTGCACATGTACCCTAGAACTTAAAGTATAATAATAAAAAAAGTTTCCTCCTAATGGATAAAAATTATTCTTTAAACTTGGAGATTTATAAACAGGTTTTCTATCTTTAAAAGTCCAGGTTGTTTTTCTTCTACATATTTAAACATTTAAAATTGCATTTAAGTATTTAACTGGCATTTTATTTTTATTTATTTCATTTTTTTGAGACAGGTTCTCACTGTGTCACCTGGGCTGGAGTGCAGTGGTGCAATCTCAGCTCACTGCAACCTCTGCCCCCAGGGCTCAAGCAACTCTTCCCACCTCAGCCTCCTGAGTAGCTGGGGCTACAGGTATGCGCCACCATGCCTATTTAATTTTTTGTATTTTTAGTAGAGACAGGGTTTTGCCATGTTGCCCAAACTCCTGAGCCCAGGTGATCCACCTGCCTTGGCCTCCCAAAGTGCTGGGATTACAGGCATGAGCCACCACACCCAGCCTTTTAAATGTCAGCAAAATACTTCTAAAGTCACGTCCTATACAGCTGTTTTTTAAACATGCACTATGCTCTTAATGTCAATTGTCCTATGATCTATGAGGCCACGTGACTCATGCTTGCTGACAGGATGCAGGCACAAGTGTTGCGCAGGCACACCCTCACTTTGCTCACACTCACCACCCTGCCCTCAACTTCA
Source organism: Homo sapiens (assembly GCF_000001405.40). Taxonomy (NCBI): domain Eukaryota; kingdom Metazoa; phylum Chordata; class Mammalia; order Primates; family Hominidae; genus Homo; species Homo sapiens. The sequence goes on from NC_000002.12 coordinate 8,906,444, forward strand.
CCTAGAGGATTCCAGAGCCTGAAGGAGGTGAAACCACAAGAAGGAAGGAGTCTGGTTCCCTGAATGACTGTGTGGAGCAGAGACTCCCTTCTCAATGAACTGTAATGTGAATGAGAAATAAACTCTTATTACGTTGAGCCACTGAAATAATGTTACTGTTTTAAATGCAGTTAGCCTATCCCTAGATAACACAGAAATGTGAGGTAAAGGTCTTGAGACTGCCAAGAATTTGGAATAGCTGACGAGGAAAATAAAAAGGGTAATGACCAAGATCAAACTGATGGAGGGGCTGTGAGAGCCCAATAAAGACTGAGTCACACAAATCTATAGTAACACCAATCCACATGGTTGTACAATAAATTCAATTTGCCTATGTAAATCACTTTTTAAATCAAATGGTTAAAAGAGCAACAAAATATTTTTTAATGAAATATACGGAATCCCAAAATACAAACTAGAGAAATACAGAGCAGATGTGGCTGAAGCAAGACTGGAGGACCTAGAACCTCATCTGCTGAGCTCCTCCGACACCTGCAGAACCTGCCTGCAGAGTCCCAGGACTCTAAAGGTCAGTGTGAAAATTCATGATTTTACAGTATCGTTAACCTTAAGTTGCTAATGTTAATATTTGTTATCAACATTAAACTAAATTAATTAAAAGTATGCTTTTTGTTTCTATTTTCTACTATTAATAAATGCTTATTTCTCACTTATTATAATTCAAGTATTCAAAGCTCTTAATTTCTCTTTCAGATGGCACAGCTTTGCCCACATGGCTCCAGTTTCTCCATTTGTGTTGTCTGTTACTTTCCCCCATTTTTCTCACTGTATTTTCAACTTTCTTCTGTACTGAAGTATTATTCCCGACTCAATATATATTTAATGCCATCGTGTGCTAAGCACTAGGATGCATGATGAACAAGACCAATATAGGTGCAAATTCTCAGGAGAATTTAATTTTCTAAGTGACTGCAATTCTTTTAAACTTATATAACTATTTCCCAATTTCATTACACTATGATGACAATGTGACCTGGGCTACTTCCTCAAGATCACGAAGGTTTTCACAGTGGTCCAGTATCTACTGATCCTGCTCATGAGGTAATGTTTTCCAGGAATACCTACTATCCATAAACTAGATGGCCAGCATCTGCTCTCCTTTTCTGCCCTTCCAGGTGTATCTCCCAATTCCACTCAATAGCTTCGATTAACTAGTTTTTTAGTGCATTTAAATTGTTTTGTTTTGGCCTTGGGTTTTATTTGTTTTTGATGTAATTTCCTTTCATCTGAACCTATTTTTAAAATCTGTGTAGTAAAATATACTTTAATCTCATTAGGGAGAAAAAGGTATTTCCTCTTTCTCTTCTAAAACTCTCTTGTTTTATAGAAGTGATTTTTTTTCCCTGAGCTCATACAACTTTGGTCCATTTCTATTGCTGAACAATTTTTTTTTCAGAGGTAACATGATTTTTCCAACACACTTATCCTTACACTGGATTTACTGCTCATTACTTACGCTGTCCAGATGACCCGAGACTAGCCCAAAGCAGGCCTATTGTATCTTGTTCACTGGAGAAAGCAGTCAAGCTTGACATAAAAAATATATATGTATATAAAGGTTTATCTTCAACTTCCCCATCTGGTACCAAAGTGTTAGCAGATGTCACTTTATAAAGATGGAAAGCAAGTTACTTCGTAAGAGCTTGTGCATTTATTTCACAACAGACATATAATCAGTTTTGTTACAGGACAAAAAGATTCATCTAGTACCAGGAAGAAAATACATCCCCTTTGAAGGAACAAATGCCAGAAATTATTTCCACTACTCAACTGAATACTGGTGTTGAATGGAGAACACTGAAAATAGGTGAAATGCATAGAAGTAAAACGCACTCTTGAGCGCCTTCTCTAGGAAACTCAGACTGACCTAGCCCAAGGACCTAAGAACCAAAGGAAGTTCCATTAGGCAGGAAGAAGCAGAACAAGGCTCTTACTGACTTAGATAGTACTAAAAAGACTACTTACAAGAGAGAAATTCTAAATTTAGAAAGAAATTTTCAACTAAAATGTTTAATAATAGCTTTTCACTTGAACTACTAAATGCAAATATATTTTGTCCTTTAACCACCTTGTTGGAATGGATAAAACAGGCTACTGAATCAAAGTTTTCATCTTACCCTGAAAAATCAGCAGAATATTGTCCATAGTCAAAGATATAGACTCGAGTAACTTGGCACACTGTGAGGTATCCCAGAGCAAACACAAAGCAGTAACTGCAAAACAAAAATAAGCTACATTAATGAAAATAAGACTCATTTTGTTAAAGAGTACATTTTAAAGTAATTTATTAGCTAAATGATATGGTTCAGAAATTAAATATTACTAGATCTACTCTACAAACACCCTTCTTTAATAAATTATGAAAACTCTTTTCTAGTATCCACTTCAGTTTACTTGACTATCACCTTCAATGGTAAATTCATTTTATTCATTTCCTTCTGAGAGACATACACACACCACTTTACATATTTGAAATCAGGATCACAAGCATAAACCTGTGGTTAGTATGTGTTCCATTTATTCCTCCTTTCTAGGACACAAAAGTTAGCACAAAAATATTTGGCTAAGGTATACATTCAACAAATTCTTAATAGAATTTTGAAAAAAACCTGTCCTCGATAGTCTAAAAGCATACCTTCTAAGTATGAGTCGGGTGGCATTTACACACATTTCATAGCCATGAACACTTACTGATTTCTATAAACTTAAGATGCTTGGAATATAGTTACAATTAAAAACATAGCATGGGAAAAAGAACTTATATATCAACAGGAGAGAACAGAAACCCAGAAACAGACTCCAGAATATTTAACATTGAATAGGATGAAGGCTGCAATGCAAATTATCAGGGAATGGATGAGTTGTCATCTAATTGGTTCACAGTCTGGGTGGGGAAAAGCAAGCTATGCCTTCATCTCACACCGAAACAATTCTATGTGGATTAATGAATTATATGTAAAATATACAAGTACAACAAATAGTAACTGTGACTAAATATTCAAATGTTCTGAAATTGGGGAAGGACTTTCTAAGCAATATATGATATAGGAGAAATCAAGGGAGAAAAAAACCTTTAACTAAAAAAAAATTTGACCAAATAAAAATCTTTGTCATGTAGGCAGTTCAGGTGGTTTTATGAAAGTTCTTTCAAACTTTTGACAAATAGTTAATTATAATCTTTTGAATTATTCCTGAGCAAAGAACAGGGAAGGAAAGCTTCCTAATTCAAATGTTTAACAAAGTTAATATATTCATGATTGCTGTATCTGACAAAAATAGCACATATGGATACCCATACACAAAGCATTGAGAAATCAAATTTTAAATAATTTCTAAAAATCATGTGGCAGACTGCACTTTCCAAAGATGCCCAAAACAGTATCTCCCATTTTATACACTCTTCTGCAGTCTGTCCTGCTCCCCGTCAAGAGGAGGAGTCTACCTCGCTGCCCACCTCTAATTGCCCACTTCTGTGGGCTGGCCTTCTAACTGCACAGACCAGCGGATTACAGAAGCAACATTTTGCTAGTTCCAGGTGTGAACCATAATTAACCTGGGAGTTTCTACTTTTTGCCTTTTAGAAGTTGGTTGTTGGGAAGAAGTGTGACCATCCTGAGACCACTGCATGTAGAGATTCTGGAGGATGAGAGACGATCCAGAGAAAGACAGAGAGAGAGAAAGAACAAGAGAGAAAAGGTGGGATAAAGGAAGGGTTGGGGATTGGGTTGGGTGTAGGTCCTAATCAAGGAACTGATCACACACATCTAGGGGACAAGGAAGGAAGGAAAGAGGGGTGAAGGAGAGAGGAGCAGCGTGGAGATGGAGAGTGAGGCACTAAGGAGCACCAAGTGGTTAGACATGTGAGTGAGGAAGCTGATTCCACATGAAAAAGAGATGATGCTATCCAGTTGAACCCTTCCTGAACTGCTTATCCACAGTCATAAGCAACCTAATACAGAGTATCAATTTGTTTTAAGCCACTATGTTTTGATGTAATGACATAATCAAAACAGAAACTGGTAACTGAAAATGGGGTGCTACTATAACCAAACACCTTTATGGAACATGTCAGATAAGAAGCCGTTTCTAAGAATCCTAAGCACATGCCTCTTAGACATTCTCTGATAGATAAAAAAAAGTTTTTAAGAACCCCAAGGGTGTTGTCACACAGCACCCCAACTCTCAAAGTAGAAAGGAGGCTGTCTAAAAGAGATTTGTGGGTGTAGTTTCTGTCTAATGTAGAGGATTACAATTAGATACACAGGAAGCCCACATAGTTTTCTAATGGGCTTGTAAAATATTAGACTGAAAAGGAGAGACAGTTCAAAATGAAAAGAGATGTTTAGGTCCCCAAATTTTACCCACAGGAAGCAGTCTAGGAAAGCTATTCAAATGTAAAACCTGGCAATTTCTTATGAAAAAGAACGACTAGTTCAGGGTGTGGAGTCAAGAGCTCAGAGGATGAAGCCAAACACCACACAGATGCACTAGAGGGACTGGGTCTGGGCCCTAAATCAAGGAACTGATCACACATATCTGTCTAGATTTCACAATCACCATGGACTAGGGACTGAGAAGCGCCTTACAGTCCAATCATTTTCATTAACAATAATGTCTCCTACAGTTGTCCTATGGCTGATCATCACTGGATACTAGGTGTGTGAGGGGCAAAACACTTGTCCATTAGTCCACTGGTCCTCAAATCAAAAAGAACTGTACTTGAGGACCCACTCCAACAACCCTCATCCAGACCTGACTTAGATGACAAGATCAAGAACTTGAGCTTGATTCCCTAATGAAATGAGACTTTGGGGATCTTGGGAGGAAAGTGGGTAAACTTTCATGTAGGATTCATGTGAACTGTGGGGGCCAGAGGACTGGCTGTTTTTCAAGACTGCTGCCATCAATAACATCCCTCCCTGTTGCACATGTCTAACTCTTTACATCAAGAGCTGAAAGAAAATTCTTGCTATGGTTGGGATGTTCGTCTCCTCTAAAACTTCATGTAGAAATCTAATCTCTAATGCTGGAGGTGGGGCCTAATGGGAGGTGTTTGGGTCATGGGGGCAGATCCCTCATGAATAGATGAATGCCTTCCCTGGGGGATGAGAAGGTGAGTGAGTTCTCACTTTATTTATTCCCTTGAGAACTGGTTGTTAAAAACAGCCTGGCACCTCACCGCTCTTTCCTCCTCTCTGGCCACGTGGTCTCTGCACACACTGGCTCCCCTTTACCTTCTGCCACATGTAGAAGCAGCCTAAGGCCTTCACCAGGGGCAGATGCTCAATGTTGAACTTTGTAACCATCAGAACCCCAAGCCAAATAAACCTTTTCTCTATAAATTACCCAGCCTCAGGTATTCCTTTATAGAAACATTACATTAAGACACTTTGCCGTCCCACCCCCTTGAATCTATGCTAGACTTAATAATTTATTTTTACCAATAGAATACAGTGCAAATCATAAACAGAATTAAAAACAAAAATCACATGATATCTCAACAGATGCAGAAAAACGATTTGACAAATATCCTGCATACCTTTATGATTAAAACCCTCATCAAAATTGGTATACAAGGGACATACCTTAATGTAATAAAAGCCACCTATGACAAACCCACAGCCAACATAATACTGAATGGGGAAAAGTTGAAAGCATTCTCACTGAGAACAGGAACAAGACAAGGATGCCCATTCTCCACACTCCTCTTCAACATAGTACTGGAAGTCCTAGCCAAATCAATAAGAAAGACAGACAGACATAGAGAAAGACAGAAAGACAGAAGGAAAAGAAAGAAAAGAAAGAAAGAAAGAAAGAAAGAAAGAAAGAAAGAAAGAAAGAAAGAAAGAGAAAGAAAGAAAGAAAGAAAGAGAAAGAAAGAAAGAAAGAAAGAAAGAAAGAAAGAAAGAAAGACAGGCCGGCCGGCCTTGAAAACCCTAAGGACTCCTCCAGAAAGTTCCTATAACTTATTGATAAAAGAATTCAGCAAAGTTTTCTGGATACAAGATTAACGTACACAAATCTGTAGCTCTTCTATACACCAACAGCAACAAAGCGGAGAACCAAATTAGTAATTCAACCCCTTTTACAACAGCTGCAAAAAAATAAAATACTTAGGAATATACCTAACCAAGGAGTCAAAAGACCGCTACAAGGAAAACTACAAAACACTGCTGAAGGAAATCATAGACGACACAAACAAATGGAAACACATCCTATGTTCATGGATGGGTAGAATCAGTATTACGGAAATGACCATACTCCAAAAGCAATTTACAAATTCAATGCAATCCCCATCAAAATACCACCATCATTCTTCACAGAGTTAGAAAAAGCAGTTCTAAAATTCATATGGAACCAAAAAAGAGCCCGCATAGCCAAAGCAAGACTAAGCAAAAAGGACAAATCTGAAAGCATCACACTACCTGATTTCAAACTATACTATAAGGCCATAGTCACAAAAACAGCATGGTACTGGCATAAAAATAGGCACACAAACCAATGGAACAGAATAGAGAACCCATAAATAAACCCAAATACTTACAGCCAACTGATCTTCAACAAAGCAAACAAAAACGTAAAATGAGGAAAGGACACCCTTTTCAACAAATGGATAATTGGCTAGCCACATGTAGGAGAATGAAACTGCATCCTCATCTCTCACCTTATACAAAAATCAACTCAAGATGGATTAAGGACTTAAACCTAAGACCTGAAACTATAAAAATTCTAGAAGATAACATTGGAAAAACCCTTCTAGACTTTGGCTTAGGCAAGGATTTCATGACCAAGAACCCAAAAGCAAAGCAATAAAAACAAAGATAAATAGTTGGGACCTATTTAAACTGAAGAGCTTTTGCATGGCAAAAGGAACAGTCAGCAGAGTAAACAGGCAACCCACAGAGAAAATCCTCACAATCTATATACATCTAACAAAGAAATAATATCCAGAATCTACAACGAACTCAATCAGTAAGAAAAAAAACAAACAATCCCATCAAAAAGTGGGCTAAGGACATGAATAGACAATTCTCAAAAGAAGATATACAAATGGCCAACAAACATATGAAAAAATGCCCAACATCACTAATGATCAGGGAAATGCAAATCAAAACCACAATGTGATACCACCTTACTCCTGCAAGAATGGTCATAATTAAAAAAACAGTAGATACTGGTGTGGATGCAGTGCTCAGGGAACACTTCTACACTGCTGGTGGGAATGTAAACTAGTACAGTCACTATGGAAAGCAGTGTGGAGATTCCTTAAAGAACTAAAAGTAGAACTACCATTTGATCCAGCAATCCCACTACTGGGTATCTACCCAGAGGAAAAAAAAGTCATTATTTGAAAAAGATACTTGCACATGCATGTTTATAGCAGCACAATTCACGATTGCAAAATCGTGGAACCAACCCAAATGCCCACCAATCAACAAGTGGATAAAGAAACTGCGGTATATATATACGATGGAATACTACTCGGCCATAAAAAGGAATGAATTAACAGCATTTGCAGTAACCTGGATGAGACTGGAGACTATTATTCTAAGTGAAGTAACTCAGGAATGGAAAACAAAACATCATATGTTCTGATATGTGGGAGCTAAGCTATGAGGATGCAAAGGCATCAGAATGATACAATGGACTCTGGGGACTTGGGAGGAAGAGTGGGAGGGGTGTGAGGGATAAAAGACTACAAATATGGTACAGTGTATACTGCTTGGGTGATGGGTGCACCATGATACAGTGTATCATGACTGTAGCCAGTACAGCATAAACAGAAAACGAACAAACAAAAAAACAAAAACAATCTCATTAACATAAGCAAAAATATTAACCAACATTCATATTGGAACTACATTCATTTGCCAATAATGTGAACAACTACTTTACTAAATAGGACAGTAACCAAGCATTTATTTATAGTCATTTTTGTCAAATTACAGTTGAATTGCAGCCATAAGTTAGCTGTGAGAGTTCAGGAAAAAAAAAAAAACAATGAAAGTGTTTTGTGAGAATCAACGAGCTATACGGAATTGAAAATAAAGAATATTCTATTATCATTATTATTTGTCAATTGTGCACTAAAAGTCTGTTAAATTTGTAAAATTTACAATAAACTCATGTATGCATATTTATGCATTTTTTTCCTAGAAAGCCAGTTAGTTGTTACTTACCAATATACCCCAACTAGCCACATGTAGTTACTGAGCTCTTGAAATGTGGCTAGCACAAACTGAGATAAGCTGCAATTGTAAAATAAACCCCAGATTTTGAAGACTAAGTATAAAAACAAAAATTGTTTTCATTGATTACACTTGAAATGATATTATTTTGGCTATATTGGGTAAAATGAAATGTTATTACTAAAATATATTACTTAATGTGCTTTTTTTTCAGTTTTTAAACTGTGACTACTGGAAATTTCTTTTTTTTTTTTTTTTTTTTTTTTGAGATGGAGTCTTGCTGTCACCCAGGCTGCAGTGCAGTGGCGCAATCTCGGCTCACTGCAACCTCCACCTCCCAGGTTCAAGAGATGCTCCTGCCTCAGCCTCCCGAGTAGCTGAGACTACAGGTACCCGCCATCACACCCAGCTAATTTTTGTAATTTTAGTAGAGATAAGGTTTCACCATATTGGCCAGGCTGGTCTTGAACTCCTGACCTCAAGTGATCCACCTGCCTCAGCCTCCCAAAGTGCTGGAATTACAAGCATGAGCCACCGTGCCCAGCCGGAAAGTTTTAAATTATATCTGTGGCTTGCATTGTATTTCTATCACAAAGTACTAAATAGTTTTCCTGAAAAAAGGAAAACGGACCCAGCTGGTGGGGCTTTTCACATTTTTGCCATTCTCTCTACCTAGAATATGGATCTGATGGCTGCTGTAGCAGCCATCTTGCACCCATGAGGTAATCAGCTGAGAGTCAGAACAAGGGAGGAAACCTGGTTCTTTAATGACATTGTTGAGCTGCTATATTGGCTCTGGACAATCTAACTTGAGAAAGAATTCTAGGTGGTGGGGGTTTTTTTGTTTTGTTTTGTTTTGTTTACTGTCTGTACTCCTCCAAAAGCACATCAAACTTTTGTTGCTATCTTGTCTTTTAAATTAGACTGCAGGGAAGGGTGTTGGGGAAAGCCTTTGATTTTTCAAGTTCACACATCAGCAGAGAAAGCAGACATATAAGCTACTATGTGCACAAATTATTTTCAGTGCCACAGTCCATTTATGAATTTCACTGAATGTCTTCAAATAGAAGAATATACATGCAAATAAAATCCAGACCGACCTGGACTGGATTTAAATAACAGTCCCAATCACTTTTTATTATTCCTACCTGTGTGACCTTAGAAAGTGACTATCCTTCTGCATCCTGGTTCTCTCACTTCTAAAAGGTGGACGTACTATTCCAGGGATCCTGGCTATGGTATCCCCATCACTGTCATCTCACCCTCCTTGCAACTGACTGGTTTATGGGAGGCAGAAAACTTAGGTCTGGTTGATGAAGCATGACACAGAGCTTTTGGAAAGGCCTTTCTTACTCTTAGTGTGACACTTGCTGTTGGCACGTCTACATGTGCAGGGTCCATCTTTAGCTTACAAGGAGCTAGCCTGAGGACAAAGTCAATATGCTGAGATGGCAAAATAAAAAACAGAACTTGGTGTTTTGACGCCCTCATCAACACTGAGCTGTTGAATTAATGAAAATGAGGTGCCTTGTCTCGTGACTTCCAGCTTCGAGAGGTAACTTTCTCTGCTGTTTACACCATTCAGATACTACTATAAATTGGGATTTCTGCTCTTCACAGCCAAAAGAATTCAGATATGATTATTACTAATATCAAAATAAAATCAACAGCTTCTGTAGAGTTCTAGAACGGAACATTTTCTTATTCATTGCATAAGAACTGTTGAATTGCTGCCTCATTTCAAAAGGTGAAACCACATCTAAAATATCTGTTCACTTACGTGTTGGATATAGAGTGGAAATTGCTCAGGGAAATTGCTAATTCCCATGTAGCAGCAACTATGGGAATTAATGAACTAGAACTGCTGAAGAGAACTAAAAACGAATTCTTCTCAAAAAAGGAAAAACAGGTGATGTCACCAAAAGGTTCAAAATCCTGATGGGAATGAAAACAAAAACTAACAAATGAGTGTTTGTTTTAACACGATGAAATCAAATTAAACGGTTTACTCCAAGGTTCTCAGGCTTAGACGGCTTTGGTTGTAGCCCAACTGCATAAAAGGCTTGCACATTTGAATACTAACTTTTTTATCTCTATTCTGCCTTCCCCTCTGTTTATATTTTCCAAGACTGTTTACTATGTACCTTTTGTTTTATAGTGTTTTATGCACTTATTGAAAAGTTAGGGGAATTACATTACCTGATTTCAAGACTAAGTATGAAGCTTCGGTAACCAAGACAGTATGACACTGGCCTAAGGTCAGACACATAGATCAATGAACAGAATAAAGAGTACAGAAATAAAGCCATACATAGATGGTGAATTGCAATTCAAAAGGAAAAAGTATTTGCAACAAATAGTGCTGGGACAAATGAATATACATATAGAAAAAATAAATTTCAACCCTTGTCTCTTAACATACACAAAAATTAACTCAATATGGATCATTGATCTAGGCATAAAAACTAGAACTGTAAAACTTCTAGGAGAAATTATTCATAAACCAAGGGCAGGCACAGGTTTCTTAGTAAAAGATAAAAAGCTCCAAACTAAAAAATTAAATTCACTTCATCAAAATTTAAAAGTTCTGCTCTTCAAAATTCACCACTAAGGAAAGGAAAAGGCAAACATAGGTTGAAAAAAATTTTCATAATTTATCTATCTGACAAAGGACTTATATCCAAAACATAGAAATAATGAATTATAAAAAAAAATTAAACCCAACAGTCAACAGATATGAACAAAATGTCCCAAAAGAAGATACACAATTAGTCAAACAGTACAGGAAAAAAATGTTTGACATCATTAATCATCAGAGAAATCTAAATTAAAATCATAATGAAATATCACCATATCTGTCAGAATGAGCACCATGGAAAAGGCTGAGAACACCAACTGCTGGTGGGAACAGAAAGGAACTGGCGCTCGCATACACTGCCAGTGGGAGTGTAGAATGCTACAATCACTTTGGGAAGTTTGGCAATTTCTTACTGGATTAAAATATTTTTATTCGATGCTCCAGCAATTCCTCTCCTAGGTATTTACACAAGAGAAATGAAAATATGTATCAACAAAAATACTTGAAGAATGTTTCAGAAGTTTTACTCCTAATAGCCCATTTTTGAATTTTTAAACAACTCAAATGTCCATTAATAGGTGAAAGGATACATAAATTGAGATATATTAATACAATGGAATAAAAAGGAACAAACTGTGAAACACAACAACAGGGATGAGTTTTTTAAACATTAAGCTGAGTAAAAAATGCCAGACACAAAAGATTACATAATGTATGATTCCGTTGCTATGAAATTCTAGAGCAGGCTAAATTGATCTATGGTGACAGAAAGCAGATCATTGGTTGCAGGAGACAGGATGGACTGATTGCAAAGGATCACAAAGGAACTTTTAGGGACAAGTGAAATGTGCTATATCTAGATTTAGGGTGGAAGTCACACCAGTCTACATGTTTGTCCAAGCTCATGGAACAGGCAGCTTTATTTTATTTTAGATAAGTCGTACTTAAATAAAACTGATTAAGAAATTATTTGGAAACAAACAATTTTTGCACAAGCCCTTTGCAGATTCCTTCTTATCCTGGGGTCCCAGGGTTCAGTTTGCATCTTTTCTCCATTTACATTCATTTTCAAGAGGAAATGGGCACAGTGTGCAGTGCCTCTAAACAATTACAATGGTAACATCAAAGATCACTGATCTCAGATCACCATAACAGAGATAATAAAGTCTGAAGTGTCAGAATTATCAAATGTAACACAGAGACACTAAGTGAACACATGTTACTGGAAACCAGCACTGATGGATTTGCTGGGTGCAGGGATGCCACAAACTTTCTGTTTGTTTAATAAAAAGAAAAAAGGCAGTATCTATGGTGCAATAAATAAATGGAGTGCAATAAAATAAAATGGAGTGCAATAGAACAGGTGTGCCCATATTTGTTTAACCTGAATTATAGTTCCTATCAGAAAGGCAGAAGGAACAGTGAATTAAGGAGCTGTTACTGCTCCAGGCCTAAAAGGCTTGCAAGCCTCGCTCAAATAGCCTTTTTATTAAACAGCTTTATTGAGGTATAATTCACACACCATGAAATTTACTTATTGTAAGTGTATAATTCAACAATTTTTAGTAAATGTGTAGAGTTGTGTGACCATCACTGCAAGACCGCTGCCCCAAGAGTTCCCTTGTGGTTACTTGCAGTAATCCCTAATTGTACCCTCAACCCTAGGCAACCACCGATCATTTTCTGTCTCTAGATCTGTCTTTTCTGGGAGTCTCATGTAAATAAAATAAAACAATATGTAGTCTTTTGTATCTGGCTTCTTCCACTTACCGTGCTCTTGAGGTTCCTCCATGTTGCAGCATATATCAGCAGTTTGTTCCTTTGTAAACTGCCGAATGGTATTCCATTGTATGGACATGCCACATTTCGTTTATCCTTTCACCAGCCGGTGAATATTTGGGCTGTTTGAAGCTTTTAGCTATTATGAATAGTGCTACTCTATGTGGACATACGTTTTCACCCTGGGTAGAAACCTAACAACAGAATTTTCAGGGCATATGGTAAGTTAATGTTTAACTTTCAACCAAAATGTTTTCCAAAGTGACTACAATTTTTATGTTCCTGTAAGCAACGTATGAAGATTCTAGTTTCTTCATATCCTCACTAATGCTGGGTATTGTCAGTCTTTTAAATTACATCCATTCTAGTGGATATATAGTTGTTATTATATAAAATAGTTTTAATTTTATTGTAGTTTTAATTTGCAATTCGCTAATGGCTAGTGATCTTGAGCATCTTTTAATTTGCATATTGGCCATGAAATGTGTAACTAGCAATTCTGTCCATCTTTAAATTGGGTTGTCTTCTTAGTATTGATTGTACGAGTTCTGTACATCTTCTGGATCCAAGTCCTGTATCAGACACATGTTTTGCAAGTATTTTTCTCCTGTGGCTTATCTCTTCATTTCCTTAAAGGTGTCTTTTGAATAGTAAAAGTTTTAAATTCTGAAATACGAGTATTCAATTTTTTTATTTTATTATGATTCATTTTTAATTTTTTGTTTTGAGACAGGTTCTCGCTGTTTCCCAGGCTGGAGCACAGTGGTACAATCATAACTCAATGTACCTTGGACTCCTGGGTTCAAGTGATCTCCCTGCCTTAGCCTCCCAAGCAGCTAGGACTACAGGTGTGCGCCACCACACTGGGGTACTTTTCTACTTATAAACAACTTTTTTTAAAAGATGGTGTCTCACTATGTTGCCCAGGCTGGTCTCAAACTCCTGGCCTCAAGCAATCCTCTTCCCTCGGCCTCCCAAAGTGCTGGGGTTACAGGCGTGTGCTATCACACTCAGACAATTTTTTTCTTTATGGGCAATTATTTGGTTGTCATATCTAAGAAGTCTTTGCCCAATCACAAGTCACAGAGAATTTCTCCTGTGTTGTCTTCTGAAGTTTTATAGGTTTAGCTGCTACATTGAGGACTAAGAGGCATTTTGAGTTGATTTTTATGTATGATGTGAGGTAAGGGTCAGGTTCATTTCTGTGCATATAGAAACCTGATTGTCCCAGCACTGTGTATTGAAAAAACTATCCTTTCCCAACTGCCTTGGCACTTTTGTCAAAAATCAACTGACCATAAAGGTTTATTTCTGAACTCTCAATTTTGTTGCAATGATTTATATGTCTATCCTTATGCCAATAGCACAGTGTCTTGATCACAGTAGCATGAGTTTTGAAACACAGGAGTGTAAATCTTCAAACTCTGTTATACTTTTTCAAAATTATCTTGGTTACTTAAGGTCCTTAGTATTTCCATATAACTTTTAGGAAAAGCTTATCAATTTCTACCAAAAAAAAAAACTGCCAGTGTTTCTGTTAGGAATTGCATTAAATCTATAGATGAATTTGTGAAGAAATGCCATCTTAACAATGTAAAGTCTTCCAACTCATAAATATAAAATACTTCTCCATTTAATCTTCTCTCAGGAATGTTTTACAGTTTTCAAGTGCAACTGCAATTCTTTTATTAGATTTATTTCTAAGTATTTTATTCTTTTTGATGCTGCTGTGAATGGAATTGTTTTTATACCTGCATTTCTGGATTCTCAATTTGTAGTATATAGAAATATAACTGATTTTGTACACTGGTCTTATAAACTGCAACCTTGCCAGCCTCATTTATTAGTCCTCAGTCTTTTTCTGTGGCTATTCCAACACTCATCTGGTTTCTGTTTGCATGGCTTACATCTTTTCCACTCTTTTACCTTCAGCCTACTCATGTCTTTAATGTGTTTTACTGGTAGACAACATATAGTTAGATTTTTTTTAATCCAGTCTGACAACTTCTGACTTTTCACTGGCATTTACTGTAAGTATTTATACGGTCAGATTTAACCTGCCATTTTGCTATTTGTTTTAGCTATGTCTCAGGCCTTTTTTGTTCCTCCTTTAGTGCCTTCTTTTGTATTAAACAAATATTTGGTAGTGAACTATTTTAATTCCTCTGTTGATTCTTTCAATGTATACTTTTTATTTATTTAGTGATTGCTCTAGGAATTACTATGTGTCTCATTTCATCACAATCTATTTCAGATTAATACTGACTTAATTCTGATAAAATTTGGCCAGCTTGCTCCAATTCAGCTTCATTTTCTCTGTCATCCTTTGAGCTATTACTATCATATATATGGCATCTACATATTTTACAATACCAAATAATACAGTATTATAATTATTGCTTTAAACACTCTTAGGTCCTTTAAAAATTAAGAAAAGAGACATGTATATAGACTTCCATATTTACCCACCTATTTACCATTTCTGGAGCTTCTCATTCCTTCCTATGGACTTCCTTTCGACCTTAAGGACTTCCTTTGGAATTTCTTATAAAGCAAGTCTTTGTTTATCTGGGAATGTCTTTACTAAACCTTCATTCTTGAAGGATAATTTTGCTGGATCTAGAACTTGTAGTTGCAAATTTTTCCTTCAGCATTTTGAATATGTCACTCTATTTCCTTCTGGCCTCCACTGTTCTGATAAGAATTTTATCATTGCTCTCTCCATAATGAGTTGTTTTTCTCTCACTGCTTTCAAGATGTTCTCCTCGTCTTTGTCTTTCAGCAGTAGGACTTAGTGAAGATCTGTTTGTGTTTATCCTACTTGAGGTCTGTTGAGCTTCTTGGATCCACAGATTAATGTTTTACATCAAATTTGGGATATCAATGGCCATCACTTCCTCAAAAGCTTTTTCTGTCCCTTTCTCTCTCCCCTCTCTTTTGGAACTCGCGTTAAACGTTGTTGATGCATGGGATATTATCCCTTAGGTCTCTGAAGCTCTGTTTATTTTTCTTCAATATTTTTTATACCTTTTTTCTTCAGATTGGCTAATACCTTTGATATACCCTTAAGTTCACTGATGCTTTGGCCATTGCAAATCACTGTGTAGCACTTATCATGAATTTTTCATTTCAGTTACTTTTCAGCTCTAGGACCTTCATTTGTTTCTTTTTCAAAGTTTCCATTTCTTTATTTACATTCCCTATTTGTTAAATCATGATCCTCCTTATCTTAATTCTTTAAATGTATTTATAATAGTTGTTTTGTCTGGTAAACCCAACATGTGGGTCCGTTTAGAGGCAGTTTCAATTGACTGCTGTTTTCCTCGTTTCTCTTAATTTTTTAAACTGGACATGTTAGATAATACATGACAGTAACTCTGGATTTTAATCATCTTTTTCTTGAGCACTGCTGTGCTGTTTTTGTTTCTTAGCCTGAAGTTAATCCACTGAATCTTTCTCACTCATGGTGAGAGCTGATGCAGCAGCTGATGTCTCTACTCAGTTTTTTAAAGCCTCAGTGTTGCTTTTTAGCCTCACTCCAGAGGTTGTCCCCGTGTCTGCATATCTGAGTGGTCAGTCAATGATTAGTCGGAGCTTATGCTCAAACACCCGAAGCCAGTAAGAGAGCTGTTCAAAGTTCCATCCTTTTTCCAGTCAACCCCAGCTCTTACTTTCCCCCAGGTCCTCTCAGGCCTCCTCTGTGCTGAGATGCAGCCTCCATCAGCCAGGGGTGTGTGGAGATCTTATCAAGTCCCTTGATGGCTCTCTCACTTCCAAGATCTCCCTGTTATATGATGGACCACATCCTCAGGCTAGGAGAGCTGGAGGCATTCTCTGTTAGCTACTGCATGGGGTTCTCTGCCTTTCACTCCAAATCAAGTCAGCTGGTTTTCATGGCCAGCCTTGCCCTTGAAACTGCCTTTGCAAAAATTATAGTGGTAAGGGAGATCTGACATAACTGACTCAAGCTTGCTTCTATCAGGCTAAACTGCTTTTGCTCATTCTTGTGCAGGGGTTATAATAGTCCTTTCTTGAACTGATCCTGCCCTTGTTCAAAAGTTGAAACCATATTGGTAAAGACTAACAAAAGGTCACAAGGTTAGACTTATGGTAGGGACTACATCTTTGCTAAAGAATAGGCACACCTAAACCATGACCTGCCATTGCTTAGCTTGCTTTTCTCTAAATTGCTTACTGTTTCAGAGTCATGTAACCAGGGGTTGCAAGATTTATAACTTTCTCAACTACTCCTACAGAAAACATTACTATTGTGAAACCTAAAGAACTGGTCTTTGAGATATTTTTCAGAGTAGCACTTTGGCAGATCAGGAGACACCACCTGAGACCTCCTCCCAGGAACTGACTCAGCTATGCAAAAACAGTTTTAGACACCCCTATGAGTTCATCCCCAGTCAATCATTACAGTTCTCCAGGCCCCTGCCAACCGGAGCACCCTTAATTTGAATTCTCAGAGAGGCAGATTTGTGAAATACCTCCTCTGTCCCTCTGCTTGGCTGGCCCTGCAATTATTAAACTCTTTCTTTGCTACAATACCTGCTGTTCTCAGTGCATTGGTTTTTCTGGGCAGTAGTCAAGAAGAACCCATCAGGCTGACACCCTGGTAGCATTACTTTGCCAAGGGATGGGGAACAGGGTAACTCCAGGCAAGAATACCATCAATTCCCACTGTTTTTGATCTAAAAGTCAGCAGTTTTTTATGAATTAACATTTCTCAAATTGTTGCTTGCTTTTGGTCAATTTCCAGAGCCCAAAAGTGTTTCTGACAAGTTCATCCAGTTGTACAGCCGTTTCAGGGGGAAGAACATTCACTGACCCCTTCACTATTCAATAGCTGGCAGGTGCATCAATTAAAATGGGTTTTTTTGTAGATCAGCAAGGAAACATTATTTCTGTGGGAGGTAAACTAGGGTTCCAACACAGATCCAGAAAACCAGAAACATCTATGCTTAGTAAAGTACTGGTAGTAAGAACAGACAGCCAACCCTCACTAAGAAGAGTAAACTTGAGTTCTTTAAATGAGAAATCGTCTCTATATTTGCTACTTGAATAGAAGAATTTTTTTAAACCACCTGCTTTATCAGCACAAGACAGCCATGCCATCTTCACACAAGATTCAGAGGTCCCTCCTTTTCTTCCCACTCACTTTAGAACACTTGGGGTCCTCTGTAGGGCAAATTCACCATTCCTCTAGGATCCCATTTCACTGATTAATAGCCTCACTAGGCTTTTCCTTGAATACAGAGACACCAGATTCTGGTGTCTGGTAACCAGAACACCCACTTCCTTCCTTCCTAAAGACCTGCACAGAATCTTATGATCCTCAATAAAAACTCTGCTGTTCTACGAAGTGTGGGCTTGCTTGGTGATCTGCCCTGTCTCTCCTGACCAGGTGTTCTCTTAGTTGGAACAAAGGGATCTGAATGAGTTACAGATAAAATAAAAATCGTGAGGGATTTTGTTTGTTCTTTTGCAAAGCCCTATTCATAAACAAAGAGGAAAGGAGCTTCGATGTATTCACTATGCCAGACACAAATAATGACACTGATACATGAAGTCACTTGATTCTTTCCTGTTCTCACTTTTGTTTACAGATGACAAAAATGAACCAAACCCCCACCCAGCTATGGTTCAGCTGCTTTTTTTTTTTTTTTAACAAAATCTAACTTTTGTTCCCACAACTGACTCAGTAAGATAATGAAGTCACTTAATTGTTCTTCACTAAGAAAATTTCAAAGTTAGCTAAAATACACAAATAAATTGGTTTTTGGCTATTGGTATTAAGCAAGATTATTTTATCTTTCAAAATACAACGAATAATATTGTAGTTTACATGAAGATTTAAGACCTTCAGCATATCACCTGATTAACAGTCCCCAATTCAAGCTCTCCTAGTATCTCAATAAGTACATATAAAAAAACATTCAAAGCTTTTTAATAACATGAAAAACTACCAATGTAATGGCAGAATCGTGGAGCAACTGAGAAAGATGATCATCCACAAAAACACATCCAGATTTCAGCCTATTCTAGTCACTAATAAAACCAGGACTTTGAAAAAAAATGTTTGGAAAAGACTTCATATCACCCCTCTCACACCCCAATGCCAAGATCTTGGTTTTTACACCAAGATTAGAACCTATCACTGACTGTTCCTCAGGGGCCATATTTTAATAAAGGGTGCTACTGTCCAGATCTCCCCACCTGCCTGCACACAAGATCACTCATCATTCTTCTATTCGACTTTGGGAGAAAAAACCTTTAGGTGGAAAGTAGGAAAAGAAAAAAAGTAATTCAAATAATTCTGAAAAGCACTTAAAAGCAAGGGCAACAAGACTATGTGGGTTACAGTTCTTTACATCCCATATTTTGGTTCATAAGACAACTGAACCAGTAAGTGGGAAAAGGATGAAGACACCACCATGGTTGAGCAAAAGATGAGCTGTCATAGCCTCTTAGAAATGAGGCCCTAGAAGAAAAGGTACACTCTCTAGTCTGCTCTTTGACTGCAGACAGGAGAAAACGGTTAGCATGTGAGCAGAGTCTGTTATCAGTTCTGTTAGAATATACATGTTAATCATCTAAAATTGTCTGGCAGGGTTCTGAGGACACAATATTGAACAAGACTCACAGTCCCCATCCTGAGTTTGAAGTCCAGTACAGGAGGCAAAGGCAAATGTGTACTGGCTCATTCACACGTGGCCACTCCACTGAATATGATGCATGTGTGTTTTCACATTTTAACATCTCTGAAATCAAGAATCCTCTTCATAACTGATGGCATGTAAACCTTTTTAGTGGTACATAAAATAACGGTACATCTTACCATCAATGACATCTCATATTTAATGAAATACAGTATTTCATTTAATCTTCACTACAATCTTACGAAGTAAGTGTTATTACTCCAATTTACAAAAGAGGAGTGTAGAGAGGGTAAGTAACTTGGATAATGTGACAAAGCTACTGGGCAGGAGAGCAAGGGTGAGAAGGCAGTGTGGCTCTGAAGTCTGGGTCTTAGCAACAGGTTTCTTTTGTTCTTTGTTTGTTTGTTTGTTTTGTTTTGTCTGATTTGAGACAGAGTCTCAATCTGTCTTGTCACCCAGGCTGGAGTACAGTGGTGTGATCATGGCTCACTGAAGCCTTGACCTCCTGGGCTCAAGCGATTCCCCTACCTCAGCCTTCTACATAGCTGGGACTACAGGCACACAGCACCACACACTGACCACTTGAAGTGTTAAACCACCTGAATACAAGTATAAGTAATACAGTGCAATATGTGAAGTATACAAGATGTACAAAGTAAAGTACGACTCTAGGTAGAAAACTCAACATAGAGTACAAGGCTGATTTATTAAGAAAAGGGGGAAAAGGCCTCGCCACAGAGGTCACAGGTCAACAAGGCTCTGAAAGACCAGCCAGAATTCATGTTGGGGGCAGGGGGCTCCCTGCAAATACAAAGGAACCAAGTGTTAAACAGTAGAGCATGTGTGCACTACTACAAACGGTTCATTATGGCCGGGCCTGGCTCAGTCGAGGAGCGAGTGCTGTGAACTGAGAGTGGAAAGGAAGGCAGGGGCAGTCACAACGGGTGCTGCGAAGCTGCCAAGCTAACAGAGTCTGAAGCAGAAAAGAGGCATGGTCAGACAGATACTGTAAAAATCATCTGGGCAGCAAAGCACAGCACAGACCAGAGGCCAGAGGGACTGGCTGGCAGAGTAATGTGAGATGCAGGTACCAGATGGTAAACAGCAGAAATGGGTAGAGCTGAAGACCAACAGTGGATTTGACATGGGTTGGGGGGTAACAAGAGCTAAGGGTCACCACCACCCACTTAGTGCTTACTACATGCCCCGGGCTGCTCTAAATGCTTTACAAATCTCAAGTCCTCAAAACAACTCAATAGGAAACCAAAGCACAGACAGGTCTTAGTGATGGCTAGATGTGGAGGTGAGAAGGAAGAAGGGATGATTTATTCCAGTTACCTGGGCACCTTAGAGAGAGAAAGCATAAGCAAGGAAGAGATCTGAGGCCAAGATGAGTGTGGTGTTAGGTATGCTGGGGTGGGAGCAGAAATGAGCAGGGCGAGACACGGGGCAGGAACATTCTCTGCCCAGGGACACCTGCAGACCATCAACCCCCATCTCCTTCTTCCAATGGCCATTTCTCTGCCTTCTTTTTCTTCCTTTCTGTTACTTCTTAAACACTTTACCCTATATCATTAAGGATTATCTCCCAAGAATTATCTTCATTTTAAAACTTTTCATTATACATTCATATTGTCTGCTAAGTGTGGGGACAGAGATAAAGTGAATGAATTTAATAAGGCAACTAAGATTTAGATTAATCTTTGAAAAGAATAGAATGGAAGCCGAAACCCATCAATTAAAACAATTTTCAAGAAAACTGAAGACTTAAGTGAGGTAAGAAATCATAACTGCAGTAGCTCCGTCGAGTTGCGTTTCTCTCAAACACCGGGCAGCCCAAGTACAATAGAGAGCTGTGTCCAACCGAGGCTGGGAAAGTACCCAGTGGTGCATGGAGTGCCGATGAGGCAAGGGAGATAAGGGCACAGGCAGGAGGGGTAGAGCTGGTGTTCCAGGAAGGGCAGGGCAGGAAGGCACAGCCAGGAGAACTGGGGAAGGGGAAGGAGGAGGAGCATCACCTCTAGCACACTTCCTAGGCCCTCAACTCTCGAGTCTGTCACCTATCAGTGTCAGGCAGACATCCAAATGTGGGTGGTCCTGTGGGAGTGAGACTGTGTGATCAGGCTTTTCTCATGCTGCTACAAAGAAATATCTCTGAGTAATTTACAAAGAAAAGAGGGTTAATTGGCTCACAGTTCTGCAGCCTGTACAGGGAGCATGGTACTGACATACGCTTGGCTTCTGGGGAGGTCTCGGGAAGCTTATAATCATGGCAGAAGGTGAAGGGGGAGCAGCCACATCACATGGCCAGAGCAGGAGTAAGAAAGCGGTGGGAGGTGCCACACACCTTTAAATGACCAGATCTCACAAGAATTCACTCACGACTGTGAGAACAGTATCAAAGGGACGGCGCTAAACCATTCATGAGAACCTGCCCCCGATCCAATCATCTCCCACCAGGCCCCACCTCCAACACTGGGGGTTACATTTCAACATGAGATTTGGGAGGGGACACAGATCCAAACCATATCAGTAAGCAAGCCTGACTCCAGAAGAGAGGTCTCAGCCAGTTCCAGGAGCTGCAGATTTCAGATAGAGCAGCACTAGACAAGAGAGTTAAAAGTGAGGGTGCAGAAACATGTGACGCTAACGAGGGGCTAAGGTGACCCCTGGCACAGAGGCTGGTAGGACGTCTGCCATCCAGATGACTGGGGAAGACTACAGAGCCAGCTACCCAAGAGGCATGAATGAATTCTAGAGCAGCTGTTCTTAAATTTTTTGGTCTCGGGACCCTTTTTACCCTTAAAAATTATTGAGGAAACCAAAGAAACATAACTTACATAAATAATAGCCATTGATATATACCATATTACGAATTAAAACTGAGAATTTTAAAAAATCTGTTAATTCAAGAATAATTATAATAAAATTTTTATGAAAAATATATTTCCAAAACAAAAAAAAAATTAGTGAGAAGAGTGGTACTGTCCTATATTTTTACAACTCTACTGAATGTCTGACTTAATAGTAGACCAACAGATCCTCAAATGTTTCTACTGCAAATCACATATCATATAGACTCTGGAAAGACCCCGTATGCTCTTGAGAGAATGAAAGTGAAAAAGGCAAATAATGTCTAAGTGTTATTACTATGAAAATAGTTTTGACTATACCACCTCCCTCCTAAAAAGATCTCAGGGACTCTCAGAGATCTCTGGATCAGATTTTGCAAATGACTGATCCAGAGGATGGTAAATGACAGCAATTTAGAGAGACACCAAGAACAGAACAGCCAGATAAGCCCGCAAACTGAAAGAGCGGTAAATGGAAAAGGTAGTGGGGAGGTGGGAAATTTTCTACTTATGTCAGCAGACACAAAAATAGATCTCTAAATTGGCTGGTACCTTTTTTGTATGCCAGGTGGGGATAAAAGAGTATAATAACATATCAGAATCACTGTTCCAGTCCCCCAAAATCTGGTATAACCCTTTACTTCAAAGAGGTAAAAATTACTGCTATAGAAAGTACTATTACTAATTAAAGTATGTTCTGTTACATGCATTGGGGGTAAGAAATACCACTGATTTACCCATGGCTCTTACATTTTATTTATTTGTTCATTCATTCATTCATTCATTCATTCATTCATTCATTTGAGAAAGGGTCTCACTTTGTCATCCAGGCTGAAGTGCAGTGGCACGATCTCAGCTTACTGCAGCCTCGACCTCCTAGGCTCAAGCAATTCTCCGGCCTCAGCCCCCCAAGTAGCTGGGACTGCAGGCATACACCACTATGCCCAGCTAATCTTTTGTATTTTTTGTAAAGGCCGGGTTTTGCCATGTGGCCCAGGCTGGTCTTCAACTCTTGAGCTCAAGCGATCTGCCTGCGCTGGCCTCTCAAAGTGTTAGGATTACAGGCGTGAGCCACCGCACCTGGCTGGCCCTAACATTTTATAGGAGGCATCAAACATATGCATGCATGTATCATTATAACAGAATGATTTACATTCCTTTGGGTATATATCTAGTAATGGGACTGCTGGGTCAAATGGTTATTTGAGAGGAGGTTCCAGCTGGGCTTCCTGGGTCAAGTAGGGGCTCAGAACGCTGTGAAACTCACTCATTTCCTGCATCAGGACTTGGTCCTGGATGAATAATATTGAACACATATGCTTAAAATATTCCTAACATCTGAATTTGTGCATGTGTTTTCTTCCCCAAGAAAGCTATAAACAGCGAAAATTTTGTTGTAAGCTTCCCTGTGTCCTCTCTCCCTTCCCCTCCCCTGAAACTAAAAGGAATGTTAAAAGCCCATTTTTCTGTGACCAGCAGACCTTATCTATGTCCCAGTTCCAATTCCTTGTAAACACAATTTGTAAAATCTTGTGAGATCCTGTCTCCTTTGCCATGCCGCTGCAAGGTTATAAAGTAGATAAAACTTAAGTTACAATTCCAGTTTTCCTCAAGATCTGAGACATGTTAATTGTCTTTGTTTCTCACTCTGGTAACATCTTCCTGCTGCACGTACTTCCCACCTTAAAGAGTTTAAACGGTGATCAAAAAATCTAACACTGTTCTCATTGTTCAATTCCCACCTATGAGTGAGAACATGCGGTGTTTGGTTTTTTGTCCTTGCGATAGTTTGCTGAGAATGATGGTTTCCAGCTTCATCCATGTTCCTACAAAGGACATGAACTCATCTTTTTTATGGCTGCATAGTATTCCATGGTGTATATGTGCCACATTTTCTTAATCCAGTCTATCATTGTTGGACATTTGGGTTGGTTCCAAGTCTTTGCTATTGTGAATAGTGCCACAATAAACATACGTGTGCATGTGTCTTTATAGCAGCATGATTTATAATCCTTTGGGTATATACCCAGTAATGGGACGGCTGGGTCAAATGGAATTTCTAATTCTAGATCCCTGAGGAATCGCCACACTGACTTCCACAACGGTTTGGACACAGGAAGGGGAACATCACACACCGGGGACTGTTGTGGGGTGGGGGGAGGGGGGAGGGATGGCATTAGGAGAGATACCTAATGCTAAATGACGAGTTAATGGGTGCAGCACACCAGCATGGCACAGGTATACATATGTAACAAACCTGCACGTTGTGCACATGTACCCTAAAACTTAAAGTATAAAAAAAAACAAAATCTAACACTGGCTACCTGCTCGGGACCCCTTCCATGCTGTGGAAGCTTTGTACTGTCACTCTGCTCAATAAAGCCTGCAGCTTTTTTTTCTCTCGGTCTGCTCCATGTCTCTCTTTCACCGTGGGCTGCCGCCACACCAAATCTTTGGCGTGGCTAAGGCAAGAACCTCTGGCATTACAGGATTGCTGGGTCAAATGGTATTTCTGGTTCTAGATCTTTGAGGAATCGCCACACTGTCTTCCACAATGGTTGACTAATTTACATTCCCATTAACAGTGTAAAAGCATTATTATTTCTCCACAGCCTCACCAGCATGTTGTTTCTGACTTTTTAATAATCGCCATTCTGACTGGTGTGAGATGGTATCTCATTTTGGTTTTGATTTGCATTTCTCTAATGATCAGTGATGTTGAGCTTTTTTTAATATGTTTGTTGGTCACATAAATGTCTTCTTTTGAGAAGTGTCAGTACAGGAAGCATGGTGCTGACATCTGCTTGGCTTCTGGGGAGGTCTCAAGAACCTCAGGAGGTTCATGTCCTTTGCCCACTTTTTGATGGCTTTGTTTTTTTCTTGTAAATTTGTTTAAGTTCCTTGTAGATTCCGGATATTACACCTTTGTCAGATGGTTAGATTGCAAAAATTTACTCCCATTCTGTAGGTGGACTGTTCACTCTGATGAGTTTCTTTTGCTGTGCAGAAGTTCTTTAGTTTAATTATATCCCATTTGTCAATTTTTGCTTTTGTTGCAATTGCTTTTGATGTTTTTGTCATGAAATCTTTGCCCATGCCTATGTCCTTAATGGTACTGCCTAGATTTTCTTCTAGGGTTTCTATAGTTTTGGGTTTTACATTTAAGTCTTTAATCCATCTTCAGTTAATTTTTGTATAAGGTGTAAGGAAGGGATCCAGATTCAATTTTTTGCACATGGCTAGCCTGTTTTTCAAGCACCATTTATTAAATAGGGAATCCTTTCCCCGTTGCTTGCTTTTGTCAGTCTGTTGAAGATCAGATGGTTGTAGATGTGTGGTATTATTTCTGAGATCTCTATTCTGATCCACTGGTCTATGTGTCTGTTTTTGTACCTGTACCATAAATGTTCAATTTTCGCCATGAGGAATAAATGCCACGCTCAATTGTTCTAATATCCTTTCACTAAAATGCCTGGCAGTTTTTCAGGTTCTTAGCTATTGCCTCTGTTACCCTTACCTGTCTTTTCCATAACTACTCTAAATAAGGACTATTTAATAAGCTAGCAACAAGTAGGAGGAAGTCATTTTTTCTCTACACAGTTAATTTATCTAAAAGATTCTAAAGTTATATTTTTAGTCAGTTGATATTAAAATACTATTTTAAAGTCTATGTTTATTAGTATTTTAATAAATACCAACTGCAAGCAAAGCACTTACAGAAGGTTGAACAATTTTAAATAAAGGGAGAGATTCTAGAAAATAAAATCACTATTATACTCAGATATTTATTTAAGGGTTAAAATATTTTTAAAGACTCCCAATACTACATCCTGATGAAGAAGACAGAGAAGAAGCCAGTCACAATACAATGCAATACAATGTCTCAATGGTGCCTGCTACTCTTTGAAAAAGTAAACCAAGATTTTTATGCTAGCAGGTAAGCAAGTAAAAATATCTTTGTTTCTCCAACTTAAATAAAAAATTCTTTACAAGAATCTCACTAAATAAAGCAATCTAACAAACCTCAACAAGACTAATGAATTTCACAGACTTCTAGAGCTGCCAGTTACTGGTTTTGTGACCTTGATTTAATCTTCTGGAACCTCAGTGTCCCCATCTGTACAAGTAGACAGTAACACTTCCTACACGGGATTGTTTCAACAGTTAAATGGGATACAGTATTTAGGAGAAAAAAAAAAAAACACTCAGCAAAGTGGCACATAGAAATCACTCCATCATTCAAATTCCAAAGTCAAAGGCCAAAGGCTCTTTCTATTAAACCATACTCTTTCTAACACAGTGACTACAGAACGTGCACATGTCAAGTCTATACACTCATAACAACACACCACATCACAGGTAGAGTTCATAATTTAGCAAGTCCCAACTGTCTAAGACAATTTCCTCATTTACTAACCAAAAGTTGAAAAAATACCCCTTTCACTCATGCTTCTTTTCTCACAAAACTTCAACATGAACCACAATTTTTATATAAATGGCATGGTATTGTAACAGCTGAATAATTTTTTTTATCATTCTAATGGATGGTTGCATGGGCTCTTAATTTTTCTTTCAGTGTTCTGGCAAGGATTAGGATCTTGGTGTAAAAGTAAGATTAGTTTCTAGAAGTACCCAAAGGCAAAAGATGCATCCTTGTACTTTATCATAAAGAGTAATATTCTTATTTTAAGTTACTACAACTACCTAGTTATGTTTCAGTAATATATAATTATTTTCAAGATCAGATATATCATCAAATTGGATGTTATCCTGAAAATTTTTTGGGTGGAAGAGAGGGCAGAAACAGGGTCTTGCTCTGTTGCCCAGGCTGGAGTACAGTGGCACAATCACAGTTCACTGCTGGCTTGAACTCTTGGGTTCAGCAATCCTCCTGCCCTCCTCAAGTAGCTGTGACTACAGGTATATCACCAAATCTGGCTAAGTTATACAATTTTTATAGAGGCAGGGTTTCACTATGTTGCACAGGCTAGTTTTGAACTCCTGCCCTCAAGCAGTCCTCCCACCCCAGCCTCCCAAAGCACTTGGGGTTACAGGCATGAGCCACCACGAATGACATCTTTTGATTTTTTAATTGATTAATTTGGGGCATTAACTATCAAACTGACCTTTTAGACAGTCCTGAACTGGCAGAGCCCCATTCTATGAGCAATCTACGTGAACTTCTTTTTACTCTAATAGGTTCAGAATGTCCAAAGTAATGCCTTTATTTAGCAAAAACGTGTATTAGTCTTATCAACCCTCTAATTAACAGAATCCCCCCACTTCATATAAAAGCCCTCGATCCAAGAAAAAAAAAGTGCTTCCCTTACTTGCTCAAGAATGACTGAAACCTCAACAGGGATTCAGTTTACAATTTGAAATAAAGTTAATTCAAATGTAACACCTCCAAAAGAGACATTATATTAACTTACCAGTATACAAAGGAATCTCAATCACACCCTTTCCTGAGTGCAGGATTTGATGGCACAATGCTATGTTCTGAAAATCTTTCAGAAATCCAACAGGACCTGGACATCCTATTACCTATTACCAAGTAACTCCCTAAGGGAACTGAGAATATTTTAAAAACCTTACATCCTAAGCACAATATGCCAAAAGGCAACCACATTCTTTTGGATAGAGATATATGCATATTTGCTCTGATGAACAATCACCAACACCTACAACCCCTGCTTTTGTTCAGAGACCCTGTTGGCTCCACAAACTCTCCTCAGTCTATTTAGAGTATTTTTTTTAATGACACAATGTCATAATCATAATGGTTACTGCTTAGAAATAATAACAAAAAGCCCTGGGTGGAATGGGACACAACTAATTCAAATCCTAGATCACCATTTACTAACTTCTGTTTCTTGGTGAAAGAGGCATCACACACAAACCTGTAAGTGCTGTTGCTAGGATGCAATAGCATGTGCTTATCACAGTGACTGACACATGGTAATTACTGAAACATTAACTCTTAGGAGGATAAGATAATATCAAAAAATCAATTTTAGAATTACTCACAGTTTCCCAAATGACATTCAACTTTTATCTTGGGTTAGCACAGCAATACCAAGAGGGCCTGTACCTTTATTCCAAACCCCTGAAAGGCTGGTAAATATGGTCCACAGAGAACATACAAGAAAACAATCTAAAGTCCATTTTCCTTGCTGCCACATTTTATTCTCTCTTGTGGGATCATGGGATTGTCCTCAGTGAAGTTAGTATTTTCCCCAAAGAGTTCCTGCCAAGCCACTAACCACTGCTAATTAACTCCATGAGGACACATTTTCAAATGACTTGAGCCTTCTGCCTGCTAGATGGCACTTCCAAGATCATCATTCATTCCCAGTAGAGTTGAGGCAGTTCCTGATGACATTTCTATCTAGGAAGCCACTGTAGGAGTGCTGTGAGTACCGGCAGATGACAGGTAACATGGACCCCAGGACAGTCTGCTCTTCAGGGTCATGGTGGATTGAGATAGAGGCCATGGCAGCCCGAGCTGCCTCTTCCAGCCCCGACTCCACCCCACTTTGCCAGTTACCATGTCCGCTGACCTGTGGAGAGCCTAAGAGGAAGAAAAGCAAGAGGGAAGAGAAGCAGAGAACACCAGGAGACTACGGCAAGTCAACCCATCAAGAGTGGCATTCAAGGTCAAAAGCATGAGTGAGAAGCATCTGTTTGGAAATCTCTTACACCAGGAACCAAAATCCAGCCAAAAAAATGTTAAAAAGAGTCAAAGGCAAGAACTCACAAATACTCATTTGATAGAACAGAATACAACAGATAACTTCACTTACTGAGCTCCTATCATCTGCATGCTCAACAGCAGGATTTTAAAAAGAGTAAAATATCCCTGCCAAGGAGTTCACACTCTGGGGAGAAGAAAATGAACTGCAGGACATGGTGATAAATATGACAGTATGAATACTTAAAAACAAGCTTTAACATCACATAATCAGGAGAGAGGGAAAAAAACAGCAAAATACTTCAGAAGTAAAAATGACCTTTGAAAGATTTGATCTAGAAGTTTGAACACCTCTTCTTGGTAGCTGAACCCATTATTCCAAGAAAAGTTTACCTATGTGCCCACAATATGAAGCATGCAGGTACCCTGCTCCTCATCTAAGTTACTGATTTAATCCAATTTAAGCCTGGAAAAGTAAAGTGACTTAGCCAAGGTTCTGAAGGTAATGGAAACTTAGCAGAGCTTGAATTCAAACCCATATATATCTGACTCCAACCAGTGCCCATAAAAATCAATCACTAAGGCCACCCAGTGGGAATCAGAGTTTAAATTCAATCTTTTTTCATGTCCTTGTCTGCTGTTCAATTTTATCATCAATAAAGTAGACTTCTGAAGAAAATATATTTCCCAATTTTTAAAATAAGTATATGTTGGCATCATTCTACTT
Source organism: Homo sapiens (assembly GCF_000001405.40). NCBI lineage: Eukaryota > Metazoa > Chordata > Mammalia > Primates > Hominidae > Homo > Homo sapiens. Next base: position 8,935,985 of record NC_000002.12, read on the forward strand.
AACACCAAATATCTGTAAATCGTTTGTAACTTTTTTATTCTACTGAATACGGTCAGTGGCTGATACATAGTTTTACTACTTTCCACCACAGCTGTTCCCTCCAGGATGCCCCCCAGCCTTTGGTACACCCTTCTTTTGTAACAGTAATTGCCTGTGGTGGGTAGTTTGACTGTAAGCTTCATGACGGGACAGAGTCTGTCTTTTTTATTCATCACTAGATCCCAGCATCAGCATAACAAACATTTGTTGCAGGAATGACATTGTAATGTTCCCAACTCAACTGTTCATTTCAGAGGGTAAGGAGCCCATCTCCTTTATCTTTGAGTTCCTGGAAATACTGAGGCCCACAATAAATGTTTATTCAAATTGGTGGGCAGCTGAACCTTATGATGGGAGGTTTAAAATCACTTTCCTACAGCTTTTACAATATAATTCCATACACAGCAAGGCAACCCATTAGATCTATGCAATAATTTATTGCATTTACTTACATCTTTTACATTTTTCTTTAGGTCATTTATCTTGTTGAAAATTACTTGCCTATAATCCCAGCACTCTGGGAGGCCAAGGCAGGCAGATCAAAGATCAGGAGTTCAAGACCAGCCTGGCCAATATGGTGAAACCCCGTCTCTACTAAAAACACAAAAATTAGCTGGGCATAGTGGTGCATGCCTGTAATCGCAGCTACTTGGGAGGCTGAGGCAGGAGAATTGCTTGAACCAGAACCCGGGAGACAGAGGTTGCAGTGAGCCGAGATTGTGCCACCGCACTCAGCCTGAGCTACAGAGGGAGACTCCGTCTCAAAAAAAAAAAAAAAAAAAGAAAAGAAAAAGAAAAGAAAAAAAAAGAAAGAAAGAAAGAAAGAAAATTACTTGCCAAGTTATAAAGAAAATTTTCAGCTTAACTTCTCAAGGTTAACAGGCTTCCACTCTTGAATATCGCAGAACACGCCACATTGTGCTGCCTTCGCCAGGGAAAATATCTTCCTAATTCCAATTAGGTACGCCTGAAACACATTCCTCTTCCCCTTCTTCCACAGCCTAAGTGGAGAGGCTCCCTATGTTCGGCCCTTCCCTCATTTCCACCCCTCTGCTTCTTCCCTGGGAACAGAGAGAGTACGGTCTGGCAAGAGCTGCTGCAGGTACAAGAATCAGGGATGAGACTTGCTCCAGGGGCACAGAAAAGGAGACAGGGAGTCTACAGTGGCTTTCATGAGACCCCCATGGGGCAGGCCCTGAGGTGGATCCCAGTGTTCTAAATGAGGCAGGGGCCATGGCTGGGAAGCAGGAGTTCGAGGGGGCTCCTTGGACAAGGTGTGCTGTGATGCGGAAGTCATGTCATCACTCATCTATTCACCAGTGAACACTCACTGAGAGCATACAATCTCTTAGGTACTGACTATATTCAGAAAACAAAACAGGCACAGCATAATGGCCATCACAGAATTTGCAGTCAATGAGGACGAAACACACTCCTCAAGTTAACTCTCAAACATCTATCATTAAGAACTGAGATAGATTCTCTGAAGGAAAGGAACACAATTCCACAAGAGGATGTGTAACAAATCATTTGTCCTAGATTGAGACATCTCAGCAAGACTCGCTAGGGATGTAATACGGTGAAATCTGAGAGTCAGGAGGAGAGGGAGGATGAGGAACACTCCAGACAGAGGGAACACAGGGAACCACGCCTGCAGAAAAGAGACATTTTCCAGGAAGGAAGGAAGCGCAGTCATGGAGAACAAGGCAAAGGAGTCGGTAGAGGGTGGACAAAACCAGGCTGTATCCTAAACTCACTCTTTTAAGAAGTATTTACTGAGATCATACCATGCGCCAGGCACTCTGCTAGGCCCTGGGGATGAAGCCGCGTGTGAGACAGACAGGACATGCTCCTGCTCTCCTATCACTCACACTCGCCAGGGAGAGACAGACCAAGACGTAAACAAGCAAGATCACGTCAAACAGTGCTATGAGCATGCGACTGCCACCACGGTGCTGAATTTCTATGAGAGGGAAGTCCAAGCACACAGATTGCACCTACCCTGGGGCCTGGTTTAAATGGTACTGGTTGTGGCACACATCAAGACACATGTAGGGATTGTCTCCACAGCCAGATCATACATTTTTTTATAGGCAAGGCACACGTGTGTCTATTTTTAAATTGCATATACTAAATAAATGCTAGATAAAAGAGAAATTTGGCACTCTGTATCTCTGTTCCCTTAGTACATGAAACACATATGATGCATTTGTTTCTCATTTGAGAGGACAAGAGGATTGTTACACAAACAATATACTTTGGCCAAAGGGAAATGGCTGGGAAAGCATGCCTTGAGATGTAACAGTGTCACCCCACCCCCACCAAGCTCATATGGTTGGGCACACGCTCTCTCTCTAGCATACACACACATTACACACTCACACCTCACCACCCCCTATAGTCAGGCTACTTATTAAGGTGCCAGTGCTTCCACACCGTGTTTCATGCTGCCGTGTTTCATTCCACCACGTTTCATGCCGCCACATTTTATGCTGCCACGTTTCATGCCGCCACGTTTCATGCCGCCATCTCATGCCGCTGTGTCTCAGGCCACATTTCATGCCGTGTTTCATGCCACCGTGTTTCATGCTGCCACGTTTCATGCCACCGTCTCATGCCACTGTGTCTCATGCCACCACATTTCATGCCGTGTCTCATGCCACCATGTTTCATGCTGTCACGTTTCATGCTGCCATGTTTCATGCCACCGTTGTCTCATGCCGCCACATTTCATGCCGTGTTTCATGCCACCGTGTTTCATGCTGCCATGTTTCATGCCTCCACGCCTCTGCCTGTGCTGTCCACCCTGCAGTAAAGTCTGCCCTTGCTACCTCTTCAGCTACTTAAGAGTCCTCGTATCTAATTCACATACCATGCCCCCCAGGAATCTCTGCCCTGAGCTACTTGCTCCTAGCTGGGTTAGCTATTTTTGTAAACTCTCTCCCACCAGAGCTCTTAGCACACAATATTAAAATGTGTTCACATGCCTCCTGCCATACTGAACTCCTTGGAGGAGAAGCTGAGGACAGTGCCTAGGACACAGGAGAGGGGTGTGATAAATAAGACGAATGAATGAACCAATACCAACAGCCTGATTTCATGATTCATCACCCTTACTGGAATTCTGTCTACCACACAACAGTGAATGAATCTTTCTACTAAATGGAGACTGATATTGGTGCATCTCAGGAACTTAATCTCAACTCTGTCCCTTTGCACTCTGGCACAGCCACTTGTCCCCCACATCCATGTCCTGTGCCTGGGGAACACACTCCACAGCTGAACCCGATGGAGGTCCGAAGCCCCGACAAGGTGGCACTTGAGTAAATCCTGCTGCTCACTCATCCTGGCCTAGAGTCAGAGGGCCTGGGATTGCTGGAGCCAAAGAAAACGGCAGGACAGAGTCCGATGGCATCAACCGCAGTGGGAGCACGGGGGAAAGATGTCTTGTGACAGGGATGAAGGGAGGTTCTAGGACAAGGAGATCAGGGCTGAGGCATAGCTTCAGGACTTATGGTGAAGCAGGCAAGCTTATGCCAGGCTGCAGGGTCAGAGACACAGTCAGGCCAAAGACGTTCTCGGACCCTCCACACCACACAGGTCCTAGGAAACGGGCTTCCGTGGCTGCTTTCCAGAGCACACAATCCCTGGGGAGCAGGGAGGTCATCTGAGGTCAGAAAAGACACATGGCCAATCCTTTCCCTGGAGCAATCTTCAAGCACATACACACACAGAATAAACTCTGCAAACGGTTCTAAAACATCACATGATGTCAAAATCACTAGAAAGAAACTCACTTGAACTTTCTCATCCCATATCTCAAGAAAGATTCTCCTCTGTCTGCTGATATCTGTAATTCCTTTAACAGCAATAGTTTTTCGTTTCATAAAAAGTGATAAAGGGCAAATTACCTGTGACAGATCGTGCAAATAAATTTCAGTCAAATGAAATTAGATTACTTAAAACAGCATGCTCAGAACAGAACAGATACCAGTTCATACCCACTGTTTTCCAGCTACACGTCCTCAGTTACCTAACAACTCAGTCTCTGCTTGCTTACTTATACAATGAGGGGCCACCACCTCTCAAGCAGTAAAACTGCCAATGGGGCACACAATCAGCCCCCTCTTCCCTTCTACGTCTTAACGGGGGATAGAAAACAAGGTACTGGGAATATAAAGAGAAGGAACGGATATACTAAGGCATAAAAGGCAGAGAACAGGAAGAAAGTCAATGCTGCAATGACAGAACTTTTCCATTTTCTTTTTTTTCCTCTCTCTTTTTTTGAGATGGAGTCTCGCTCTGTTGCACAGGCTGGAGTGCAGTGGTGCGATCTTGGCTCACTGCAACCTCCGCCTCCCCGGTTCAAGCAATTCTCCTGCCTCAAGCTCCCGAGTAGCTGGGATTACAGGCATGCACCACCACGCCTGGCTAATTTTTTGTATTTTTAGTAGAGATGGGGTTTCCCCATGTTGGCCAGGCTGGTCTCAAACTCCTGGCTTCAAGTGATCCACCTGCCTTGGCCTCCCTAAGAGCTGGGATTACAGGCGTGAGCCACTGTGCCTGGCCTAGATAACATTTTAAAGGTAAGATATGAATCAGAATAATAAAACATACCATAGAGGCATTAAAGGGAATTACAAAAATAAAGTGTGTATACATGTGTGTGTGTGTATATATATATTTGAATTTACACGTGGGTCAATCAAAGCAAGTACAATAACTACATTATGAATACCTCATAAAGAGCATAAAGCAAAAAAAATCATAAAACAGAGAGAGGCAAGAATTTAAAAACTGTTCAGTACACAGATAAATTCAAATCTTTCATTTTAAAGACTTAAACTCTGGCTAGTCAAAGAAATATATTAAAACGTAATGTAAGAAATATATACCATGTAAAACTAGACTGAAAGAAACAAACAGATTGTATTCGACATAAACAATAACTTTGGACAACACATAAAAATGCTCTAAGTCCCATCTAGTGTATTTGGTCTGACCCATTAAACATTTTTAATTATTATAAAGGCCTAAGCAGAAAAAAAAATGAGCATATTCAGATAATAAGAAAAAAAGTGAAAAAGTAAAGTCATAGAAAAATATATATGGGTATAAGCTGAATAGAAGGGAGCTAAAAAAGAGATTAAAATATGTACTTTTCAAATTAATTATCCACCTGCTATTTACTGCCAATCCTAGCAATTTACTCACATGGCAAACCTTACTTACCTGCCCTAATCTTCTACATCAATAGTGTCAAATTACAACACCAAGATTCTATCCTAAATATCAGTAGCATATAAGCAAGTAGCACTATCTCCCTGAATACTTACTGTAAAAGAGTAACATTACTAATTTTATACAACTGTATGTCTCTAAAGCAGCACTATCCAATATCATTTTCTGCAATGACAGAAATGTTCTCTATCTGCACTGTCCAATGTAGCCACTAGCCACATGTGGCTAGTGAGCACTTGAAATGTGGCTAGTGTACAGGCGTGGTGGTGGGAGCCTGTAATCCCAGCTACTCCGGAGGCTGAGGCAGGAGAATCGCTTAAACCCGGGAGGCAGAGGTTGCAGTGAGCTGCACTTCACCCTAGGCAACAGAGTGAGACTCCGTCTCAAAGGAAAAAAAAAAAAAAGAAATGTGGCTAGTGTAACCAAGGAACTGAATTCTAAGTTTTAATTAATTTAAACTTACACAGTCACATGTGCACTAGTGGCTGTCATACTCAGCAGTACAGGTCTAAAGTATTACAAAGTTAACTTCACCGACTGCAACTGCCTTTCAGAAAAAGAAACAATTTCCCATTGCTAAACATGAATTTACTAACCTTCCAACTGAAAAGCATATTACTTTTGCTTTGGCCAAAATGTATGTAAGTCCCCTATTTTCAGTAATCTAATCTAATCTAAACCTGATTAATATCTTTTGCATCAGATATTAATTGTAGCATCACTTTGAACCCATCAGAGGTACAAGTTTTTTAAAAAATAGGGTCATAATCCTATAAAAATTGCTTCATCTGAAACACCATCTAAATATCCTTTCTCTTCTTATAAAAATAAAAACATCAGGAACTTGTAAGGGTTGGTTTACAGAGGAAAAAGAAAAGTCAGTGCAGGCAATGTCAATGGAAATGGAGGAGACAGTACACATTACAACAGAGGTAGCGACTGACAGTGCCAAATACGGAAAATGCAAAATAGAATGAGACTTAGAAAAAAACTAATAAAAGCCACAGGTCTGATTCTTTATACAAAGTTCTTGCAGACATATGTGATTCAGAATTCAGAAATATGGTACCTAGGTCATACATCATAGCTCAGACATTGCAGAACACCCAGCAGGATCTGCTAATAGACTCTGCCCCTGGGTTTTCAATCAAGTACATTTTATCCATCTGTATTCCCAAATTTCCATCTCTAGCCCAGCTACCCAGCTCCTACTACATGTCTTAGTTACCAATCTCCTCTTATATGTCTTACAGATATCTTAAAGTCATCATTCACTTACACAGCAAAACTTCATTGAGTGTTTACTATATACCAAACACGTTTAGGGGCTGAATATATACCCACTTGAAATGCCTATGCCACCTTCTACATGCTCCCCACTTTCAGGACTCCCCACCTCAGAAGACAGTGCTTCCATCTACTCTACTCCTCAAGCTGGAAACACGGAAGTCATCCTTGACACCTTATTTCCTACCGGTCCTTCTAACTCTCTCTCCAGTCTACTCAGTTCACTGCATCTCTCCACTGCTATCACCTACAGACTAAGCCAGTGGTTCTTCACAGCAGGCAATTTCGCTTCTCCAAGAGACATGTGAAAATATCTGGAAACATTTATGGTCGTCACAGCTCAAGGGGTGCTACTGGCATCTAGGTGGTAAAAGCCAGGAATGCTGCCTAACATCCTAGAAGGCACAGGTTAGTACTGAATGTCAATGAATCATCCATCCCAAAATGTCAACGGTGCTTTAAGTAAAAAGAAGAATGATGCATACCAATGATTTTATTTTTGTATTTATGACAATTCTTCTTTAAAAAATTATCACAATTCATAATTACTTTTAATGTAATAAATAAAATTCTATTTTGATGCAGTTCTATTCAAGTGAAATATATATTTTCATGTGAACAAAGTGAATACTTACTTGTGCATGTTCTCCACTCCTATGATGATCATGATACAGTAGGAAATTCCACTTTGTACAAGAAAGTGTAAGGCATACCTATAAAAAGTAAGAGCACTATTAGAAGAGGGATGCCAAGTCACAAACATCAAGCTGAAGTGAATTAAGCTAAAAAATACTTATGCATAACACAGTATTCCCAGAAAAAAAAATAAGGAATGAAACTTCAGGAGCTTAAAATCCTGTGGACACCCTAAAGAGAGAGTCCCATACCACAGGCTCCAGAAGAGCTGGGGGGAAAAAACAAGGCCTAAAGCCATGCCCAGTGCCCAGCACTCCATGTCTCCTGGCTGCATGGAAGCCGTGTGGGATTACATGGCTCAGGATTATAGCTTTCTTCATAACTCAAGGCACAATTATTTTAAAAAGTAATTAATATGAATTTCAGGATCGTCCTGACAGAACATCGGTTGTTTCCCCAAACTAGTTTCTCCAGTACCAACTTTGTACTCTGCCTTTACCTTTTTAACAATATGACTGACAAAACAACAAAAAGTGCTAAATATTAGAATTTACAAAAGAAAAGCGTATACTCTTCTCAATACATGATGGCTCAAGTCAAATAAACTTCCTTATATAAATCAAATTCATTAATTTTAATTTGCTGTAACGTATCTACAAACATCCTGGCTAACATGACAGTCTTTTCTTTTTTTGAGGTGGAGTCTCACACTGTTGCCTGGGCTGGAGTACAGTGGCGCGATCTCAGCTCACTGCAACCTCTGCCTCCCAGGTTCAAGTGATTCTCCTGCCTCAGCCTCCCGAGTAGCTGGGATTACAGGTGCCCACCACCACACCCAGCTAATTTTTTGTATTTTTGGTAAAGACAGGGTTTCACTATGTTGGCCAGGCTGGTCTTGAACTCCTGACCTCGTGATCTGCCCACCTCAGCCTCCCAAAGTACTGGGACTACGGGCATGAGCCACCGTGGCCAGCCCATGACATGGTATTTTCTAATATTCCAATATTCTTGAAATCCACCATTAAATTAGATAATTTACTCATTTCACAAAATTCAGGCAAAACATGATTAGGATGTCTGTGACTAAAATCAATCAAAACTATCCCTAATTTATGCATGTCCGTGCATGCACACACACTCTCTCCACTTTCTTTCCCCTTTGGGGGAATGAACAATTTAAAATAAAATTTTCGAATCATCAGGCACAATTTAAAGTACTTTATTTTTTTTCTTGAACCTCTAAATCTAGTTTAAACTACTACTAAGGGTGTTAACCTATGATTCAAATAACTTTTAATCTTTATGGAATAACAGGCACCTCCAATGTGGAAAAGTTATGCAAAATTTTGAACACATTTTTCCATAGAAATATTATAAACCAGTAATAGTCTCCAAGGCAGGCCTGTAGGAGAAACTTATTTGACCCACTGTACAGAATAGGTCAGTCTATCTGTTTGACTGACACACACACACACACACACACACACACACACACACGAAAATAATGTTGGCCTTTTTTTAATACCATTATAATCAGAGGAAGCAGAAAAACCTAAATGAGTATAAAAGGAAATAGAAGAAAGCTTTTTTAAAAAACAATTAAAACACACACTTTTCAAATTTATGATCTACCTCTTATGTGTTGCCAACACTAGCAATTCACTGGCTGACTCCTGACTTCGTGCGAAAGGTGACAAGGTCTGCTAGAACACCCTTAAGGGCTTCTTAAACTGCGAGGAGAACTCAATACAGGTACTTATCTTAAACACGGAAAACACATTTTTGAGGACTCTTGGGGGAAAAAAGTGTTCCTTTGCTACGTTAAATTTCTTGAAATATGAGGGATATATCATAACTTTAGAAGCTACAAGTCTTACTTCTCAAACAGTGCTATGGTGCCTCATATCACCTTAAGGTGCCCCCTCCTCTCCTGACATCGCCATTCAGGTGATATGTTTGGCCATCTTTGGAGAGCAGTATAATACTTGGGCAGCCTCCTGCTGTGTAAACCTTCGTTGCTGCAACAATCCAAGTTCAGCAGTAGAAAGTGAATCTGCATTTACCTCTATCTCACTGACCTCCACAACAAGCATTCAGTTGCTTTTCCACTCAATGAATGCACTGGTGATAATCTTCCTAATTTTCTGTACTGAGCTACTCTGCTTGTTCTCATTGGTAAAGTGACCATAATAAACACAGTGGCCACTTGAGATTTTTCAGGATTAAGAGATAATACATTAAAAGCGTTGATGGGGTTATCTAGCACGTAGTAAGCACTCAACTATTAAGTATTATTAGTAAAGTAAAAATTAAAGATAGATATGTTAAAAGTCTATTATCATTCAACCCTCGTGATTTCAGAACTGAGGAAACAAAGATCATCTATCTAGTCAGTATATTCCAACTAACATCAAAACTCACGTTGTTTCGGGGCAATTTATCCACTGGCTGATTCTCTAAGGAATGCAGCCGGGTAGAATGGAACCCCATGGGCTGTGGATCATCATCTTTTAAGCTACCTAAAAAGTGCTTTGAAAATGAAACAATGCTTTGTCACAAAACGTTAGTTTGTTTTCAGATATCACATTTTAACTCTTCTGAATTTCAAGTCACACTAAAGGCATAAGGTTTATTTTTAGAAAAAAAAAAGAGCACAGGTTTAAAAAAAGGTTGAAAACACCTCTTCAATTGTTCCACTAATCTTTACTGAATGTCTACCTTCTGAAAGGCACTGTACTGAACACTAGAAATACAAGTCAATGAGACCGTTTATGTCCTCACAGAGCTCCCAGTCTAGAGAGAAAGACAATAATAAATAGATTACTTCAATACTGTACGATATATGCTAAAAAAGAGATTAGATAAACACAAAAATTTCCAATCTGCATCACTCTGGATGATGGTAATAACAGATGAATGACTCTGAGTAACTTCCCATGTTCGTAATGACTAGCTATCACGCCATGTTTTCTGTAGTTTTACAGATTTATTTCTCACAGTAATCATTCGTTCTATGTCACAGATGAGGAAAGTGAAGCTCAGAGTGGCTAAATAACATGTCCAAAGTCATACAGCCACCAGACCAAGGCACCCACACTGGAATACAGGTTTGCCTGACTTCAGAGTTTAAGCTCTATTCCATTACCCTATAGTGTTATTATCAAGGACATTTAAATAAATAATTAAAGTCTAAATTAATTCTCACTTAAAAGGAACTTGCAGATGATTGTTTTAAAAGAAAAAAGCTAAGACCAAAGAGAAGCAGGTAAACGATCAGTTACAGGCATGACTTGTTTTACTGCACTTTGCCTTACCGTGCTTTGCAGATACTGAGATTTTTCCAACTAGAAGGTTTGTGGCAACCCTGCATCGTGCCAGCCTCTTGGCACCATTTTTCCAATAGCACGTGCTGAGACTTCATGTCTCTCTGGCGTATTTTGGTAATTCTCAACAATATTTCAAACTTTTTCAATATTATTTTACCTGTTATAGTGATCTGTGATCAGCGATCTTTGATATTACTACTGTAATCGTTTGGGGGCACCACAAACTGTGCCCACATAAGAACTTAATTGATAAATGTTAGGTGTGTTCTGACTGCTCCACTGACCGGCAGTCTCTGTCTTCCTCTGTCTCTCTCCCTCTCCTGAGGCTTCCCCATTCCGGAGAGACAACAATTATTGAAATTAGGCCAATTAATTAACCTACAATGGCCTCTAAGTGTTCAAGTGAAAGGAAAAGTTGTATGTCTCTCACGTTAAATCAAAAACTAAAAATGATTAAGCTTAGTGACGATGGTATGTCAAAAGCCAAGACAGGCTGAAAGCTAAGCCTCTTGCACCAGTTAGTCATGCCGTAAATACAAAGAAAAGGTTATGGAAGGAAACTGACAGTGCTACTCCACTGAACACACAAATGGTAAGAAAGCAAAACAGCATTGCTGCTAATACAGAGAAAGTTTAATTGTCTGGACAGAAGCTCAAACCAGCCAAACATTCCTTAAGCCAAAGCCTAGTCCAGATCAAGACCCTAACTCTCTTCAATTCTAGTAGGGTGGAGAGAGATGAAGCTGGAGAAGAAAATTTTGAAGCTAGCAGACACTGGCTCATGATGTTTAAGGAAAGAAGTCATCTCCAGAAATAAAAATCCAAGGTGAAGCAGCAAGTGCTGAGGTTATCTAGATGCTGCAGCAAGTTACCCAGAAGATCTAACTAAGATCACTGATGAAGGCGGCTACACTAAGCAAAAGATTTTCAGTGTAGATCTAATAGCCTACTACTGGAAGAAGATGCCATAGAGAACTTTCATAGCTAGAGAGGAGAAGTCAACACCTGATTTCAAAGCTTCAAAGGACAGGCTAATGCAGCTGGTGACTTTAAGTTGAAGCCAATGTTCATTTACCATTCCAAAAATGCTGGAGTCCTTAAGAATTACGCTAAATCGATTCTGCCTGTACTCTGTTAATGGAAAAACAAAGTCTGAACCACAGCAGCTCTGCAGCATTGTTTACTGAATATTATAAGCCCCTTGTCGAGATCCATTGCTCAGAAAAAAAAGATTCCTTTCAAAATATTCCTGCATATTGACAATGTACCTGATTATCCAAGAGCTCTGACAGAGGTGGACAAGGAGATTAATGTTGTTTCCACACCTGCTAACACAATACCCATTATGCAGCCTGCAGATCAGGGAGCAATTCTGACTTTCAAGTCTTGTTATTTAAGAAATACATTTCGTAGGGCTATAGCTGCCATAGATAGTGATTCCTCTGACGGATCTAGGCAAACTAAATAGAAAACTTTCTGGAAAGGATTCACCATTCTAGATGCCACTAAATACATCTGTGATTCATGGAAGGAGGTCAAAATATAAACATTAGCAGCAGTTTGGAAGAGGTTGATTCCAACCCTCATGGATGACATTGAGGGGTTCAAGACTTCAGTGGAGGAAATAACTCCAGATGTGGTGGAAAATAGCAAGAAAACTAGAAGTGAAGCCTAAAGATGTGACTGATTACTGCAATCTCATGATAAAACTTCTCAACAGATGAGTAATTGCTTCTTATGGATGAGCAAAGAAAGTGATTCCTTCAGATGGAGTCTACTCCTGGTAAAGATACTGTGAACACTGTTGAAATAACAACAACAAAAAATTTTTTTTCCAACTTCTATTTTATACTCAGGGGATACATATGCAGTACCTAGGTATATTCCATAATGATGAGGTTTAGGGTATGAATGATCCCCTCACCCAGGTACTGAGCATAGTACCCAACAGTTAGTTTTTCAACTGTTGCTCCCCTCCTTATCTCCCACCTCTAGTAGTCCCCAGTGACCACTGCTGCCATCTTTATGTCCATGAGTACCCAAATGTTTAGCTCCCACTTATAAGTGAGACCATGCAATATTTGGTTTTCTGCTGCTATGTTAATTTGCATAGGATAATGGCCTCCAGCTCCATCCATGTTGCTGCAAAGGGCATGATTTCCTTCTTTTTACAGCTGTGTGGTATTCCATGGTGTATATGTACCACATTTTCTTCATCCAGTCCAGCACTGATGAGCATCTAGGTTGATTCCATGTCTTTGCTATTGTGAACAGTGCTGCGATTAACAGGGAAATGCATGTGTCTTTTTGGTAGAATAATTTGTTTTCCTTGGGGTATATACCCAGTAATGGGATTGCTGGGTCAAACGGTAGTTGTTTCAAGTTCTTTAAGAAATCTGCAAACTGCTTTCCACAATGGCCGAACTAACTTACTTTCCCAACGTTGTATGAAGCATTCCCTTTTCTCCATAGCCTTGCCAATATCCGTTGTGTTTTGACTTTTTAATAATAACCATTCTGACTGGTATGAGATGGTATCTCATTGTGGTTTTGATTTGCATTTCTCTGATTAGTAATGTGCAGTAATTTTTTCATGTTTGTTGAACACTTGTATGTCTTCTTTTGAAAAGTGTCTTTTCATGCCTTTTGCCCATTTTTAATGGGATTATTTGCTTTTTGCCTGTCCAACTGTTTAAGTTCCTTATAGATGCTGGATATTAAACCTTTGTCAAATCCACAGTTAGCAAATATTTTCTCCCATTCTGTAGGTGGTCTGTTTACTCTTGACAGTTTCTTTTGCTGTGCAGAAGCTTTTTGGTTCTAATTAGGTTCCACTTGTCAATTTTTGTTTTTGTTGCAATTGCTTTTGAGGACTTAGTCATAAATCCTTTCCCAAGGTCAATGCCCAGATAAAATGATGTTCCTTGCTTTTTTTTTTTTCAGGGTTCTTACAGTTTGAGGTCTTACATTTAAATCTCTAATCCATCTTGAGTTAATTTTTGTACATGGTGAAAGGTAGGGGTCCAGTTTCATTCTTCTGCATATGGCTAGCCAATTATACCAGCACCATTTATTGACTAGGGAGTCCTTTCCCCACTCTTTATTTTTGTCAATTTTGTTGACAATTAGATGGCTGTAGGTGTGTGGCTTTATTTTGCAGTCTTCTATTCTGTTCCATTGGTTTGTGTCTGTTTTGTACCAGTATCATGCTGTTTTGGTTACTGCATCCTTATAGTATAGTTTTAAGTCATGTAGTATGATGCCTCCAGCTTTGTTCATTTTGCTTAAGATTGCTTTGGCTATTTGGGCTCTTTTTTGGTTCCATATGAATTTTAGTATAGTTTTTTCCAATTCTGTAAAAAATGACATTGGCAGTTTGATAGAAATTGCTTTGGGCAGTATGGCCATTTTAGTGGCATTGACTCTTCCAATCCATAAGCTGAGAGGTTTTTCCATTTGTTGTGTCATCTATGATTTCTTTTAGCAGTGTTTTGAAGCTCTCCTTGTAAAGATCTTTCGCCTCCCTAGTTAGATGTATTCCTAGGTATTTTTTTTTCTGTGTGGCTATTGCAAATGAGATTACATTCTTGATTTGGCTCTCAGCTTGAACATTATTACTATACAGAAATGCTGCTGATTTCTATACATCGATCTTGTAGCCTGAAATCTTGCTACAATCATTTATCAGTTCTAACAGCCTTCTGGAGGAGTCTTTAGGGTTTTCTAAGTATAGAATCATATCATCAGCAAAGACCGAGAGTTTGACTTCTTCTTTTCCTATTTGGATGCCTTTTATTTCTTTCTCTTGCTTAATTGCTGTGGCTAGCACTTCCAGAACTATGTTGAACATGAGTGGTGAGAGTGGGCATCCTTCTCTTGTTCCTGTTCTCAAGGAAATGCTTCCAGTTTGTTTTTTGTTTGTTTGTTTGTTTGAGACACAGTCTCGCTCTGTCACTCAGGCTGGAGTGCAGTGGCGCGATCTCAGCTCACTGCAAGCTCCGCCTCCCGGGTTCATGCCATTCTCCTGCCTCAGTCACCCAAGCAGCTGGTACTACAGGCGCCTGCCACCATGCCTGGCTAATTTTTTGTATTTTTAGTAGAGACGGGGTTTCACCGTGTTAGCCAGGATGGTCTCGATCTTCTGACCTCATGATCCACCCGTCTCGGCCTCCCAAAGTGCTGGGATTACAGGCATGAGCCACTGCACCCAGTCAAATGCTTCCAGTTTTTGCCCATTCAGTATGATATTGGCTGTGGGCTTATCATTGATGGCTCTTGGTATTTTGAGGTATGTTCCTTTGATGCCTACTTTCCTAAGAGTTTTTTTTATCATGACAGGATGTTGGATTTTATTGAAAGCTTTTCTCACATCTATTGAGATGATCATATAGTTTTCATTTTTAATTCTATTTATGTGGTGAACCATTGATTTGTATATGTTGAACCATCCTTGCATCTGAGGAATAAAGCCTACTTCATCATGGTGAATTAACTTTTTGATGTGCTGTTGAGTTTGGCTTGCTATGGTATTTTTGCATCTATGTTCGTCAGGGATATTGGCCTGTAGTTTTCTTTCTTTGTTGTGTCTGCCAGGTTTTGGTATCAGAGTGATGCTGGCTTCACAGAATGAGTTAATAAGGGGTCCCTTCTCCTCAATTTTTTTGTAATACTTTCAGTAGAATACTGGTACCAGCTTTTTTTTTTTTTTTGAGACAGAGTCTCACTCTGTCAGCCAGGCTGGAGTACAGTGGCATGGTCTGGGCTCACTGCAATCTCTGTCTCCTGAGCTCAAGCAATTCTCCTGCCTCAGCCTCCCGAGTAGCTGGGATTACAGACATGTGTCACCACACCTGGCTAATTTTTGTGTTTTTAGTAGAGATGGGGTCTTGCCATGTTGGCCAGGCTGGTCTTGAACTCCTGACCTCAGGTAATATACCCACCTTGGCCTCCCAATGTGCTGGGATTACAAGTGTGAGCCACCGTGCCCTGCCACTAGCTCTTCTTAGCACATCTAATAGAAATCAGCTGTGAATCTATCTGGTCAAGGGCTTTTTTTGTGGTTGGTAGGTTTTTCATTACAGGTTCGATTTTAGAACTCAATATTGGTCTGTTTGGTGTTTCAATTTCTTCCTGATTCAATCTTAAGAGACTGTGTATTTCCAGGAATTTATCCATTTCCTCTAGATTTTCTAGTTTGTGTGCACAGAGATGTTTATAATAGTCTCTGAGGATCTTTTTGTATTTCTGTGGGATCAGTTGTAATGTCACCTTTGTCAATTCTGATTGTGCTTATTTGGATTTTCTCTCTTTGTTAATCTAGCTAGCAATCTATTGGTCCTCTTTATCCTTTTAAAGAACAAACTTTTGGTTTTATTGAGTCTTTGGTTGGATTTTTGGGTCTCAATTTCATTCAGTTCAGCTCTAATTTTAGTTATTTCTTTTCTTCTGCTAGCTTTGAGGTTAGTTTGTTCTCGTTTTTCTAGTTCCTCTAGGTGTGATGTTAGATCATTAATTTGAGATCTAACTTTTTGAGGTGGGTGTTTAACACTGTATACTTTCCTCTTAACACGCTTTTGCTGCATCCCAGAGATTTTGGTATATTGTGTCTCTGTTTTCATTTATTTCAAAGAATTTTTATGCTTCTGCTTTGATTTCATTGTTTATCCGAAGCAATTCAGGAGCAAATTGTTTAATTTCCATGTAATTGTGTGGTTTTGAGAGATCTTCTTGGTATTGATTTCCATTTTTATTCAATTGTGGTCCAAGAGTATAGATAGTATGATTTCAGTTTTTCTGAATGTATTGAGACTTGCTTTATGCCTGAGCATGTGGTTGATCTTGAAGTACATTCCATGTGCAGATGAGAAAAATGTATATTCTGTGGCTGATGGGTGGAGTATTCTGTAGATGTTTATTAGGTCCACCTAGTCAAGTGATGACTATAAGTACAGAATTAATTTATTAGTTTTCTGCCTCATTGATCTGTCTAATGCTGTCAGTGGGAGTTAAAGTTCCCCACTATTAATGTGTGGCTAAGTCTTTTCATAGGTCTAGAAGTACCTGTCTTATCAATCTAAGTGCTCCAATGTTGCACATGTACACACTAGGATAGTTAAATCTTCTTGAGTTGAACCCTTGAGAGGGAGGATTTTATGTAATTTTATCCAGGTAGAATTGTATGTAATTTTATGATTTTATGCATGTAGGTTTCATTATGTAACGCCCTTTTTTTTTTTTTTTTACTGTTGCCGGTTTTATCATATATAAGAATAGCAAGCAACCTCTGCTTTTGTTTTTTCCATTTGCATGGTAGATCTTTCTCCAACCCTTTACTTTGAGCCTGTGGATGTCATTATGTGTGAGATGGGGCTCTTGAAAACCGCAGAAGAATGGGTCTTTTGTTTTTATTCCACTTGCCACTCTGCCTTTTAAGTGGAGCATGTAGGTCATTTATATTCAAAGTTAATATTGATATGTGAGGTTTTCATTCTATCATGACATTGTTACCTGGTTGCTTTGTAGTTTCTAATGTGTGGCTGCTTTACAGGGTCTGTGGGCTATATATTTATGTTGTTTTTTGTGGTAGCAGGTATTGTTCTTTGTTTCTGTGTTAGAACTCCCTTAAGGATCTAAGGCTGGTCTGATGGTAACAAATTCCCTTAGTGCTTGCTTGTCTAGAAAAGAGTCTAGTTCTCCTTCACTTAAGAAGTTTAGTTTGGTGGGTTATGAAATTCTTGGTTGGAATTTCTTTAAGAATGCTGAAAATAGCTCTCCAATCTGTCCTGGCTTGTAAGGTTAGCCTGATGGGGTTCCCTTTGTATATAACTTGCCCTTTTTCTTGAGCTGCCTTTAAGATTTTTTTCTTTAGCATTGACCTTGGACAGTCTGGTGACTATATGCCTTGCTGATAATCATTTTGTATACTATCTTGCAGATGTTTTCTGGATTTCTTATATATGGATGGCTACTTCTAGCAGGATTAGGGAAGCTTTCCTGAATAATTCCCTCAAATACATTTTCCAGGTTGTTTGCTTTTTCTCCTTCTCTCTCAGGAATGCTAATAATTTGTACATTTGGTTGCTTTACATAATCCCATATTTCCTGAAGATTTTGTTCATTTATTAAAATTCTTTTTTATTTTTGTCTGATTGGGTTAGTTCCAAAGACTCGTCTTCAAGCTCTGAAATTCTTTTGGTCCAGTCTACTGATAAAGCTTTCAATTGTATTTTAAAATTCCTTGAGTGAGTTTTTCAATTCCAAAAGCTCTGACTGATTTCTTTTACAGATGTTTATCTCTTCCTTCATTTCCTGGATTGCCTTAGAAGTTTCTTTGTGTTGATTTTCAACTTTGTCTTGGATCTCACTGAGCTTCCTTACAATCCATGATTTGATTCTTTATCTGTCATTTCTGAGTTTCCATTCTGGTTAGGGTCCATTGCTGGAGATCTAGTGCAATCATTTGGCAGTGTCACTACATGATGCCAAAATTCTTGCACTGGTTCTAGAGATGCTGGCACTTCTAATTTTTTAATTATTTTCATGCAGGTAAGATTTTTTTCTTTTTCTTTCCTTCCCTATAATGTTATTTCTTCTTTCCTTTTTCCTTTTTCTCCCTTCTTAATGAGTGTGACTGTAGAGAATGCTAGGTAGGGCTTTTGGGCTTTGCTTCTATAGCCCTATACACTTCTTTTGGCAGGTTTTATATCAGGCTGTGGAGTTCAACCTACAAGCCCACAGATGGTGCTTATAGGTGAAAGCCAGCTGCAGCCAACATAGCTGCGTATATACTTGATCCTTGTTTACTGGCAGAAGCTCTCTATTGCCTCAGGCAATAAGCTGGTTTGTGGAGTATATAGTGGTCTGAGCTCCCTGCTCAGCCCTGGGGGGCAGGGGCCACAAAGAGCAGGGCCAAACAGAGCAGGTTGGCCTACAGATCCCCCAGTGGCAGGCACAGACACTAGCGCCAAGGGAGAATCCAGAGGGCAGCCACCGAGAATGCAGGATTGTGCCTAGGCATGCAGCTGGGAAACCATCTGGGCTCCATGTTCTCTACACAGGAATGGGAGATGGCTTAAACTTCTAATCTAGAAGAGTTGCCATTCCAGATGCTTGGAAATCTGCCTGGGCATGGAACAGACAGGATACCCTTGAACCACAGTCTATGTCCAGGAAGACTGGGGTGGCTCAGGCTGCTGAACCAGACAAGCAGATGCTCTGAATGCCTGTAGATTTGCCTGGGTGTGGAGCAGAGAGAGCCTCACTTCACCATGATCTGTGTCCAGGAGGGGTGGGGTGGCTCAGTCTGCTGGTCCAGGCAAACAGGTGCTCCAAATGTCTGGATTTCTGCCTGGGAGTGGAGCAGAGGCGGCCCTGTCATACCACAGTATCAGTAGAGCAGAGTGGGGCACCCAACAATGACACAGGTGGATCAGTTCCAGGTCGCCAAGCTGGCCTTGGCTGCAAGTGTTGCTGCCCAGGAGAAAGTGCAACTTAGCAGCTCTCCTCCTGCCCCAGGCTTGCAATGGAGGAAAGCACAATTCTAGCCCTACAGCTGAGGTGCTTTCCACAATTCTGGCTATGGAGGCCCCTACCCCACTCCAGAGCAGGTGCTCTAATCTCTGGCCTAAGACTGAAATGCCTACACTGCCATGCTGCTGAGTCACCAAGGAATGGCTGGCTTCATACGTGCCTGGATTAAAAATGGTGTCCTGTTCTCCATCCCAGGTCTGGGAGAATGTCTGCAGCTTTTCACGATGTCTGTCCTTCACAGCGTCTCCAACCCTCTCCCCAAGTTGGCTCCAGGGCTTGGGAGAAATAAAGTGCTCTCCCTCAGACTGGGTTGCTCAGATCCCCAGTGGAAAGGTGAGTCATAGAGAAGGTCTCCCTGCCTCTCTCACATACTGGGGCTTCACTCACTTTTATCAACTGGATGCTATCACGGGGGCTGTTTGCCAGCATTCTCTTCAGGATCTGGGGTGTCCTTCACAATTCTGGTGAATTCCTGTTTTCCTTCTTGAATTAAAGCTCAGAGAGTTGATCTTTATGTACTATCGTGCTATTTCCAAGTGGCTGAGGAACACTGAAAGTCTCTAATCAGCCATCTTGGACTGTAATTTTAATTCAGAATTTAGAATATTACATAAACTTAGTTGATAAAGCAGCAGCAGGGTTTGACTCCAATTTTGAAAGTTCTACTGTGGGTAAAAGGCTGTCAAACAGCATCACATGCTACAGAGAAATCTTTTGTGAAAAGAAGAGTCAATCACTATGGTAAACTTCATTGTTGCCTTATTTTTAGAATTTGCCACAGCAACCCAAACCTTCAGCAGACAACACTCTGATAAGTGAGCAGCCATCAACATCAAAGCAAGACACTCTACCAACAAAGAGATTACAACCCACTGAAGGCCCAGATGATCCTTAGTATTTTTTTACCAATAAAAAATTTTTCAATTAAGGTATGTACATTGTTTTTTTAGACATAATTATATTGCATACTTAATAGACCAGAATATAGGGTAAATATAACTTTTAAATGCACTGGGAAACCAAAAAAATTTGTGTGACTTGCTTTATTACAATATTCACTGTATTATGGGGGTCTAGAATCAAATCTGTAACATCTCTGAGGCATGCCTGTATATTTACAGAGTACTAACATGTTTTCCAAAAGGGAAGTTGTCAAAATCAATAGCAGATACGATTGCCTTTGAGCCTACAAAAGAAAGTACTGAAATGCAAATCAAAAGAATATATCCCTATTAGTTAATTCCAGTTAGCAAAGAGTTATCTTACACATGGTACAGAGGCATAAACAATCCGTCTTTCCAAAGAAAGAATACAGAAAGCTTTCTCCTTTAAGAAAAAAATAGAGAACTCATTTGAAAAATAAAAATAAAAATCCTGGCTGGGCACAGTGGCTCATACCTGTAATCCCAACACTTTGGGAAGTCGAGCTGGGCAGACTGCTTGAGTCTGGGAGTTCAACACCAGTTTGGACAACATAGCAAAACTCCACCTCTACAAAAAATTAGCCGGGTGTGGTGGCACACACCTGTAATCCCAGCTGCCCAGGAGGCTGAGGTGGGAGGATCAATCACCTGAGCCCAGGAGGTTGAGACTGCAGTGAGCTGTGATCATGTCACTGCACTCCAGCATGGGCAACAAAGTGAGACCTTGTCTTAAAAAATTGAAAAAATAAGAAATCCTGGTTATCACATATAATTTGAAGTACTTCAGACTACCTGACATTAACAATGTCGGGTTACTTGTGACATTGTGTTATAAGGCATCCAAGAAGACTTCACAGCAAGAGAACACTTCCTCAGTAAAAGATTTCTAGGTAAAGAGATGCCTCCTCATCTTTGGCAGTACCTCCATGTTACACAACTGTAGGAGATATTGTTTATATTTTTATCTTCTACTCTGTCTCCATAGACCACAGAGTGAATGGTGTCCCCTGGAGTTGGCCAATATGAACTACAAGCCCTTCCCAATGCATTATGAAAATATGCTACACAAATATATACTGAATATCAAAGTTATTTGTGGATGAAATGTATAGACTGGGATATACTTTAAAATACTCTACAAAAATAAGTTGGAGAAAGGATAAAACAAGAATGGTGGAATTTTAATAATCTGAAGCTGAGTGATGGGCATATGAGGGCTCACTATATTGTTCTTTGTACCTTTGTGTTTGAAAAGCGCCATAATCAAAAGTTTGAAAAATATACACTACTCCATGGCATGATTTATGAAAAGTTTAAATAGTATCACCTGAGAAACCTTAAAAAACTGTGATGATATAAATGTGATGTCAATGAAGCAAAAAAGACCAGACTTGGGTCTTATTTAAGAGGTCATATTTAAATCTCAATACTAACCACTATCTACCAGGGCAGTACCTAGCACAGGTAATATGGTAGAGACTGAATAAATTATCCCTAATTAATTTTTCATGAGTTTCTAGGAAACACTTGCAATTGCCACAGGCAAAAATTAGATTAAGAAATATCAGTGTATTCCAATCCTCATAACTATCAAAAACAACATCCTAGAACAAACACAGAAGCTCATCAAAGTCCCAGAGATTCTACACCCCACAGACCAAGTGAGTGCATTTTCAACCTCTCAGGGAATTCTGATATCAAACAACAATCTGCAGAAGAGCAAGCCTAGAAGTCCTTCACTGTGAATGGCGAACACTACAGCAGATGAGCATGCAGCACAAGTGCTCACGTAAGAAAGCAAGCTCAGGAAGAGACCACAAAGAGACTGCCGCTGAGAGTTTCTGCTGTTTTGCCAAGACAATGTGCCCTTCTGATTTCTTCAGCATGCACAGCTAACATTTGTTTGTTACTTCCTGTAACAAACAGGAAGTACAGTATTTCTGTATTTAAGGCTCTCGGAGTATCCCTGAGGATTGAGAAAGAGACCTAATGAAAGAAAACACCAACATCCATTTGAAAAGTCAGAAATAAAAGCTTTCCATCATAAATAATTCTTCCCCAGGAAGAACAGACAAATGAACAAACAAAAAGCCTCTTTTTGGTAATGGCAGAATCTAAAAAATGGCAATAAAGTTCTATCCATAGTCTTTATCAGGCTCTTAAAAGCTACTTGCCCAGAGAAAAAACAGGCAAACAAAAACACATTTAAATGGCTTTTCTGTCAGTATAAAAGATTTGCAAAATAGGTGTAAAGAACTACTCATGACAGAATCAAATGCCTTTATATCCTCTTCATCTGTCTTTCCACAAATTATAAATAGTAAATTTTCCTCTAAGACTAAAGAGAGAGCAAGCCCATTTCCCATTCGTTATTTTTTGTTTCAAAAATAAAAATATGAAAGTTGGCCTGGAGAAAAAACTTTTTAAGTAAATATAAGAACAAAACCCTACATAATGTATCTTTCCACACACTCAATTCTCAAATACATCCAAATAGTCTTCATTTTAAAAGGATCAAAATAATTACTTACCATCCAAAGCAAAAAAGTGCAAGATAAAGGCCCAAAAGGGTAGCAACTACATGTCTTATAAAAGAGCTAGTTTTGCTTGAATGTAGATAAGTTCGAAACCAAATGGCTGCTAGCAAGGCAAAGAGTTGGCACACTACAAAGTTGACCTGTAAAGAAAAATTAAAATTTTGTATTAGCAACACAGACCTGAATTTTTCATATCATGTTACATTGAAATTCTCAGGACAAAAACACCAAGGTTACACAAAAATTGACCTTCCAAGTTAACAAAACAAAAACAAAAATTGAGGGAAATCCCAAGGATGAGCCTCAAGTTCCAAGTGATGGGCCAATGCCCACCAATACTGTCTCTGCTAGACCTGGCAGGAGACAGGTGTGGCCACGTGGGGAGAGGTGTAGAAGGACACCTGGAAAAATCTGATTGACACTGGTCTGCAGACACAGAAACAAAAAGCCCAGGGCACCTATCGGTTAAAGGGAAGAGAAACGTGTTTTAATGACTGAGGGAACCCTGTAACCCGTGAAAAAGAGGAGCACTAAATTTCTTCGCAAAAGCTCTGGGAGGGGTCAATGTCCCCAAGTTCCCTGAGACTATAAGGGCACCAGGGCCTGGAGGATCTGGTGGGATGCAGGACAGTCTATGGCAATAGGAGTAAAGGGGAATCTACTGCGGCCTAAACATCACCACTGTAGCTGAGCTCTGAGGCATCTCAAGGATTGGCTCCCAAGGGGAAGGAATGAATTAGATAAGGGACAAAGCAGCCTTCGAAAAGCTCAAGTCCACCAACCTCAATTTTTAAATTTCCTTATAGTTCACTAGGAACTAAACTGTTCTTGACTTATAGAAGTGAAATACACTCTGGTAAGACTGCTGCTGCTCTTTTCCCTCCAAATAAAAAGACTGAAAATAAGAATCTCTCATGGTATGTAAAGATAGACTGGAGAAAAATCTCCATTTCCTTTTTTTCTTTTTTTTTTTTTTTAAGACAGGGTCTTGCTCTGTGGCCCAGGCTGGACTGCAGTGGTGAAATCACAGCTCACTGCAGCCTCTACCTCCCGGGCTCGGGCAATTCTCCCACCTCAGCCTTCCAAGTAGCTGGGACTACAGGCACACACCACCATGCCGAGCTAATCTGTGCATTTTTTTGTAAAGACAAAGTGTCACTATGTTGCTCAAGCTGGTCTTGAACTCCTGGGCTCAAACAATCTGCCTGCCTCTGCCTCCCAAAGTGCTGGGATAATAGGCATGAACAATCACACCTGGCCAAAATCTCCATTTCTCCCTTATGAAACATATTCTCATAGAATCTTAGGAATAATAGGCCTTAAAGTCTATAAATAAAGGAAAAAATCCATTGACATTAGGAACCTGCAAAAAAAATACATAACAAAACAATCAGTGTTTCAGGCACCTAAATTGTGAACAAATCACACTATCTACATGTAGCTATTTCCATAGACCCATAGAAATATCTCTGCCTAAAGACACAGACAAGTATGTTCTCTTTCTCACATATCAAGGAGAAAAACAGTAGAACGTTGTTGTACACTGTCTAAGAAACAATTGTTCTTTAAAACAGACTCAATAAAAGCAAAATGTCTTTCCAAAAGGTTCTAATACTTCCTGCCTTCTAAAGGGTTCTAATGGCATTTTTTTTAATTAAGCAAAAAGTGAATAGAATGGAAAAATTTGTGTTCTTCATATTAACTACTCACATCTACATGGCTTCTTACAGTTTAAAACTTTGTTTCAAGTATCTCTTATTTCTTTCTTTTTCAGATAGCTCCTAATTTAATTATTATAACAAAAATTTACTGAGCATCTACTATGGGCAAACATGGGAAATCTAAACATGCATGAGTCCCAGTCCTAGCTCAGGATGACTTTAGAACCTAATGGAAAACATAAACATATACAGAAGGAACGTCAACCCAACATCAGAGTCTTTTTAATGGTTATATAGAACATCCTTCAAGACACCACAGAAGAGCACGCCTGAAGGGGTGCCTGCCACAAAGGATGTGAGGGGTAAGCAGGGCGGGCAGCATTTCCCAATCCCGCTGATCTCCACAACCATAGGAGGGGGCAGCTTCCCTTCCCCCATTCCATATCAGTCTATTCATACATTACAAGACAAAGTATGATTCCTTCCAAGAAAGAGTATGTCAAGGACCACACACATACAGGATTTTACAGAATCTTTGAAATCATCTCTTTTCAACATTGTCATCGTTCAGATAAAGAAAATGAGATCAGGCCTCACACTGGACACTGAATCAAAGTCTTTGGGGAGATAGGCCCAAAAATATGTATAAAAAATAAAATGGAAACACAGGTTCTTATGATCCTCAAGGTGTGAGAAGCACTCTGTTGGACAATAAGGGAAAGGGCATTGTAAGGAAGAAAACAACATGAAGGAAGCACTTGGACATGAAAGCGCAAACGCACCGCGTGGCCAGGGATCATGGGAGATGAGGCTGGAAGCAGGGTGGTTCAGAAGTGAGGGCTTTGTATGCCACACCACGGCGTTTGAGCCCATAGTGATGACAAAACCATGGAAGATTTTTAAAACAAGGAAGTGATGAGATTGACCCTCCACCTCTACATATCCAGAACTCTTGGATACCCATGAGAAACTATGAACCACTCAATAGAAAACTGGGCAAAAGGAATGAACAATTTACAAATATCAATGTCCAATAAAATCTGAAAAATATTCTCTCTCAACCATAAGTAACGAAGTGTGAAATAAACCATCAGTGAGGCACTATCTTCCGCCTCTCAGTGCTGCTGGGGACATGAGAAAGCTGGTGCTCTACACTGTTAATCTGACTGTAACTTGGGGCAGCTCTTTAAAGAAAATTGGACAATGGCCACCAAAACTTAAAACATAATATCCTTTACCAAGAAACTGAACATTTACAACTTTACCCCAGATAAAGTGCACAAAAGCACAAGAGGCTTAGGCACACATGAAGATCCACTACACACTGTCAGAGCACACATGCACAGGGCCATCCACAGGGGACTGTTACACAAATAGAGCATTTCACATCTACAGAGAAGCAGCATTTCCATTTCCCATCAGTAGGGAAAAAAAAAAAGCTAGATATTTCCCATCAGTAGGAAAAACAAACCTAGATTATCCAATTAATGTAACTGGGGTAACTGGTTTTCCTTTTGGTAAAAACCAAGTTACACTCCTGTTTCATAAGCCACGTTGTTAATATTAATCGTGTGCTTATGTGGCAGGTATGAGTACACACCCCTCAAATCTCCACCCGCAGGGGGCATAATTGACCAAGAGCATCATCTGCAGCACACTTGATACCCATCACCAGGCTCATGCCAAGGCCATGCTGGGACCTCCTTAGAACTTCACTTCTCCACAGCCAGGCTCCCTGCCCAGATTCATGCCAAGGCCATACTCCCTACAGCCTGTGCCTCCCCCTGCCCAGCCTTCCTTCCTTCCCCCTCTCCTCCAGAGGGGACTGTCCTGCAGTCCGCAGCTCTCCCTTCTGCCAGCTCCCCAGAGCACTGTCTCATAGACAACTTCCCCAGCTCATCACTTGCTCATCTAATTGCTCCTTGGCACCTGCTCCTCAGAGGACCCAAGCTGACACAACACTCTAAGCACCTTACATTTATAATCTATTTAATCTTCACAATAACCCTATGAGGAGAACTCTACTATTATCTCCATTTACCGAGACTGAAACAGTTTAACTAGTGTAACTCGTTACAAATCAGGTAGTCTAGATCTAGAATTTGAATTCCTGACCACTGCATTATACTGCCTACCACATTTAAAAACAAACCCCAAACAGAATAATGGTCCATAAACAACTGTGATGGTCTTTAGTACCAGTCACCTATATCTGATTCTCTTCTCCTTCTGGGTAGACAGAGGATGTATTTCCTAGTCCCTTGTGGGGACGAGTTTTGGTTGGTGAATTGTTAGCAGAAGTGATGTGTGTTGCTTCTCGGCCAGAACACTTAACTGCCAGAACAAGAATCTTCAGAGTTGTTCTATCTGCAATGTTCCAGAAATGCTGAGGTGCAAATTACCCTGCCAGTCCATGAGTGGGCAAGTAGCAAGAGGGACCTTTGGTGGTTTGAGCCTGTGAGATTTGGAGATAGTTTATTACTGCAGCATAACCTAGCTATGAAAACTAAAACTATATATATATATATCCTAGACAAGAATGTAAGAGATTATAATCTTATGTGATATAACAATAATTTAATATAAATTTTATATATTGAATGGATTTACTCATAAAAATTAAAAACTTCTACAAAACAACAACAACAAAAAAACTAAAAACATCCTAAGTAACAATGTGGAAGGAAAAAGAACCTATATACACACATGGGATATGTAACAAAGAGTTAGTATTCAAAAGGTAGAAAGAACTCCTAAACGCCAGTAGGAGAAAGATAAACATCAGTTCAAAGATCAGGGCCGAGCGAGGTGGCTCCTACCTACAATCCCAACACTTTGGGAGGCCAAGACAGGAAGATCACTTGAATCCAGGAGTTTGAGCCTGGGCAACATGGTGAAACCCCATCTCTACAAAAAAATACAAAAATTAGCTGGGCATGGTGGTGCACACCAGTAGTCCCAGCTACTGGGGAGGTGAGGTGGAAGGATTGCTTGAGCCTTGGAGGTCAAGGTTGCAGTGAGCTGTGATCACGCCACTGCATTCCAGCCTAGGCAACAGAGTGAGAGCCTGTCTCAAAAAAAAAAAATTGAGGCGGGGGGGCAGGGGGAGGGAAAAAACTAACCCGAAAGTCACAAAAAGAAACTAATTTTTTTTTCTTTGAGACAATTTTGCTCTTGTTGCCCAGGCTAGAGTGCAGTGGCACGATCTCAGCTCACTGTAACCTCTGCCTCCCGGGTTCAAGTGATTCTCCTGCCTCAGCCTCCCAAGCAGCTGGGATTACAGGCATGCACTACCACGCCCGGCTAATTTTTGTATTTTTAGTAGAGATGGGGTTTCTCCATGTTGGTCAGGCGGTCTTGAACTTCTGACCTCAAGTGATCCACCCGCCTTGGCCTCCCAAAGTGCTGGGATTATAGGCATGAGCCACCACACCCAACCTGAAACTAAAAATTAAAATTAGATTTTTTAAAATGTGGTGAAAATAATTATATAAATCTGTATATTTTGATATGGAAGATTACCAAGAAATACTAGTAAGTGAAAGTTACGAGTTGTAGAAGAAAAATCCAAACTATGTATATACATTCATTTATTAAATATGCATTTATTCTGTAATTATGAGCCTACTATGCTTTTACTATGTGCTAGACATTAATATAGTGTCCATATAGTCCATTTATATATACCATACTTCACTAACTGTAGGTGCTCAGTAGATACCAGATGTGTGCCAGGCAGTGCAGCGCACTGTGCTTTACAAGAAGGGGTTCATGTAATAATCACAGCCACCTTGCACAACCAGGTACCCTTACTCCAGAGCCCATGCTATTCTACTTCCATATGCACAGGCCCAGAAACACTAGACACTAAACCATTAGATGCTGTCACCTCTAGGAAGGAGGTAATGGAGAACGACAGGGACTTGAAATATTCCAGTATTTCTAATACTACACGTACAATGAAGCCTCCTGTGCAAACCCCTCCTCTGGCCCTATTCCTTCCACCCCTCCCACAAAGAGTAACTACCAGCCTTAAGTTTGCTGCAGTATTCTCGTGCATATTTTTATACTTTTGCTACTTGTGTATTTTACATATTGTATTGCTTTGAATATTTTAAACTAAAAATGGTGTAAAACTGAGCGTAAGCTTCTGCAATTTTTTTCACTTAATATTACATTGCTGACATTTATCTATGTTGATACACATGGCTCTACCTTATTTACTCATCTTGTGTATTATATTTCATTGTGTTAATACCCAGAGTAGAACCTCCAAGTCAAGCAACATCCACTTGACTAATTTACATATTGCATTGCTTTGAATATTTTAAACTAAAAATGGTGTAAAACTGAACGTAAGCTTCTGCAATTTTTTTCACTTAATATTACATTGCTGACATTTATCTATGTTGATACACATGGCTCTACCTTATTTACTCATCTTGTGTATTATATTTCATTGTGTTAATACCCAGAGTAGAACCTCCAAGTCAAGCAACATCCACTTGACTAAGTATTGCTAAATTGCTCTCCTAATTATTTATCAGCAATGTGAGTTCCACTGCTCCATATTCTTGACAACACTTGGTACTGTCAGACTACTAATTTTTGCCAAGCTAATAAATATAAAACATTATTTCTCTATTTTTTAAATGTGTATTTCTCCTGATTACTAGCCAGGATGAACATTTTTCTTATGTCTATTGGACATTTAGTTTTCCCTTTATATCCTTTGCCCATTATTCTATCAGCTTGTCTTTTTCTCATTGACTTCTTTAAAAAGAATTCTTTATATATCTGAAACTGATCTTTTGCAAATAGCATCTCTCTCAGTCTACAGCTTAGTCTTGTATCTTTGTTTATGGTGTCTTTTCCAATAGTGATTTCCTTTACAGTCTGTGAGCTCTTTAGCTTTTTATTTTTGCAGTATACATACAACTGTATTACACGAATACATGGACACGCATCAATGTACTTCTTGGTTTAGTTTTTTTAAAAAACAGAAAATAGTTCAAGTGTAATTATATCATTGAGTAAGAGAAACCAGGAATTCTGAATTTTCCACTTACGGCATTAAAACATTTATCTATACCTATTTCCTACTTAAACCAAATACCTTAGCGCTCCCAGTGCTAACATTTTCCATTCCTGTGTAATAAATTTTATTACATTTCACGAAACCTAAGGTATCCTCAATGCTCATGTGAGATCAGTGTTATCTCTACTTTAAAAGGAAACAGCAAGTACAGCAGATGTGGGACCTCAACCTCTGCGATCTCCATCTTACACTTTTTTCCTTTTAGTTCCAAAGTTGAACCTGATCTTATCATTTTTAAATTTTTACTAAGGGTGCTTACACTTTAATTAACATGTGGTTAAAAAATACAAAAATGTTATCCACAAATTTACATTCTGTCTCCACAAAAGATTGTATATTTTCTCCAGCTTTATATGTATATTTTCTCCAGCTTTATATGCTTTAAATTTCCTCCCTCTTACTAGAACACGAGAAAGGAGTTTCTAGGGTATTTAAAATGCATATCAAACCATACACTTATATGTAATTGAGCAATCTTCTGAAAAGATCTGCACTGTTCAAATATGATAGCCACTAGCCACACGCCCATCAACTGCCACACGTGCCCAACAAAAGCTTGTTAATTATCTCCACATCAGAATTAAGCATTCTACACTAAGCCAAAAATTAACCTATAATAATTTTGGAGTAAAAAAACCTTAAATTTCAATATAGCGCAAAGTGATTACAATCTTCAACAAATCAATAAAAACAGCCCCAAAAAATCAATTGTTACATCCACATCTCTACTGATGGAATACAAAATATGTTCTAATTTTTAAAAATAACATTAACGGATTTTTGATAACATATTCTTAACCAGTCCCTCCCAAGGTGAACAGCCAGTCTTTGTGAGACCCTGCATTGATGGAAAGGGGAGTGAGGAGGCGTGAAGTATACAACCTGATGTGAAAGATCAAAGTGTATATCAAAGTTCAAAATGCGTAACAAACTATACACTTATTGCTGAGCAATTTTCTGAACAGATCTGCATTGTTCAATGCAATAGTCACTGGCCCCATGTGGCTATGAGCACTTATATGTGGTTATTCCAAATTGAGGTGTGTCTTGACTGCCAAATACTCACCAGACTAAGAAGACATAGTATAGACAGACAGAACAACCTTCAGTTTCAAGCGCCCTGTGCTGGAATCTTATCTGTGGAAGTTTAGCTGTGTAAAAATCATCTGACAGCTAGTTAGAAACAGATTATTGGATTCTAGCTCCGTAACTTTTTATTCCCCAGTCTGAAATGAGACCTTGAATTATTTTTTTTGTTTTTAATTTCCCAGGCAAAACTTACGTGCAGCTACGTTTGGAAAACAAGAGTCCTCATCAACCAACCTCGCAGCCAGTTAAGTAAAGATGATAGGGCCCAAAGGCAAAGGAAAGAACCATTTTTTACATCTTTATGAGATAAAACAAAGCCAAATACGACATCATTACACATCCACCAGATTGCCAAAAGTTTAGTGTCACAATACCAAATGCAGACTACAATGTAGAGCAATGGGATTTCTCATACGTGGTCAACAAGTGCTTTAGAAAAAAATTCAGTATTTTCTTACAGGATTGAAAATAGTCCTACCCATGACAGAGCACTCCAATACCCATGTGTCTAACATGGGGACTAGGAGAGGCATGTACAAGAATGTTCAATACAATGTTGTTCATAATAGCCAAATGCCAAGGAAAAATAAAACCTTTAACAGCAAAATGGCTAAATATATTCTGGTTTATCTGTACAATGGGAAATCACACAGAACAACGAAGATGAAGAAACTATAATTTCTAGAAGAATCCATACATCTCAAGTCAATTCAGAGGAATATATATACAACATATAAATGTACTTCACAAAAAGTTCCAAAAAGCAAGCAATAAACCATACTGTCTGGGAATGCCTACATAATTGACATGAAAATGACAATCACTGAAGTCACTGAAGTGTTTACGTATGAAGGGAGAGAACGGGTTATAATAGTGACAGACAACAAGGGATTTTGTGGGCTGGTAATGTTTCTACTTTTTGCCCAGGGTGGTTACACAGATACTGACTTTTAGTTTTTTATTAAACCTTATGTATTATTAACAGTAACACTATGTACTGTAATAAATAGACACAAAAAATATGTAATGGCTCTAATGAAACAGAGGTTCACAAAACTGTCCAAAGCAGATACCCTGCTCAAAGAGCTTCACTCGAATAAATGGAAACGCAAAACATTCTTGGATGGGAAGACTCGGAATCATAAAGATGTTACTTTCTCCCTATGTTAATCATTAAATTTAAGTCCATACAATAAAAATGTCAATAGGATTTTTAAAAAATAAAATTTGATTTTAAAACTAATATTGAAATATAAACATGTGAGATAGCCAGAAAATTTATGACCTTCCTTTCACAGACTAGAACACATTTTTTAGAACCTAGAATGATGAACAGACGAACAGACAGATCAGTGAAATATAACTAGAATTCCAGTGATAGATCCAAACACATAATGGGTATTCAGAATATGATAAAGATAATATCTGAAATATTTTGAGTA
Organism: Homo sapiens; assembly: GCF_000001405.40. Lineage (NCBI taxonomy): Eukaryota > Metazoa > Chordata > Mammalia > Primates > Hominidae > Homo > Homo sapiens. The sequence continues at coordinate 8,967,793 of NC_000002.12, forward strand.
TAACACAAACTTTGGAAACAATAAAAAAAATTAGATACAACTTCATCACATAAATATAAAAAATTCCTTCATGGGCAAAACACCATAAACAAAGTCAAAGGACAAACAACAAACTTAAAAGCAATAGTAGGCAGTTCCAAGATGGCCGAATAGGAACAGCTCCAGTCTACAGCTCCCAGAGTGAGTGACGCAGAAGACAGGTGATTTCTGCATTTCCAACTGAGCTCTGAAGAGAGTAGTGGTTCTTCGAGCACGGAGTTTGAGATCTGAGAACAGACAGACTGCCTCCTCAAGTGGGTCCCTGACCCCCGAGAAGCCTAACTGGGAGGCACCCCCCAGTAGGGGCAGACTGACACCTCACATGGCCAGGTATCCCTCTGAGACAAAGCTTCCAGAGGAACGATCAGGCAGCAACATTTGCTGTTCAGCAATATTTGCTGTTCTGCAGCCTCTGCTGCTAATACCCAGGAAAACAGGGTCTGGAGTGGACCTCCAGCAAACTCCAACAGACCTGCAGCTGAGGGTCCTGACTGTTAGAAGGAAAACTAACAAACAGAAAGGACATCCACACCAAAACCCCATCTGTATGTCACCATCATCAAAGACCAAAGGTAGATAAAACCACAAAGATGGGGAAAAAACAGAGCAGAAAAGCTGAAAATTCTAAAAATCAGAGTGTCTCTCCCCTTCCAAAGGAATGCAGCTCCTCGCCAGCAATGGAACAAAGCTGGATGGAGAATGACTTTGACGAGTTGAGAGAAGAAGGCTTCAGACGATCAAACTTCTCTGAGCTAAAGGAGGAAGTTTGAACCCATCACAAAGAAGCTAAAAACCTTGAAAAAAGATTAGACGAATGGCTAACTAGAATAACCAGTGTAGAGAAGTCCTTAAATGACCTGATGTAGCTGAAAACCATGGCATAAGAACTAGGTGATGAATGCACAAGCTTCAGTAGCCAATTCGAACAACTGGAAGAAAGGGTATCAGTGATTGAAGATCAAATGAATGAAATGAAGCGAGAAGAGAACTTTAGAGAAAAAAGAGTAAAAAGAAACGAAAAAAGCCTCCAAGAAATATGGGACTATGTGAAAAGACCAAATCTACGTCTGACTGGTGTACCTAAAAGTGACGGGGAGAATGGAACCAAGTGGAAAAACACTCTGCAGGATATTATCCAGAAGAACTTCCCCAACCTAGAAAGGCAGGCCAACATTCAAATTCAGGAAATACTGAGAATGCCACTCCTCGAGAAGTGCAACTCCAAGACACATAATTGTAAGATTCACCAAAGTTGAAATTAAGGAAAAAATGTTAAGGGCAGCCAGAGAGAAAGGTCGGGTTATCCACAAAGGGAAGCCCATCAGACTAACAGCGGATCTCTCGGCAGAAACTCTACAAGCCAGAAGAGAGTGGGGGCCAATATTCAACATTCTTAAAGAAAAGAATTTTCAACCCAGAATTTCATATCCAGCCAAACTAAGCTTCATAAGTGAAGGAGAAATAAAATACTTTACAGACAAGCAAATGCTGAGAGATTTTGTCACTACCAGGCCTGCCCTAAAAGAGCTCCTGAAGGAAGCACTAAACATGGAGAGGAACAACCAGTACTAGCCACTGCAAAAACATGCCAAATTGTAAAGACCATCGATGCTAGGAAGAAACTGCATTAACAAATGAGCAAAATAACCAGCTAACATCTTAATGACAGGATCAAATTCACACATAACAATATTAACTTTAAATGTAAATGGGCTAAATGCTCCATTTAAAAGACACAGACTGGCAAATTGGACAGAGTCAAGACCCACCAGTGTGCTGTATTCAGGAGACCCATCTCATGTGCAGAGACACACGTAGGCTCAAAATAAAGGGATGGAGGAAGATCTACCAAGCAAATGGAAAACAAAAAAAGGCAGGGCTTGCAATCCTAGTCTCTGATAAAACAGACTTTAAACCAACAAAGATCAAAAGAGACAAAGAAGGCCATTATATAATGGTAAAGGGATCAATTCAACAAGAAGAGCTAACTATCCTAAATATATATGCACCCAATACAGGAGCACCCAGATTCATAAAGCAAGTCCTTAGAGACCTACAAACAGACTTAGACTCACACACAATAATAATGGGAGACTTTAACACCCACTGTCAACATCAGACAGATCAACAAAACAGAAAGTTAACAAGGATATCCAGGAATTGAACTCAGCTCTGCACCAAGTGGACCTAATAGACATCTAACAGAACTCTCCACCCCAAATCAAAAGAATATACATTCTTCTCAGCACCACATCACACTTATTCCAAAATTGACCACATAGTTGGAAGTAAAGCACTCCTCAGCAAATGTAAAAGAACAGAAATTATAACAAACTGTCTCTCAGACCACAGTGCAATCAAACTACAACTCAGCATTAAGAAACTCACTCAAAACCACTAAACTACATGGAAACTGAACAACCTGCTCCTGAATGATTACTGGGTACATAACGAAATGAAGGCAGAAATAAAGATGTTCTTTGAAACCAATGAGAACAAAGACACAACATACCAGAATCTCTGGGACACATTCAAAGCAGTGTGTAGAAGGAAATTTATAGCACTAAATGCCCACAAGAGAAAGCAGGAAAGATCTAAAATTGACACCCTAACATCACAATTAAAAGAACTAGAGAAGCAAGAGCAAACAATCTGAAAAGCTAGCAGAAGGCAACAAATAACTAAGATCAGAGCAGAACTGAAGGAGATAGAGACACAAACAACCCTTCAAAAAAAATCAATGAATCCAGCAGCTGGTTTTTTGGAAGATCAACAAAGTTGATAGACCACTAGCAAGACTAATAAAGAAGAAATGAGAGAAGAATCAAACAGACACAATAAAAAATGATAAAGGGGATATCACCACCGATCCCACAGAAATACAAACTACCATCAGAGAATACTATAAACACCTCTACACAAATAAACTAGAAAATCTAGAAGAAATGGATGAATTCCTCGACACATACACCCTCCCAAGACTAAACTAGGAAGAAGTTGAATCTCTGAATAGACCAATAACAGGTTCTGAAATTGGGGCAATAATTAATGGCTTACCAACCAAAAAAAGTCCAGACACATTCACAGCCAATTTCTACCGGAGGTACAAGGAGGAACTGGTACCATTCCTTCTGAAACTATTCCAATCAATAGAAAAAGAGGGAATCCTCCCTAACTCATTTTATGAGGCCAGGATCATCCTGATACCAAAGCCTGGCAGAGACACAAGAAAAAAAGAGACTTTTAGACCAATATCCCTGATGAACGTCGATGCAAAAATCCTCAGTAAAATACTGGCAAACCGAATCCAGCAGCACACCAAAAAGCTTATCCACCATGATCAAGTGGGCTTCAACCCTGGGATGCAAGGCTGGTTTAACATATGCAAATCAATAAACATAATCCAGCACATAAACAGAACCAACGACAAAAACCACATGATTATCTCAACAGATGCAGAAAAGGCCTTTGACAAAATTCAACAGCCCTTCGTGCTAAAAACTCTCAATAAATTAGGTACTGATGGGACGTATCTCAAAATAATAAGAGCTATTTATGACAAACCCACAGCCAATTTCATACTGAATGGACAAAAACTGGAAACATTCCCTTTGAAAACTGGCACAAAACAGGGATGCCCTGTCTCACCACTCCTATTCAACACAGTGTTGGAAGTTCTGGCCAGGGCAATCAGGCAGGAGAAAGAAATAAAGGGTATTCAGTTAGGAAAAGAGGAAGTCAAATTGTCCCTGTTTGCAGATAACATAATTGTATATTTAGAAAACCCCATCGTCTCAGCCCAAAATCTCCTTAAGCTGATAAGCAACTTCAGCAAAGTCTCAGGATACAAAATCAATGTGCAAAAATCACGAGCATTCCTATACACCAATAACAGACAAACAGAGAGCCAAATCATGAGTGAACTCCCATTCACAATTGCTTCAAAGAGAATAAAGTACCTAGGAATCCAACTTACAAGGGATGTGAAGGACCTCTTCAAGGAGAACTACAAACCACTGCTCAACGAAATAAAAGAGGATACCAACAAATGGAAGAACATTCCATGCTCATGGGTAGGAAGAATCAATATTGTGAAAATGGCCATACTGCCCAAGGTAATTTATAGATTCAATGCCGTCCCCATCAAGCTACCAATGACTTTCTTCACAGAATTGGAAAAAACTACTTTAAAGTTCATATGGAACCAAAAAAGAGCCCACATAGCCAAGACAATCCTAAGCCAAAAGAATAAAGCTGGAGGCATCACGCTACCTGACTTCAAACTATACTAGAAGGCTACAGTAACCAAAACAGCATAGTACTGGTACCAAAACAGAGATATAGACCAATGGAACAGAACAGAGCCCTCAGAAATAATACCACACATCTACAACCATCTGATCTTTGACAAACCTGACAAAAACAAGAAATGCGGAAAGGATTCCCTATTTAATAAATGGTGCTGGAAAAACTGGCTAGCCATATGTAGAAAGCTGAAACTGGATCTCTTCCTTACACCTTATACAAAAATTAATTCAAGATGGATTAAAGACTTAAATGTTAGACCGAAAACCATAAAAACCCTAGAAGAAAACCTAGGCAATACCATTCAGGACATAGGCATGGGCAAGGACTTCATGTCTAAAACACCAAAAGCAGTGGCAACAAAAGCCAAAATTGACAAATGGGATCTAAATAAACTAAAGAGCTTCTGCACAGCAAAAGAAACTACCATCAGAGTGAACAGGCAACCTACAGGATGGGAGAAAATTTTTGCAATCTACTCACCTGACAAAGGGCTAATATCCAGAATCTACAAAGAACTCAAACAAATTTACAAGAAAAAAACAAACAACCCCATCAAAAAGTGGGCGAAGGACATGAACAGACACTTCTCAAAAGAAGACATTTATGCAGCCAACAGACACATGAAAAAATGCTCATCATCACTGGCCATCAGAGAAATGCAAATCAAAACCACAATGAGATACCATCTCACACCAGTTAGAATGGCAATCATTAAAAAGTCAGGAAACAACAGGTGCTGGAGAGGATGTGGAGAAACAGGAACACTTTTACACTGTTGATGGGACTGTAAACTGGTTCAACCATTGTGGAAGACAATGTGACGATTCCTCAAGGATCTCGAACTAGAAATACCATTTGACCCAGCCATCCCATTACTGGGTATATACCCAAAGGATTATAAATCATGCTGTTATAAAGATAAATGCACACATATTTTTACTGTGGCACTATTCACAATAGCAAAGACTTGGAACCAACCTAAATATCCATCAATGATAGACTGGATTAAGAAAATGTGGCACATATACACCATGGAATACTATGCAGCCATAAAAAAGGATGAGTTCATGTCCTTTGTGGGGACATGGATGAAGCTGGAAACCATCGTTCTCAGCAAACTATCACAGGGATAAAAAACCAAACACTGCATGTTCTCACTCATTGGTGGGAACTGAACAATGAGAACACTTGGACACAGGAAGGGGAACATCACACACCGGGGCCTGTCGTGGGGTGGGGGGAGGGGGGAGGGATAGCATTAGGAGATATACCTAATGTAAATGCCGAGTTAATGGGTGCAGCACACCGACATGGCACATGTATACATATGTAACAAACCTGCACATTGTGCACATGTACCCTAGAACTTAAAGTATAATAAAAATAAATAAATAAATAAAAGTAACTCAAGCTAAAAAAAAAAAAAAGCAACAATATAAGTCATATCACCAAGAGCTAATTTCTTTAATCTATCGGAAGCTCCCACATATCAATAATAAAAACAGTATAATAGAAAAGTAGGCAGAGCATAGGCACAGTCAGGTCTCAGAAAAAGAATCACAAATGATTCATTCCTAAGAAAAGATGCCCAAACCCTATAATACAAGAAACGGAAATTAAAATCAAAGTAAAATAACATTTTCATCTATCAGATAGACTTCAGCAGTATTCTGTACTGTCAAGTGTATAAGGAAACAGGCACACTAAACATTGTTGGTGGAAGTATTTAATATATACTGACATAACGTTAATAGTGAACAATTTGGAAATAGGGAAGACGATGTATTTACATTTATAAACATGTACTGCAGCACAGTGATAATATCAAAATTGGAAAAGACAGAGACTACTAAAGCATGGTACATGAAGTGAATGGAATGAATGCTCTCTAGCCATCACAAAGAATGAGGCAGCCCTGTACCAAGTACCAAGTACTAAGATGAAATGATCTTTTAGATACCCCATAGCAGTATACTTTCTCCTTGCTAAAAGAACCCAGATGTTGTTCAGTAACCAGACCAGGCAGTCATGTGTTTTAAGAAAAGCTAGACTCTTCACTAGTCTCATGGGATGAATAGTGACTGGTCTCAGCCAATCATCACCAACAACTAATTCTGGGAATGTAACTGTGCTGCAATTCTGTTCAATGAGAAATATGGCTAGGGATTACTGGGAAAGTCTTCCTCACTCTTAAAAAGGGATACAACAAAGATACTTGCTTTTCGCCTGTGGACTCTGCCAGGTACGTGAGACACACGGAAGGGGAAAGACACCCGGGAATCATGTGGCGGGCAGCCTAGGAGAAATAAATAAGAAAGCAGAACAGAAAGATTAAAGAACCCAGGCCTTGATGAGGTTGCTGAGCCACTGAATTAACCAATCCAGAAAGCATGCTATCTCTGTATTTCCAAGAGGTAACAGACGTCTCCAGCGGAATATCTCTGGAAGGATACCCAGTAACTGGAAACAATGGCAGCCTCTGAGGGTGGAGGATGTGGTAAAAGTGAGACTTATTTTTTCATTATGTACCTATCTCCCTTGATATTTCATGGGCATTTATTATCTACTCCCAAATAGATGATTTTTTAAAATAATACATGCTTGCTTTCAAATTTCCAAACAAGAAGCTAAGCACCAAAATTTAAGATAGTAATTACCTCATCTCCCTATACTGAATCTGCTCGTTTCATCCCACTAAATTTTATGCAATGGCAACCACACCTTAAAGGATGCAAGCATTTTCATCCTAGGCATTTCTAGGCCATTGCCACAGAAAAAGCACTTTTTCCAAGCATAATGTAAGCAGAAAGTTGGCTCTACCACTTAGAGCCAACTTTAGTAAGGTAATGGAGAATATCTAATCCAAAAGTATAGCCTCCTCACAAACAATGAAGATGAATTCAAAGCTACCAACTGGGGAAAGTGCTTTCTATAAACCAACACAAAAATCTACAGATTACCTAGAAAGAATAACACTCTGCACAAAACTCAAACTGAAAACATCCAAAAACTGAATTATTTACTGCACTTGTACCTGACCAATGCCACCATCTTACCAAATCTGCCTCGTTTCCTCCTGGATCTCCTATTTTACTTAATGGGGTCACTTCTACCCACCTCTTCAACCTAGAAAGTAGAACCTTTATTCATACTTTTTGGGATCCCAAAATACTTTTAAAGTAATTTCTGTACGTGCTTATATTAAACCGTCACTCACTGGCCTGTGAGTCTGACTTTCCTTTTTGATTGTGAGCTTCTGATGGCTTGGGAACAAATTTTATTCATCTATGCATTACTACCAATCCCTGAGTGGAAGGCCTGGCTCTATCTGTGCCTTTCATTCACTGAAAGGAAAATGGGGATGAGCACGTGGGGGCAAGAATCATGCCTCAAGAGTTTGCTTAAAATCAAGGGGAGCAGACTAATACAACAGCTCATATTTATCTTCCATCTTTCCTAAAGGGAAACATTAATTGCTACAACTAGAAACTTTATAACCACAAATGTAAAATAAATACATGAAGCGTAAGGACACATTCTATCAACATTCTGTAAACACTTCTTGTATAGGTACAATGGATGAACACCACAGCCATGGTTGTCCCCGCACTCACAAAACTTACAGGCCAGTAAAAGAGGACAATTAAATGAACAATACAAAAAAAAAAAAAAAAACGATGGCCACTAAGTCTTATGTTAGGCAGAGAAATAGCATCATGAGAACACAAAGTAGAGAGATTTATTTGGCATGCCTCTCTTAAGACTCTTTCTTATCTCCTGAATTATATGGCCACTGCCCATTCTAATTCCACCTACACCAAATACACTGGGTTCAGCCAGCAAGAAGCCCTGTTCTGCAGGACAAGCCTGTACATCAGACACAACATCCTCTCCTCTTCCTCCCCAGACAACAGCACAGAGAACTGCCAATCTACAGCCCAGACATCCATATGTTGTTAAAAACAGCCAGACTCCCAAAGGTTGATTAACTCACAAATCCCTAAATATATTCTCAGACCATCATACAAACCAAAAAGCAGTGAGTTTTCCCAAATGCATGGAAACAGAAGCAGAAAGCGAGCGATTTAATCAAGGCACCACAGAGATTAAAGGTAGGCACCTACCTACCAGGCTAATAATGAGTGCTTGTCTCATTTTGATCTCTGTCTTAACCAACTATAAAAAATTCCTATGAACTGAGAAGGAATTTATTTACACTCTCCTATGAAATTAAAAGGTACTAGATTAACTGCATCCACAACTGCTTAACTATGAAGCCTAAGGAAGGGTTAAACTATGAAGCTTCAGTAGGCGACCTACTGAAATAAATACAAGCCAGATAAAAAATAAGTAAGGCTCAACAACATACACACATCCCAAAGCATCACACAGAACACAGACGCACAGAAAGGATGGGCCTGCTTCCTCTCCAAACACTGTCAAGCTTGCTCTGACAAATGAGAAGCCAAGCAGCCCATCCCTGAACAGGAAGAAGGGGGATGAATACCAGAACAAGGAAACCCTTCCATAAAGCGCGTTCAGAGCGTGTCTCCCTGTGTGTGCACATCGACACGTTTAATCTCTTAGGTGGTTACAAATAATACCAGCAAATCAGAAGACCTGCTGAAAGGAAAAAGAAAGTAGTCTAACTTCATAATGACTGCACAAGTGAATCTGGTATAGTCATACAATAGGATATTACTTACTTAGCAATAAAAAGGAATGAACTATTGACACAGACAACAGCATGGATGAATCTCAAAATAATTATGTGGAGTCCAAGAAGCCAGAAAGAGAGAAGAGTGCCTACTATATGATTCTATTTAGATGAATTTCTAGAAAACCCAAACTAATCTATAGTGACAAAAAGCTTATCAGTGGTTGCCTGGGGATGGAGGCCAGGGAGAGGCAGGAGGGAGACGGTACTGAAGGGCACAAGGAAACTGTTGGGGTGTCAGATATGTCTATCATCTTTATTCTGGTAACAGCCTTATGGGTGGATACCTATGTCAAAACACCAAATTTTACACTTTTACTATGTACAGCTTTGGTGTCACTTATACCTCAATAAAGCTGTTTAAATTTTTTTTTAATAAAAATAAGTTCACATTGACCACCACTGGGTTCAACTGAAAACCTTGCAATGTGATTGAGATTACTTTCCCTCTCAGAAGGGTATTTCATTGAAGTTACATATCACACTTTGTGGACAAGCAATTGTGGAATGAATACAGATGTGGAATACTGAAATGTCTGTATTTCTTCCCCATTCATCCTTTCAATGGCTTAAAAGAAGCTAGAGCATTTTAGAGAAAATTCTCATCACTTCAAGTTTCTTACAAAGGCTCTTAGAACTCGATGAACATCTAATTTTTGGAAAGGAGGACCTTAAAGACCATCCTGTCCAACTTTCTCAGTTTAAGGAAGTAAACTGCAGAGCCCACTCCCTAATGGGGAGTTCATCCAGTCCTATATGGCTCTGAAGTGAGCTCTATGTTGCTGACACCTTCCTCTGTCATTTTAGTCTTGACCTCTCTGATGAACTTCAGACATTTATTCGGCTGTCCATTAAACTATCTCACTTGACTATCTAATGAGTATCTAAAATTTACTGTGGCCACAAGGGAACTGCTGATTCCCCTCACCACCAACTTCTCCTCCAAGTTGACCCATGTGAGTAACTGCACCATCACACTTCAACCAAAACCTTGCAATCAACCTCTGACTGCTCATCTCCTGCCCTCCACAAGGAATCCATGCTTCAGTTCCTTAGCTCTATCTTCAAAGCACATCACAAAGCTGGCCCGGACTCTGTCTCCACGGCTGCGATGGCTTCTTATCTGGACAATAGCTCTTTAAGGTCCCCATTTCCTCTCCTGCCTCTACCAGTCAGTCCCTACACAGCAGCCACAGACATGAGGCCACCAATACCCAGACCCTAAAACATTCTACAGACTGCCATGATTAAAATAAAATCTCCGCTCCTTACTCTGCCCTGAAAGACCAAGGCCCCTTCCACCTCTCCAGCCTCATCTCGCACTGTTTCTCTCACTGGCTATATTCCAATATATTGACCGTCTCCAACACACTCAACTCACTTCCACCCCAAAGCTGACACTTCCCCACCTCCACACATGGAATGCACACAGATGTTTCACCATTCACAACTCAAATAACATCTTCCAAAGCTTCACAGACCTTACAATCTAAAGAAGCATCCCCAATCACTTGTCATGGACCCCATGTTACTGACTTTATGGTATTTTTCATTATATAAAATGATCTTGTAAACAATTTTACTTATTTATTATATTTGCTAATAAAATTTATCTGTTCACTCATTCATTCCTGCTATGACCATCAGAAGCATTAGCCCAAATAAGAACTGTGATCCTTTCCTAATTTAACTTGAAAGCATTCCTCTCCAAGTGCCTAGGTCTATGGGGTAAAAGGCATCCACCTGAGTTGAGTAATGAGAACACATAGACACAGGGAGGGGAAAAACACACACTGGGGCCAGTCAGGGGGTGGGGAGTGAGCGGAGAGAGAGCATTAGGACAAATAGCTAATGCATCGGAGCCTAAAACCTAAATGACGGGTTGACAGGTGCAGCAAACTACCATGGCACACGTATACCTATGTAACAAACCCGCACATTCTGCACTTGTATCCCAGAACTTACAGTAAAATAAAAATTAAAAAAGCACCCATCTTAAAAAAAAAAGGTGGTGGGGGGAGGCAGGGGTCTATTTTGAATCCTTTTTTAATTCCTAAGTGTGATGACTGGGTTTCCACACTCATGTGTGAGATGTGCTTTCCTCAAACCTTTTTTACAACATCAGCACACTACCTATCTGTTATTTAAAAATAAAGGTCAATTTCAACAGTGCTACTAATTTTCAAGTCTTCAAATTATGCTTCTAAAGAACAAAAAAACTCCTCTACTGGCCTGCCTCATTATCATCAGATTTCCATTAGATACAATGTCAGCTTATCAACTTATGGATATGTTGACTTGATTTTGAAATTATACTGCTTCCCACTAAAATAGTACACTTTTCAAGAAGGATCAGGTCAATATAAAAAGTACTAACTTTTAATGATTAGATTGGGATCAGTGGTATCTTGCCTTTGGGATATTTAACCAATAATCACTTACATAATACACTATCTAAATGAACCAATTTAGGCATTTTTAATTTATTTTTCTTTTTTAGAGTTTTAAAGTTTCCAGACATTGCTACCAAAGAAAATCGCAATAGATTATTTTGCCTCAATGTCACACATGATGAATGATTTTCTAGGAAATCGTTAAAATAATCACTGGGATGTGCATTTTATAAGGACCGTGATTCTTATCTGTTTTGTTCATTGTATCCCCCAGCACCTAGTCCCACCACATTTATCAGCTTAACAAGTATGTGTTGTTAAGATACTTGCAAGCTCATGTTTCCTTTTATTTTATGCAGATCATTGTATTATTCCAAATTTAGGGGGTACTGCCAATATGTGTAATCTCTTCTTGCTATTGCTTGATGCCATTATAATATTAAGCATGAGTTTAACAGCAATTCTAAATCACACGTTTTTGACTTCCAAACTATACAGCGACATGTGGCAAATCGATGGCAAGAGATCAACATAGATTCTTACATAAGGTGTGATCAACAAAGATTCTTTCATGTTGTGCTGACAACGCAAGACTCAACATGGAGTCCTGATACGCAGACTCCACTACTAATACGCCTAACAATAGTGTCTCTTTAGGGCTAGGGAGAAAGCCGCAGATGGAAAACCATCTGTGCATCCCAGACTATGGACTGCCAGAATATCACATTTTATACCAACCCCAAGGTGAATGTTAAATAGCCCTACACAGCTGATAAAGGTCACCATAATTAAGTAGTCAAAGGCAGCAATTGTGAATCATAGAAAAGTAGCTCAGTTTTGGTATGCTGCAAGTAATTTATACAAATGAAAATTAAAGTAGTCAAGTTTGTGAACAATTTAATAAAGATTATTCCTGAAATATTACTCTTGCCCTCACATTTCTAAGAAAAACAGCAGTAGAGATGCAACTAGGTTGTGGGAACTACATATAACACAGTGAACACAGTGGGAATGTGTGCCACAGGAATGCACCTACCACATCACAGCAGGCTGACAACAGCGGATCTGAGGCAAGCAACTCAACACCACCCAATCAACCCTAAAGACAAATCCCTGTTCTAGCCCTGACCAAGTAACCTCTGGCATTTACAACCTCTTTATACCATAGTTTCTTAATAAGAAAATAAGAATAATCCCTATCTGCACTTGTAGATTATGAGGTTTATAAAGAAAAAGAAAAACAAGCAAACATCCACTTCTGGTCCTTTGAGTGACATGGTCTGCCTACCTGGCCACCTAGACTGAGGTGGAAAAGGTTCAGAGCCCACTGGGAGAGGTCCAATACAAGGCAACAAAAACAAGTAAACAGGCAACTGTTCAAAAAACAAAACAACCTTTTTATAAAATATTATGCACTATACCACTTCACATCCACCAAGATGCCTACAATCAAAAAGATCGTTAAGTGTTGACAAGAATGTGGAGAAGCTGGAACTCCCACACACTGCTGATGGGAATATAAAATAGTACAACCACTTTGGAAAACAGTTCCTCAAAATGTGAGACATGGTTATCATATGATCCAGCAATTCCACTCCTAGGTATATACACAAGATAACTGAAAACTTAAATCTACACAAAAACTTCTACAAAAATGTTCACAGCAGCATTATTCATAATAGCCAAAATGTGAAAACACCCTAAATGTCCATCAACAGATGCATAAATAAAATGTGGCATATCCATATAATGAAATATTATTTGGCAATAAAAAATGCACACTGATATGCAAAGATAGATAAACCTTGAAAATATTATAATGAAAGAAGCCAGATACAAAAGACCACATATTGTATGATTCCACTTACACGAAACAGGCAAACCTACAGAGATCGAAAGTAGACGAGTGGCTGCTTAGGGCTGAGGGATTTGGGGAAATGGGGAGTGACTGCTAATGGTACAAGGCTTCTTTTTGTAATGAAAATGTTCCAGGTTAGACAGCAGTGATAGTTGCATGGCTCTGAGTACATTAAAACCATTGAATTGTACACTTTAAATGGGTGAGTTGTATGGTACATGAACTGTATCTTGATAAAGCTATTAAAATATACTGTGCATTATCTTTACATAATAATTATAGCTTTCAGCCATCAAATATGTCTGATCAAGATGAAATACAGATATGCTGTCGCCCCCAACAGCCCCATTCCATGTAGTTTCACAAAGTCCTGTCACAGCCACAGGCCCCAGGAACAAAAGTCTTCCCTAGGGCATTTCTGCCAGAGCCTCAGAGAAGACGATGCTCTCCCTTCCCAGGATCACAAGTGGAGCTGGTTTCAAATGAGCTGCTTCTGTGACAGGAGTGAATGGGCCAACACTCAAAGAAAAGCAGGATGAGAGAGGGGGTAGGGCAGTGGGATAAAGAGGGAGGGGGAAACAGGAAGGACAGAGAGGAAGGGAGACAGAGATGAAGAACACAGTGTTTATTGTTGGACTATGTGTATCCAGCCATGTTGGCTAGCTGAAGTGGGTTTCTGTAATTTGCTTTAGGGGTGTCCTAATATGTTATTTCATTACAAACTATTTCCATATTTAACTGATGAACTTTCTGAAGATCTATACCCAAAACTAAATCCCAGGCCTTTTTTATTTAATAAAAAGACATATGAAACATTGGAAAGAGCACACAAAACTCAATGGTTAATGAAGACAGACAGACTTAGATCCAAATATGAGTAGTGGGCTTACCTAAGCGATGCTGGGTACATACCACTCAACTTCCCCAAACCTTAGTTACTTCTGTAAAGTGGAAGCGAGCCCAGGTTTGGTTTCCTCTCAGATAGGCTGCTGTCCGGATTAAGCGAGATAACCCATGGCAGGGTCTCAATACAGTACCTGGCACATGAAAACGCTAATGTATGACCCACCATTATTAGCAGTCAACTCGTGATTTACCACAGACATATTTACAGCATAGGAAAGTTTTGTTTTAGAGCAAAGATAGTCTGAGTAAGACGAGTAGGTAAGACCTGGAGAAAGCTGTACTACACTTCACAAAAAAATATTTCTCATTCACTTGGAAAGCATTATTCTTAAGGTATGTTAGAAACTAAACTTAACAATGATAAACACAACAGCCAGAACCAAAAATGCTAATTCATAAAAATCAATTCTAGTTCTTCGCGAACCTTGTCCAATATATACTTTGGTCAGAGTAACTTCTTCTTAGCCTTCCGTCTGTAATCACTTTTGGAAACCACTCCTCACTTGCAAACAGTCAGCTCTAGACAACTGTTTAGATTGCTAAGCTTTCTTTGCTTCTATGACACTGCGTACTGTTGCACCCACCTTGGAGAATTCCCTCCATCCATCTACTTCCAGTGGATATCACTAACTTAGCTCAGATGTAAGATCTCCCCAAAAGTGACCATGCAATCAACCCACCTCTGAGTTTATTCATTCATTCAACAAAGATTTAGTGAGACACCTACTATATGCCAGGTACTGTACCAGGTGCTAGAGATGCAGAGGAGAATAAAACAGGTACCTCTTTTCTGTGTTCTCATAAGGACCTGTTCCTTCCTCATCAGAACACAAACCACTCTGATTCCCAATTTCCTAATTACTTTTCCATAACCCCTCAGAGACTCTAAGCAACCTGGGGGCAGGGACCATAGCGGATCTGATTTTCACTGTATCACACTGTTTTGAATAATAAGTCATGGAAAAAAATTGAAATAGAACAAGGTGTGTGCACAGAATAGCCACAATACAACTATCCGCAGTCAGAGAGACTCATGCATAGCAAATTCTGAAGTGTGTAAAGCCACAGACTTTACAGGTCACTGAGACTCCCATCTGTGCAGAATACAGCCTGCCACTGAGGTCCTGGCTGCATCTAGAGCTTGATCCAAATTATATGATACAGATATGAAATCATATGATACAGATGTAAAATACATATTTTCACAAATACATATTGTATTTTCATTACAAATATATCTAAAGTAAGGAAGAATAAAACTGCACACAGATTAGCTAAAATGGAAATTTCTTAGGTGAAATGCACCAATTCCATACTCGAACTACTATAACTCACCCAATATGAAACAGATAATTTAAACAGCCCTGTAACTGTTAACGAAACACTTTGGAATTTAAAATCTAGAAAAAAACATCTCTAGGCCCAGATGGTTTTACTGGAGAATTCTATCAAATGTTTAAAAAAGAATTAATACCAGTTTTACACAGTCCCTTCCAGAAAACAGAAGAGGAAGGAATATTTCTCAATTCAATAAAGGGAGTGTTCCAGACTTAAGGAGACTAAAGAGACATGCGAACTAAATGCAACCTATGATTCCAAACTGGACCCTGTTGCTAAAAAGGACTTGATGTGATAACTGGTAAAACTTTAAGTCTGAAGATTGGATGATAGAAATTTACTACTTTCCTAATTTTGATGGTCATTTTGAGATTACACAGAAGAATGTCCTTTTTTGTAGGAAATATCACAAAAGTATCCAGAAGTGATGGAGCAGTGAGTCAGCAACTTACTCTCAAATGGTTCAGGAAAACATTCTCTAAATTGTACTTGGAACTTTTCTGTGAATTTAATATTGTTTTAAAATAAAGAAAAATTATTTCTGAAAAAGATAATATAGGAAGATATCTTTACAATCAATCTCAGCATACAGAAGACTTTCCTAAACTAGGTACAAAAATATCACAAATCATGAATAAAATGTTACAATTTCAATCACATGGAAATTAAGAACTATGAATAGAATATTATTTAGCTTTTACAAGGAAAGAAATTCTGACTTTTATGAGGTCCCATAACATACCTCACATGTGAAAACATAAATGAACCTTGAAAACATATGCTAAGTGAAATTAAACCAGTCACAAAAAGACAAACACTATAGGTTTCCACTTACACGAAGTATCTAGAACAGTCAACTTCACAGAAACAAAAGGCCAGGGGTTGGGGTGAGGGGAAAATAGGGAGTTGCTTAATGAATATGCAGCTTCAGTTCTGCAAAATGAAAAAGTTCTGGGGATCTACTGCTCAACACTGTGAATATACTTATCACTACTGAGCTGTGTGCACTTAAAGATGGTTACGATGGCAAATTTCATGTTTATTACCACATACATACATACGTTTGTGGTTAACACTACGAAGAAAGCAAGGAAATGATTAACACAATATTCCAGAAGTCATTCCTCTCTGGGATGGGGTCTAGAAAGGGCATGCAGGGAGCTTAAAAGGGTGTTCCTTAAGTGGGAGCGCAAGTGGCTTTCATCATCCTCTAAAAGCATACATTCTCTTGCAAATCTAATTTCCCAAATCAACTCCCCAGAAAAGGGAGGATGTACTAGTACAGAAAGCTCTAAAAATAAATAAAGAACTAGGGGGGAGGGAAGGGAAGAGAAAAAACCATAAATTCTTCCAATATTATTAACTTAAAATTCTCTTTTCTGAATAATAATCAATTTCCACAACAACTTAAAGTTATAAGTGGTATTGGCCAAATTTTATTTAATTTTACATAACTACCTTTTAAATAGGGAGCCAAATAATATCAATCCTTCAGCCTCCCTATCTTCATTACCAAAACAGGAGGAGTCAGACAGGAAAGCCAGTCGCCCCCAATGGTCTGAACAAGGGGAAGCAGAAAGAGGGGCTGAGGGCCAGTGTTCTCCTGGAGAAAGAGAAAGAAAAGCTGGCGGCTACACAGAATGCAGCTTGTTCAGAGGCCTCCCACTCCTGACTAGTTTCCCTCTAAGAAAAAAATGTAAGGCTCAAAATATATGCATATAGTTCCTCAGGGGAAAAAAAAAACTAAAATGTCTAGTTCCTTTTCTCAACGGCTTTAAGATATGCAAATCAAATTCTTCATCTTCCACTGCTCAACTGGCTATATTAGCTGAGAGTTAGGTCAGACACAGACAGGTCACACTGATGCTGATTGAAAAATGATCTACCTTTTACCGTTTTTTCACAATGCTTTCAGGGGAAAAGAAAGTTTGATTTAAATTTTTTTCATCATTCGAATCAAATTACCACAGGTTCTTTATTCTATCAAACTAACTTCTTATTCTGAAAATACATGGAATTCTTTAAAGATAAAATGTGTGACCCCCAAATAGAATATTGAGACCTAATCTATACCGGAACTCCAGACTCACATCTTCAATGGTCTACATGTTTATACCTCAAAGTCTAACAAACATCTGAAACTTAACACAGCCCAAAGGAAAACCTTTCATATCCACCCTTCCCATGCTCCAAAAGCCACTTCTTTTCCAGTCCTCCCCGCCCTGTCCCCTAGCTTCCCATAATTATCTGCCCTAGCTGCTTAGGCCAAAAACTTAGGAAGCGTCATCCTTCAGTCTTCTCTTTTTCTCATAACCACATTCAATCCACCAGTAAGTCATATCAGTTCTACCTTCAAGTATATGCCAAATGAGGCCACTCTGCACCACACCCGCCATGACCACCATCACCGAGCCTAGACTACTGTGACCACAAGCCAACTCCCCTCCCTGATTCAACTCTTGCCCTCCACACAGTAATGAGAGCTTCTTCAGAGGTAAACCAGAGTAGCTAATTCCTCTATTCAAAGCATCCACAGCTTACCCCTATGCATAGGCTGCTCAGAATGGCTTCTTCCAAAGAATGCAATATGGAAAGTGGGAGTAAAAAGAGAAACTTTACAGTGGAGAAATCTGACAGACACTGCCTCAGCCAGGTGATCAAATTAACATCAAGAGTGATCAGTCACACTCAAAGTACATACCCTTGGAATGATGTGATGAAAACAACACTTCATCTTTGTGGTCTTCCTCTCAAACACCCATAAGCACAGACTCATGAGAAAAACATTCAATAAATCCCACTGGAGAGATTCTACAAAATCCATGACCAGTTATCCTCAAAGCAGACAAGGTCACCAAAAAAAAAAAAAAAAAAAAGTAAAGTCTAAGAAACTGCCTCAGTCTGGAGGAAGCTAAGGAGACACAATGACTAAATGTAATATGGGCCAGGCATGGTGGCTCATATCTATAATCCCAGCACTTTGGGAGGCTGAGGCAGGCTGATCACTTGCGAGACCAGCCTGGGCAACATAGTGAAATCCCCTCTCTCCAAAAAATACAAAATTAGCCGTGCCTGGTGGCGCATGCCTGTAGTCCCAGCTACTCAGGAGACTGAGGTGGGAGGATCACTTAAGCCCAAGAGGTCAAGTCTGCAGTGAGCCGTGATCACATGACTGCACTCTAGGCTGGGGGAGACAGGGCGAGATTCTGTCTTTAAAAAAAAAAAAGTAATACGGTAGCCTGCATAAGATCCAGGAACACAAAAGGACTCTATAGACTGAATGTCTGTTTCCCCCCAAAATTCATATGTTGAAGCCCTTACCCCAATGTGATGGCATTTGGAGATGGGGCCTTTGGAAGGTAATTTGGATTCCATGAGGTTGTGAAGGTAGGTAGGGCCCTGGCCTGACTGGATTAGTGCCCTTATAAAAAGAGACACAGAGGGCTTGCTCTCTCTTTCGCCAAGAACGCATCTAGAAAAGACCACGCGAGCACACCCCCAAGTGGTGGCTGTCTGCAAGGCAGGAAGAGAGCCCTCACCAGAACCCAACCATGCTGGCACCTGGATCTCAGACTTACAGCCTCTGGATCTGCGAGAAAATAAATTTCTGTTGTTTAATCCACACAGTCTATGGTTTTTGTTATGACAGCTAACTAATACAGACCTTAACCTTAAGTAAAAACTAAAGAAATCTATCAAATAAAGTATAGAGTTTAGTCAATAATAATTATCAATACTGCTTCACCAGCTGTGACAAATGACCATACTAATGAAACATGTAAACAAGAGGAAAAACCGGATGTGGGGTATGTGGAAACTAGCTGTACTATCTTCACAACTTTCCACAAATTTAAAACTATTCTAAAATTAAAAGTATATTTTCAAAAATCTCATGGCTTCCCATCATATTTATATTATGACCAAAGTCCTCCCAGTCTTTTCTACTCAGCATCTAACACTTACACCTTGCTCACTCTGGCCTACTATGTTCACCTTTACAAGGGTTACACAGGTTATGAGTTACACAAGTGTACACATTTGTCAAAATTGGTCAAACTGCACAATTAAGATCTATGCATTTCACCATATTTAAGTTACATTCGATTAAAATTTTTTAAAAATATATGATTGCCAAATGAAAACTCTGATGACCTAAAAAGTACCCTTGAATTTGGCAGCTGAAAACACTCACATTTCTTTTGCTCTGGAATCTGGAATTTGGGCAAGGTTCAGCATGGACACCTCATTGTTTCTCTATTTGGCATCAGAGACTGGAATTATCTAAAGGCTTGCTCACTCACATGTCAGACAGTGGATGCTGGCTGTCATCTGGACTTTAGCTGGACCTGTAGGTTCAAACACCTACACAAGGCATCTTTATATGCCCTGGGATTCCTCACAACGTGGTGGCTGCGTTACAAAAATTTTATGTTCAGTATGAGCCCAATTTTGTTTGAACATACACACACACTCTAATAAAAATATATTAACAAAAGTTGTCTCTGGACTGAAGGGTAATGGGTGATTTTTAAATTTTCTATTTATACTTTTTTATTTTATAAGTTTCATATGATAAAGATGTATTACTTTCTCAATCAGATGAGAAATATACAAACTAAATTCAGTTCCCTACTAGAGTATATAACACATTACTGAAAACACAAATGAAATTAGAAATGCAAAAATGTTAAACATATTTGCATGTCATAAAAGAAGAATTAGCTCTCAAACAGCAAAAACATTATGAAGTACCTCATTTCACCTCCCTTTTTAAGGTACAGATGAACTGAACTTTGGCTTTGTCCTTGGTTAAGCCCAAATCCCCACTATTTTGCTTTGGTTTGGGTCTTGGCCTAATATCTACTTGCTGGTCATTTGTAGCATCCTTAAATTGGTGGAGGTCAGTGACCATCTGATAGCCTAAACTACCACCATTTCTGATAAGCAAAGTAACATCAAAAATACAAACAATGCATGTCATTCATATTTATTGTTACTATATGAACATCAACTTTCAAATATGTATAAACACTCTACAGTTACCTTGGGGTGTAAAGAATAAATGACTTTATATGATTTATATATTACTATTGTATCAGTTTAAATATGTTTTATTACAAAAATACAATACTATAACTGAGACTAGGGAAACAAATGAGTTAATGTGAGTATTGAGAAAGGATTCATTATATGACAACTTTTGAAAGAACATTATATCCTTTGAGCCAAATTTTTTAAGAAGTCATTAAGAGATTCGATTATTTCATAATATATTATTTGTAAGCTTGTTTAGTATGCCAACATTAAACAAAATAACCCTTAGGAGCTGTATTTGATTTTGAGTTATTTAGTTCCATTCAAATAATGAAAAACAGCCTTTTTCATGAAAAAGCTCTATTTGTGAATTCTACACATCCTGTGAGAATGAATTAAAAGGAGAACAATTAGCTCTGACATCTCAATATTGCAAGGAGAAAAAAAATCCTAAACTCATGCATAATAATATCCATAATGAATCATACACAATAAAATAAAGTATATGAAGAAAAAAGGGAAGTGTTAAAGAAAACTGGAGTATCTAAAACATGTATTGTTCTCACTAATCAAACCTGAAATTAAGTCTTAGAATGTTTTAATAAGATAGTTCCTATTGTTTTGAATCTATGGAGGGAAACAAATGTTTGCAGAAATGATTAGATGACACTGTTGATCGTTTTCAGGAGTTGAAGACAAAGAAATCTTTGAGATTTGCCTGGATAACATTCAGCTTTAACTCAATGTTGATTTTAACACTAGCATTAGACATCTGACCAAAAATATGCTTTGATGAGCCCCTATTTCAGGTAATCTTAGGTAACACATTTCCAGCACACCACCTGTGTCCTTCAGTGATGCTCCTTTGTCACACCTGACACCCATCAGCCCGTTAACGTCAAATGAGTCTACTGCGTCTGAAGAAATGGTATTGTGGGCATGCCTCATGGGTTCTATCATTGGCTCAACAGGATAATTTATGAGAACATGCTTATTACTAAATTAGCCATTTTACTTTCACTACATTTTAGTAAACAATAGAGGCAAAAAAAATCTTCAAATAAGTACACCAATACTGCAAAACTCTAGAGAGGACAACACTTAGAAAGTGAACTTTCAAGATACGGAGCTGTATCATCCCAGGAGAGCTAGAAATGTTCAATCATGAGCCCATGGATTTCACAGAAGACTGAGGGCTACTGATGCCTAATGTACAAATATGCAGCTGTTCATAAGCCAGCCATGTGAAAAAAGAATAGGAAGTGTCCAATTCTCTGAAAGGTAACCACGAAGAAGTGGACTTATTCAGACCACTTCTGGGTTACTCCAGAAAGTTTGCAAGCATGTAAATGACAAACTCTCTAGCAACTACAACTATCTAGAAATGAAACTGGCTGCCCTAACAAAGGGAACAAGCGCTGCACCAGAAGAAGTGTTCAAATACAATCCAGATAACCAACACCTGATAAAACTTTATTTCACACAAGCAGTTTGCACAAAAGGTGCAATGGCAGCCATGGCTGCCATTTATAGAGTACTCATTACACACTACACTCTTGTGCACACAGATAAACTCACACAGCTTGTAAGGGATGCTACGTTGCAGAACCACAACTGGAACACAGGTTGACTCCTCAATCCACGATCTTAGTCACTATAATCTAAATGTATGAAACACGTTTGTTTTTTCATTTGCTATATCATCAAACCCTGCCAACTCGACCCTCTGCTCTCTGAAATTTGAGGCCTAGGAAAAAGCCTGGCAATCAATAAATACTGAATGAGCTAGGCTGTCCCTTCTTTACACTGCAGTTTCCTTAACTAGAAGTTGCACCTTTGCTCCAGGATTCTGAGAAAATTTATACTTTCTCCTTCATTTCACAAGGGCTAAACTCCAATATCACACATTTATCAAATCTGGAGATAGAGACAAAATAGGAAAAGTAGTTTAATATTTTTATATTATTTTCTAGTGGTTCCTGCTTTCAATAAAATACAAAAAGGAAAGCAATCCAAGTCCAGCCTCTGGCATTATAGTCTTTGCTGACATGGTACTAACATCCTTTTATCTTTAATATACTATTTTACTATTAATTTCTAAGAATTTTTTAATCTACTGAAGCATTTCCTACCCAATGAAATATTCATTTAAAAATTATTTAATAGATCACTTTATAATCCTATAAAGTAAAACTCTGAGTATATGCCAAAAACCTTCTTGGAATATTTCTCCATTAATTTATATTTCTTACACCTTAAAAAGAAACTTGAATCCTTAGAAATGAATTCCTTCAATTCACATAAAAATTGCAACAATACTTAGAATTAATTTTGATTAACATATCAGAATTTCCATCCAGGTCTAATAGACAGCTGAGGCTCAATGTTTGATGCCAAGTTTACCAAAATTTTCCTTTACTATGTGGCTTTAAAAGTATTTTCCAAGAACAAAAGGTGAAGACATAACTAGTCTCATCGTACAAGAAATACACAAGGGCTATAATTACAGCACCCAAAATTATAAGCTTATACTAAGGACCCCTTAACTATCTCCAAAGATACTAAGTACTAGTTCAACAAACCTCTCCCCTGTCCTCTACCTTCATCTTCTTGGCTCTACTTGCAAACCAAAAATCTCTGTCACTGCTATTCTTGGGATATAGGTAATAAGAACAGCTGTGTCAGTCCTAGTATTAGAAAAGGCATGCTGACACTCACAGTGAAGCACACTACAGATTAAACCTAAACTCCAAAGCTGATAACTCCAGAGTTATCACAAAATAAAACATTTTGGCCAAAAATCAATATACACTTTCTAGAAAAACGAAAAACTGACAGGGACTTATCAAGACCTTTCCAAGTATTACTTTATTCCCCTCCAGCTAGACATTTATTTTAATGTCACATACCATAAAATAGCCTTGACAATGTAAACCAATTAATAATAGTAATACTGGATCTGCAAAAAGAATAAAATGATAGTAGTGTGAAATTCCAACCTTCCACTGTAATGGGGTATTAACTTTCAAGATTATTTCCAAGATGTGATCTTCTCCAAATGAAAAGAACTAGTCAGATAAAATTTGAAACTCTTTCAGCCAATTTAAGGATGAAATTACTAAACGGTGAAATATAAGAACTGTATCTTCAACTACTGCTTGACATGGTTTCCAAGCATTATGTAGTCCTCAGTGCCCTGCTCTGGTTATAATCTCATTTGTCAATGTTCCTTTTAAGTCTCAGAACACAAGTGTACTTCAGATTGGACTGAACACCACAAACTTAACAGAAACTGTTACCTAATTCCTGGTGGCCAATAAACTAAATCTAGTCTAGATGTGTTATCAGGGCTCAAAAAGAGAAAACTTAAAATTTTACCCCAAATTTTAAAAATCCTGTTTTCACAAAAAATCCAAATTTCCATCTTCCCTTGACAAATCAGCTTTGGCAGCACCAAGCGAACATTCCTTTATGGTCATCATTAGCAAAAGTGAGTAGGGGCTTTCCCTTTAGCCTGGGAATGGGCTTTCAGACGGTCATGCTGTCCACACCTCAGAAAACCCACGCATCTGCCTTTCCATTCATGTTCCTTCCCTGGTACCCTCCAGACATCTGAACTTGGAATTTATGTTGGGACTAGCTATTTCGCCTAACCTCACAATCTGGTCAGCTAAGCAACACCATACAATAAACACAAACTCCCAGGCTTGTTGATAAAATGTACTTCCGGTCTCAAGTCATTTTCTGTCTATACAATTAATTTCTAGACCTTTATTGCAGGTCTTTACATCTATCTTGAAATTTAATATTGTTAAATTAGATGCATCCAATTTTACTATTTATTGAGCACCCAGTAGATAAATGGTTTTGTAACTACTTGTTCTGTAACAGCCAGCACCTCTCTCCATTCATTCTTTTTGTTTGCTTTAATACAGATTTGAAGGTCTCGCTACATTGCCTGGGCTGATCTCAAACTCCTGGACTCAAGGGATCCTCCTGCCTTGGCCTCCCAAAGTGCTAGGATTACGGGCATGAGCTACCGTGCCCAGCCTCTCCATTGAGTTTTAACAAGTAAAGTATCACTTAGATGTTTTTCATGTATATATTGTAGTTTTAGCTATAATCTAGTTTCAAAAAGAAAATTAAAAGAACCAGAATGTTTTGTTTGTACAAGCAGGGAGCTATCTATTTTATTTTAACATATACCATACATGTATTGAACTACTTAAATATATCTAAAATTATATGTTATGTATCACCCTGACCTTCCACTAACACCTAAGTCTGGCGGAGAAAATCTCCAAAACCTGAAAAAGTTTCTATGAGATGATGGATTAAAATGGGAAGCTATGTCTTTGTCCAACGCCTAGACAGAAGCAAGGCATGCTGGTCAGAGCTTGGGACTTCCCAGAAGAATGTGGTCCACGGGGTTGGCAGCTGGCTGGTCGCCTGGCTCAGCAGAGCTTTCCCCACTCCACAGGGACACGGGTTTACCTGTTCCTTTGAGCTGCTCTGGGAGGATCTGTCAATGATTCATCTGCTGCTGCCAAAAAGCCAGGCTTCCCTGGACTGGATGGATGGCTGGAGGACATGGAGGGTGGGTGAGATATCCCAAAGGAGTCTTTCTAGAGGGCCCTACTAAAGGGACACTAAAAGTGGCAGTCCTTTGTTCTCTATCAATAAAGACAATTGTGCAACTGCAGGCTTCTTTTATCTGAATCTCTTGATTAAAATGCTCATAAAGCTTCTTTTTCCAACCACACCTGACACTGTAATCATCCAGCTGAAAATAGTGGTACCTCTCAGAATTATCTTCAATTCTTTTTGAATAATCCAGCCAAAATCCCCCAAAATTCTTCAATGCTTTGCATGTCCTCAGCCTCCTTTTAAGTAACCCATTTTAAAAAGGTTTCTATCACTCACTTCTTACCTAAGAGAGACCTGCTGCGCGGTCCTTCAGTGAGCCTAACCACTAAAGGCATCGGAATGCTCAAGACTCCACAGCAGTAAGAGGCACAGACCAGCTGCAAGAGAAAGCAGCTGCAGAGTGACCAGAAGCTGATTAGGGGAGCTCAGTCTGTGGAGAAGCTTGTTGGCCAGTGAAGTGAGTGTCCACAGATTTCCTAGCCCCTAACCTGCCTTCTACCTAGCCCAGGAGGCGTGAGTGCCAATGAAAGACAGGAAAAGTGCACAGTTCCCAGGAAAAGTCCCCTGGGAACACCCAGCATGACCCCACTAGACCCACTAGACCGCATCCCTCAGAACCTGGCCTTCCTAACTTCCTCAGCAGGACCTGGCCCTCTCTACCAGGAAGTGCTCCAAGGAGCTGCGGTGTTTTATGTCTGAAAATCACTGCATTCAACTGCAGTACCTCCGCTGTACCCTGTGTCTTGTTCACCACCTGGCATACATGAGACACTTCACTCCTTGCAAAATGGATGACAGAGAACACTCTCCTAGGCTCTGAAGAAAGTAAAGCCTTAAACAGCATGGTGCCCTCTCCAGCCCCTGGAAAAGCACTTAAAGTCAGTAACACCCAAAACGCCAGGTTCTGACTCCGTGTGCATTGTCTCCTCAGTGCTAACCACAACTCCGTAGGGAGACACCCACTACGTGAACTACTTTATAGATGAGGAAACTGAAGCAAATAAAAGATCAGCACCTTGCCAAGAGCACACAGCTAACAAGGGACAGTCAGAAGCTGAGCCAGTCTATGCTTTCATCACACCAGCCCTGCGGACTCTAAACATGCTCCGTGCCAAGAATGGTCCTAGGCAGACGGGACACAAAGATGAGTAAGTGGAGGTCCTTATTCTTAAGGAATTTAGTTTGGGAGGGAGACTTGTAAAGCAAACAAAAAAAAAATCAATGCTCCAGGTGTTATCAGAGTAGAATACAGTGAAAGCGGGGCATGATGGGACTGTTCGGAGGGCCCTAACCAACAGGGCAGCCCAGGCATTCTCTCGCAGCACTGCTTCCTGGAGTTGGAGGGGTACTCACATATGACAAGAAGGCAGTGGAGAGGGGCGAGGACCCCGCATGGGATCTTGCCATTAACTCCTTCCTAAGAAAGAACTGGATGACACTGGGCTTCTGCTGTACAGAAACAGGACAGGCTGGTTAGTCCAGAGCAAAGGAGAGAGGCAGATCAGGAATACCAGGGGCCTCTCTTCTCTCGGTCCTTCTCCAGAACACTGGCCTCATGACATAAATGCTGCATGGGATGCGAGACAGCTGTGTGAAGAGGTCCCAAGTCATGGGTCCACCTGGAATGCCTGCAGCCTGAGGCAGAAGAATTACAAATACTTAGGGCATGTAGGTGTAGCATGCACGAACATATCATGCATGCAAGATACCCAAAAAGGGAGGAAAGGATGGGGCAAATCTTAAAACGCTTCATCAAGGAGGCATAGGCTTTAGCTGACTATTGAAAAATACGGATCTGCCAAGCCAAAAAGTGTAGCAGGGATTTCAAGAGGAAACAGCTTAATCAAAGGCAAGGAGTTAAAAGAGAGAAAATGTATTGAGGAGCATTTTAAGTAATTGAGTATGCAAGTACTTTAAGCAGCAGAAAGCCAGGATTTAAATTCCAGCTCGCCACATACGTTGCTCTAAGCAATTTACTCGGCATGTGTGGAAAGAGTGTGAGAGTTTGTCAGGGGTCGGGGGTTGAATAAGCCATCCTTCTGAGGGTCCAAGCCTACCCCATCAGACAGAGACTTTCAAAGGTAAGCTCACAGTAAGAACAGAACTGCCACATAATCCGGCAATCTCACTACTGGTTGCAGTGAGCCGAGATTGAGCCACTGCACTCCAGCCTATCTCAATCAATCAATCAATACAATTTTTAAAGGAGAGAAAAAAAAATCACATGGAGCAGGCTCTCTCACAGAGTAGGCCAAAAGGGACACTTGGCTCAGGCCTCCCATTCCGGAAGGACCCCAAATGTAGACGTTCAACATTTTCTACATATGAGATTATACATACAGTCACCAGAGATGCAGTGACAGGACTGAAGGGAGATGTGTACACCATCCAACTTTAATATTGTCTTGTTTCAGGGCCAAATTGCCTAGAGTAGAGTACACAGTGAATTTTATTTTTCCCTTGTGACTATATTGTCAATAGCACAATTACACTGCCTTACGTTTTGGCGAGTACATGTTAATGTGTTAAATATAAACATTTTTTAAAAATACATTCCATTTTTTTTTTTTTTTTTTGAGACGGAGTCTCGCTCTGTCACCCAGGCTGGAGTGTAGTGGCACGATCTTGGCTCACTGCAAGCTCTGCCTCCCGGGTTCGCGCCATTCTCCTGCCTCAGCCTCCCAAGTAGCTGGGACCACGGGCACCCGCCACCATGCCCGGCCTAATTTTTTGTAGTTTTAGTAGAGACGGGGTTTCACCGTGTTAGCCAGAATGGTCTCGATCTCCTGACCTTGTGATCCGCCCGCCTCGGCCTCCCAAAGTGCTGGGATTACAGGCGTGAGCCATCGCGCCCGGCCTACATTCCATTTTAATAAACTTTTAATAATATGAACAGCCTAAAAACTTTGGCCCAAGTCTGTTATCTGTGATGGTGGTGGGAGGTGGGGGGAAGCAGGGGCCCTGTCGAAAATGCAGACTCCCTGGCCCTCATTGGGTATACCCTGAGTAGAGCCTGGGAATGTACACTTTTAATAACAATCCAAAGTGATCTTTGACACAGGTGGTCTCAGAGCCACACTTTAAAAATGCACCGCAATGGCTCGGCAGCTGGAAGCTGTTAAGAGTTTTAAGCAAGGAAGTAACTGATGAGTGCTGCATGTCTCAACATTTGCCACTGGATTTCATTCTGAGTATCAGAGACGGAAGCCTGATTATAGTGGTTTTAAAAGTGAACTGGAATTAGGAAATCAACTATTCTTTCAAAATGTATGACTGAGAAGAAAGAGACAAAATAACAATGTGCATAAAGGAGTCTGACAACAGGTTTTTTATTTGTATTCATCGGGTAGAGAAGTAAGTCATATTGAAGCAACCCTAACGTCCTGGATTGTATTTAAATGCCCCTCCAGATCCACTCTCCTCTCTATTCTGTGCCCCCAAAGCACCAACTTGTCCTCTGAAGTAGACCCCAGCAGGAGATGAGAGGATGGGAGAAGCGAGAGGCAGGGGCATGCTCTCCCGGCCGCAGCCCTCACTCAGGTTCGCTGTAGGCTGGCTGCGTCCTTCAACTGGAGGCCATAGCTCTTCCTCCCCTGCTGTGAAGCAGCCCCTGCTCCACAGCCACTATCTTGGGGTTCTGCTCCTTCCTTCCCTCTTGACCCTCCACATCTAGTGCAGCTGGCTCGGGAACTTCGCTATTCCTTGCTGATTTCCCAAGACCTGCCCACATCTTTGTAAATAGCTCTTTAAGTTACCTGGTTGCCTTAGTTACCTACTTCAATCTGTATCTCTTAGCAGAACCCTGAATGATACGTATAACATTAAGCAGAATGTAAATGCCAGAACAATGCCAAATCCAAAATACTCTCGTGGCTCAAATAAGGAAGCAGTCACATCAGATGGGATTCAGAAAAAGATTCGTGTGCAAGGTGCAGTGGATACAGGAAGGACGGTTAGGATTGGGAAGCCATGGTAGAAGAGGCACGTCACCAGTGCCTGTTCCGATCTCCTGAATCCTGAGCCTACCTTTCCACCCATCAGCTGCCCCAGTTGCCACACACTACATACTGAGAAAAGCCTGCTTCAATCACCCATAGCACGCATAAAAATCATTAAAAGACCACTCTGCTGAGGGTCGTATTTATGGCTGCTTTTATTTTAAAGGAATCTTACCAAGTGCTATCATTGTAGAGTCCCACCTGTTAAACCAACTGGAGCCAAAAGCTGAGTGTGAGTTGTTTTTATTTCCCTGGAAAGTTGGCCCTGATGGACCCAATAAACCGAGTTGAAGGAGATGAAGGCTGTTTGTACCTACAGAGGCAGTAACAACATAGGAAGCATTTTTAAAGCAGGGAGACAAAGAGCTCTTGAAGCAGTGAGGAAGCAGAAAAACCACTTTTGACTCCAAATTCAAAACTAGATTTTAATCCTAGTTTAATCACTGTGTGGGCATACGACCGAACCCAAGCCTTGTATTTCCCTTCCTAAAAAGCAAGTCCTAAAGATTAAAAATGAAATACATATGAACAGATGTTAACGTCTCAAAATAAAAACATAAATAAATTCCAGAAATTTGATAATTTGTAAAGAGGAAGGAACTGTGCATCAAACATCTACTAGAGGCCTGGCATTTTACAAAGATTATGGTTTCAATCTTCACAATAACCTACAAATAGGTACTACTACTTATTATTATCCTTATTTTACAGATAAGGAAACCACGGCTTAAAGAAAAATTTAGTGTTTTGCCAAAGAGCA
Organism: Homo sapiens; assembly: GCF_000001405.40. NCBI lineage: Eukaryota > Metazoa > Chordata > Mammalia > Primates > Hominidae > Homo > Homo sapiens. The sequence goes on from NC_000002.12 coordinate 8,997,791, forward strand.
CAAGGCTGGCAGAGTCTGGCTGCCAACCTAATCATGCCATTTCCACTACACCACTGCCCTACTACTTCCTCTTAATGAAGGACATGGAATACAGGGAAACCTACATTAGCTGCAATTGTCAGGGCTCGTGGTATTTTGCTTAGCTGCTCTGAATTAAACAGAGAGGCAGTTTCAACTCTCTTTACTATTGAAAACATCTTCAAAATTTAGTAGTTCACTTTCCTCCTCTAAGTTTTTATTTATTTTCTCTCCAATTTGGTCCAAAAAGAATTTGGGCAGCTTTATCAGTTAATAAGACAAACAGAGAATCATGGAATTTTAAAACTAAGCCCAACACACATAGAGGAGGAAACTCATTCATGTATAGTAACATATCTAAAACCGTTAACTGACAGGAGCTAAAACACAGATTCAAGATTCTCAGTCCCATATGCCTTCCTGATGAAAAGGAATCGTTCACAGCAGACTCTCCGGGTTTTCAGTGTTCTCATGATGAAGACTAATGCTCATTATGAGTGTAAAAGTAGACAGGAGAGAGAAATGAGTTAAATATTTATGTTCTAAACCTAGAGCATTCAAATGGCAAGTTGAAAATAAATCTTTGATCTGCTTGTTTTGTTGCCATTCACCTTCTCTTCCTAAAAGTCATACTCTTAAGAAGGCTCAATACTGAGAACTTCACCTGTTTCTTCATCTATAAAATGGAATTCATCATAGTACAGACCTGCAGGAAGATTAAAGAAGTGAATGTTTTCAACTACCCTTTTCCATAACATCAACTTCACTTCACTGGTTATCTGCACGGTGCAGGGGAAGAGCGGGGGGCGGGGGTTGGGAATATATAGAAAAGATCAGTCAATGAACTGTCCAAAAAGGAAACAAGGATCTCGTAAGCCCACAATGCTTTCTCTCCCTTACACATCATCATTTTCTCTGTGTCAACCACAACCCCTAGTCCTTCAGTGTCGACTTCAGGGACCTTCAGTTGCTCTCCTCCTTTCCCTCCAAAAATATGATCTAAAACAATGATCTACCAAAAATATTTGCCACATATTATTAAGACCATAAACTAAACCTGACCTTTTTTATTCAAATGGTAAATACATACGTGCACGCACACACACACCCGTGAAGCTAAATACTTCAGGTCTTGAACTTTATCTGACTTCACCAGGTGTTGTGAGGATTTGATTAAATAATATAATCTGTGTGAAACAGCTTTGAAAACTGTATTAAGTGTTAGACATTATAATTATTATCTGACTTTGCAGGATTAGTAACATATAACCATTCCTCCTTCCCCTTCCCCGTCCAAACCTTTCAAAAGATCCTGAGTCTCCATCTTGCCCCTTTCCCTGCCCGGAATTCAGCATATTATCTGTAAAACAATGAATGACCCCTGTCCCTAAACATGGCTGTTCAATGACTTTATACAGGCCAGCTTCATCCCTAACTGGCCTTCTGCCAAGTATGCCATCCTGGATATCACATCACTAGGGAAATTTACTCTAGTTTCATAGCAGTAATTACAGCATCATGAGAAATAAGGACAGAAAATGGTTAAAAAGGCAAGAAAGAGATGGGAGGGAGGGAGGAAGAGGGAAAAGGCTGGATAGCAACCTCAGTTTGGTAACCGGGAGTTAGGCAAATCGAATGTAATAGCGTACAGGATATGTTAAGATTGAAAAATAAAAACACTCTAAAAAATAGGTTGATCTGGGACATTTAATTATTTTGTTTCATTTTGGTGCTCGCTTTCGAGTCTTAAAAATCCAGCACATCAGCAACTATTAATAATAAAGAACACAGATACCTTCAGTGATTCCTGATGTTGTCTAAACAGCACACTTGGGCCTTTTCTTGGCACAGCTCTTTCTCAGTCCATTTCCCTCCTCAAAACCCACTCTCCATACATTCCTTTAATCATAACCACCTACTAAACATTACCCTAGAAATAAAGTCATCTGGAAAACAAGGCCTAGAAAGGCAAACATCAGATGCCGATACTTCCTATCTTAAAGCATCATGTAACTTCACTTGATAATAGATTCTACATTTTTATTAAAATTTAAGGCCTATTGAACAAATACTATGGCTACCTAAATTCCAATACCTCTGGAATTCTCAGTAAAAATTAAGCAACCCAGGAGTCTAAGGCAAAGTATTTTGCTTCTTTTCCTTCCCTGGCCTCAGCCTAACCACAAAACACTTCCTCCTTTCTGCTACCTTGCCCTGCAAGGTGCATTCTTACATTCCATGCAGACCCATAATTTCTATCATCTCATAAATTCCACACTTACCTAGTAAAAAGTTAATTGTTTTTCTTACACTAAAGTCCTTTTCTTCCTCGGACATCAAACAACTGCTTTTATAATTTCCCAATTTTTCAAAACATTGTTAATTAGCACATACCAAATTAACATACTAACAAGTTATATTTTTACACTTTTCATTTCCTGATTTGTCTTTTTCCTGTTGAATCACACTATGTGATTATAACAAATTCATAAGATTTCTCTCAACTTGGAATAAATGATTTACATTATAAAAATTTTTATTTTGCTCAACTTTAAAATAATGGATAAATGACTTTAGTCATCCAATTTTACAAAATTGAGTTTTTAGTTATTCCAACAGCTTCATCAACAAGAAAGTCAACTCTAAGGTGCTTCAAAGAACAACTTATTATCACTATGAAAAGTTAAGGCTTGTGTGGTATTAATCCAATATTTTAAAGCCTTGCTCAAAGAGAAAACAACTCAAACTACAGTCATGTGTCACTTAATGATGAGGCTATGTTCTGAAAAATGCATCATTAGGCAATTTTGTTGCTGTGTGGACACCATAGTGTACTTACACAAACCTAGATGGCATAGTCTGCTACACACCTAGACCAGATGGTACAGCCTAGGAGGGTGAGTGACCAGCGTGTGAATGCAAAGGTCCAGGACTTTACCGTACACCACTGTAGACTTCATAAATACTCTACATTTACGCTACACTGAATTTATAAAATATATTTTCCTTTCTTCAATAATAAATTAACCTTGGCTTACTGTAACTTTTTTACTTTATTAAGTTTTTAATTCTTTTATAATAACAGCGTAAAACATACTGTACAGTTGTATAAAAATATTCTTCCTTTATATCCTTATTCTATCGGCTTTTTTCTATTAAAATTTTTTTAATTTAAAAAACGATTAAAAACTAAGACACAAACACACACACTAGCCTAGGCCCACACAGGGTCAGGATCATTAACATCACTGTCTTCCACCTCCACAGCCTGTCCCACTGAAAGGTCTTCAGGGGCAATAACATGCACGGAGCTGTCATGTCCTACAATAACAATGCCTTCTGGAATATTTCCTGAAGGCCCTGCCTCAGGCTGTTCCACAGTTAATTTTTTTTTTAAATAAATAGGAGTATACTCTAAAACAACAATAAAAAGTATAGTAAATACATAAACCAGTGATGCACTTAGGATTATCAAATATTACGTACTGTACCTAATTGTGTAGTATACACAATGTGCTAGACTTTTATAGGACTGGCAGCACAGTAGGTTTGGACTGGCAGCACATTAGGTTTGTTTACACTGGCATCACCACAAACACATGAGTAATGCGTGGTGCTACGACATGACAATGACTACAGCTTTACTAGGCAATAGGAATTGTTCAGCTCCATCATAATCTTACGAGACCACCAGCAGACATGTGGTCTGATGACCAAAATGTCACTATGCAGTGCACGACTGTGCTATACAAAGTCAGGGCTACACATGGCTGTACAAATTTAGAGTAGTCCCAAGGTACCAACTTAAGACCTTTAGCTAATAAAGAAGGATGTCAAAAATTTTAAGTCCTGTCACTTTCCCTTGATTCTCCTGCTTACTTCAGTACTGAAAAGAACTTTCTCTGGATGCTTAAATGCGTTCATTAATAGCAAATCACTTTAAAAAGTTATAAGCATTATATAAATGAATAGGTATTATTAGCATAGTCAAGAAAATATTTCAGCATAGCAGGGACGGGTAGGGCTATGGCAGACATGGAGCGGGAGGGAAAGAAAGATGGGGGAGAGAAAAAGGGAACGTGAACATGTGCCCATCTCTCTGAAAGAAATGTAAATATATAAACCTATCTCCCTTGCTCCTCATCAGCAAAGAACTTTTCAACAGACACCCACCCTGCATTTGCTGATATACTGGAAGTAGCCTATTTAAGGCAGGAGTGTGATATGCTAAAAGGTCATACACTGCACACCAGTGTGGAAATGTCAGCAAGAATCCTCCGCGGGGCCGGGAGGATGAAAAACCCTAAATTCTGGTCAATTTATTAATAAAGAGAGAAGAATATTTTCTTCGAATACACGATTAATTTCACTACCATACTTTATTAGCAAGACACCCATTAGAACTCTTGTTCAAGACAGGTGGGGGATAGGTACTTTACTATTAACCAGAAGTTATGACCGCGATGTGGAATTTCAACAGAAGCCACAATTGTTTAACACTCCTTCGACATACTTAAGGCGATTTTATTTAAAACAGTAAAGCACAAAGCAGCTAGTATCCTAATGTCAGGTTTCCAGCTTGCTGCTATGGAAAGCCGTCTGGACAAGAAGGAATCCCGTATTGAAGTGAAATCCCTGAAGACTAAATGACAGCAGCACCTTCAAGTTCAAGACAGTGAACCAGTATCCCGTGTGAAGTCCAAACACTTCCAGGTTAAGTACACTTGAAATAACTGTAAGCAAAATTTCCAAAGTTAACTACCTTTAGCCTGGGGCTAGAGCAATCACCTAACTATACACCCCCGCCCCCCAGCCCCCGCCTCATTAACAACTTCCCTAAATCTCACTGTCACAACAAAATACTTCCAAACTTTCTTTTCTCAGTAAAAATGGCGCTGCTTTTCCCATCACAATGCTGTTTATTTCTCAGTAATCGTTAGGCCCTTTAAACCATCAAACTCGATTGGCCTCATTTAAATACCACCCTTCCCTAGACACTGTCAAGAGCTTTTCTGAGGGCTGGGCAAGGAGGTAAAGTGGCTGCATCAATCTACAAGGTTGCCACTTTGTCAGCAAGAATCCTGGGATTAACTCCGACTTTTCTTCATAACCTGTCTGCCTTCCCACAAACTGTTGCCTCTGTCTCTCTTAAGCCACAATCCAACGCAAACTGTCCCCAAAGTGCAGTAGCGCTTAAGCCTCTCCGGGCCCCTAGCACCCATCGACGCCGTCTCTAAGGCACCCAGCACACCCAGACCCATGCATCAGCCTCTCCGGGGGTCGCTCAGAGGCGCGCGCGGGGCAGGCAGCACCACGCCAGGCTCCCCAAAGCGCAGCCTTCCGCACCCTTTCCACAACCCGGTCCATGCGCACCGGGGGCTGCTCCGGGACCCGACCACCGGATCCGAGCGCCGCTGCCGCGAAGGGCAGGGACCGCATGCACACCCGCACGCCCATACGACCACCCTCCCCGGGGGCTGTCGCCGGCAACAACGCCCGGCCCACCTCCCGCTCGGCCCGGGGATGGCGGGCTGGGGGCGCACCCAGGAGGGAGGGGGCTCTGGGACAATAACCGGCTTGTTGCCCCCTCCCTTCCAGGGAGCGGCGGGTAGGGGGGCACCGGGCGCCCGGCCCCAGCCCCCACCCTCCTCCCGGGCCCCCGGTCGGGTGGCACCGCGGCGGGGAGGGGCGGCGAGGGCGCGACGCCCGGCGCCAGGGCGCCTCGGGGTACCTGGTCGATGGGCAGCTGCACGGCGTTGCTGAGGGGCTGCAGCAGGGTGGAGCCCGTGGTGCTGGTGGTGGCCATGGCCGGGCCTCGGCGCTCCGGCCGCCCGCGCCGCTCGCCCGCTCGCGCTGTGCCGGGCGACGACGAGGATGGGGATGCAGCGGCGCGCCCGCCCCTGGGCCGCCCGCGGTCGGAGCTCTGCGCGGGGAAGGCCGGGGAGGGGCCGGGGGCGGTGCCCGGCTCGCACCTCCCCCTCCGCCGCCACCTCCTCCCGCGCCCGCCGCCCCCGACCGCCCTGCACAGGCGCGGCCCGTCCTGCCGTCGCCCCCGTCGTCCCCGCCCCGGCGCCCCAGCCGCATCCCCCGCCCCCGACTTCCAGCAGCTTCCAGCGGCCCCCTCCCCACCTCGCGCGCTCTCGCTCCAGACAGCTGCGCGACCCAATCGCGGCGCGACGCCCTGACGCCCGCAGCCAATCAGAGAGCGCCGGCCGCGCCACGCCCCTCCCCCGTGCCGAGGACCCGGGCGAGGGCGCCGAGGCGCGGCCCGGGCCGTCGCCGGAGAACGGCTGGCCAGCGTCGTGGGGCGCGCTCCTCGGGTGAGAGCATGGAAGAGCGTCTTTGCCCCTCACTCCTCGGTTTCTCCTCCCTGGAATGTCGCGGCCCCCCACCCCTCTCTGGGAGAGACGGCAGACAACAAAGGGGCCCGGGGTGGCGGCCGGAGGGACGATGTGAGGGACGCCGCCGAGCCAGCGCCAGGGGAAGTTGGGGACGAAGGTGGGGGCTGGGAGGACGACAAACCAAAACAGCGACCTGGCTGAGAAGCCCCTTTGTCTGGGAGAGTGCCGGGTGAAAGCCCAAAGCTGAGAGCAGCCCCGGGGTCTGACGCTTTCGTCACCCTGCAGCCGCACCCGGGCCTTTGGGTGGTGAGAGCTGGGCCTGGGTTCGACGCCCGCGGGCGCAGGGAGACCGGCTCCCCTTTGCTGTGTGAAAGTTTAGTTCTTTGTAGCCAGCCGCCCTCGTTGAAGGCCCCACCTTCTTCCTGAGAAAGTTTCTAAGCATCCCTTCACCCCTTGAGCGCAGGCACCCCCAGACTGTTGAAGTCCGCCAGGTTTACATACCCTGGCGGGTCACGTGTATATATAATCCCCCCAACTTCGTAAAAGTAAGCCATTTGAGTTCCTTTAAAATGCAAACGTCAACTTCTGTTCAGAAGACTTTAAAAGAGGAGAAATGCCACAGCAGTTATGAGGACAAATCAAGACTCAAGGATTTGGCAGTTTAACTTTGGTAGAAATAACTAATGTTTACTGAGAGTTTAACCACAGCTTTAATACTTTTGGTATTTAATCCTCACAATAACCGTGTGAAATAGACACTTTTACACACCCTCCTTCAAGGAAGTTGAGTCACAGAAGAGGTAACTTGCCCAGGGGCACACAGCTGGTAAGTAGATTGGAATCCAAGTAAATCTACATTTAGAGCCGACCTTATCACTAGGCCTTCATCTCTCTCACACTTAACACCCATTCCAGAAACTCCCGTCAGCTATCAGTTATACCATTGGGTTGATGACTAGCTTAGAGTCTTGAATAAGAAGGCAGCACAGATAAAAATACACCTGCCTTAGTAATCAGTCTGTGGGCTTACGTTTGTCTCTCTGAAAAGGAGGCAGTGGAACTCATCAGTGCAATCCCGTCTTGCCTAGAATCCTTTCACTGGTCGACTCAATCCTAGTTTGGTGGATTCTCAGCTGAAATGGAATAGAGGATAAAAGGAAGAGTAAAAAGAACAGGACCTTCATTCCCCCAGGGGAGTGTTCCAGTGGGATTTGTAATCAATTAGAGAGCTGCTTATTACAGTATATTAATCCAAAAACCCAGACCTATTAATATTATATTAGAAAGAAACCATTTTTTTTTCCTTTTCTTCACTTTAGAAAAGTAGAGGAAGCGCACAGGTGGCTGAGCATACAAACTGAAGAAAAAATTGAAATGCCATTTTAAAAACTTGAAAGGTGGGTGTTGGGAACATATTGCAACCTAAAGTAAGCAGCATGGAGATACAATCTCAGAGCTAGAACAAATAATGTCTGCAGAAAGGAGTTTCCTTAAGCTAAATTTTTATTTTAGTCAGACATGACAGAACATAATCTGTATTTGGGGTAACTACATGAAATTATTTAATATCTAGAATGGTTGAGCGCTGTGGCTCATGCCTGTAATCCCAGCAGTGAGCTGTGATCGCACCACTGCACCCCAGCCTGGATGACAGAGTGAGACCCTGTCTCAAAAAAATAAATAGGCCAGGCATGGTGGCTCACGCCTGTAATCCCAGCACTTCTGGGAGGCCAAGTTTGGTGGATCATTTGAGATCAGGAGTTCCAGACCAGCCAACATGGTGAAACCCCGTCTCTACTAAAAATACAAAAAAAATTAGCCGGGCATGGTGGCAGGCACCTGTAGTCCCAGCTACTCAGGAGGCTGAGGCTGGAGAATTGCTTGAACCCAGAAGGAGGAGGTTGCAGTGAGCCGTGATCACACCACTGCACTCCAGCCTGGGTGACAGAGTGAGACTTTGTCTCAAAAAATATAAAGAAATAAATTATATATATATATAGAGAGAGAGAGAGAGAGAGAGAGAATAGGGAAGATTTTAGCCATCTGGGAAAATTTTGCTGTGTCAGAGTTACAAAACTATAGGTAAAATATAGTATAGTAGTAATAATAGCTTAGATTTTGGAATCAAACACACCTAGTCTCTTCCATTTATTAGCAGCAAGATATTGGGCAAGTTATTTAACCTTTCTAAGTCTCCATTTCCTCATGTAAAAATGAGCGTAATAATGGCACCAACTCCATAGTTTATGAGGTTATAAAGGTGTACTTATATGAAGAGCTCAGAACAGTGCTTGGTGCATGATAAAACTTAAGAAAGATTATATTAGAGTTCTCCAGAGAAACACAACCAATAGGAGATAGATATGGTTTTGCTTCTCTGGAGAACTCTAGATAGAATAGATAGATAGATAGATAGATAGATAGATAGATAGATAGATAATAAATAGATATGGAAATAGATAGACAGAAGTTTATTATGAGAGATTGGGTTGAGATTATGAAGGCTGAGAAGTCCCACGATCATCTGCCATCTGTAAGCTAAAGGCCGAGGAAAGCCAGTAGTGTAGGTCCAGTCCAAGCCCAAAGGCCTGAGAAACACAGGAGCCAACAGTGTAGTTCAGTTTATGTCCAAAAGCCTGAGAACCAGGAGCAATGATATCCGAGGGCAGGAGATGATGGATGTCCCTGTTCAGAGTGAATTCACCCTTCCTCCACCTTTTTGTTCTATTTGGGCCCTCAGCAGATGTGATGACGCCGGGGTACGTGGGTGAGAAAATCTTTACTCAATGTACCAATTCGAATGCTGATCTCTGCAGGAAACATGCTCAAATACACATTGAGAAATAATGTTTCAATAGCTCTATCTGGGCACCTTTTAGCCCAGTCAAGCTGACACATAATATTAATCCAAGAAATTTAGTATAATTCTGAAAATGGAAACCATTTGTTTCGTATTAAATATACTACCTCTTCATGTTTTTAATGAAGAATTGAAGCTGGCATTTTAAGCTGATAACTCATTGATGGTAGCATAAACTGTGTGCAGGCCATACAATTAGCCTGACCAGTATCTGCTAATTATACCAGAAGCTCTTCAGTGGAGACAAAAGAGAAAAGAATTAAACTAATTGTATATAATGCCTCACTGCCCTACCTTGGGTAACATCCATCCTATAAAGAGCAATTCTTGTGTTAAAACATTTATTGACCACTTACTATGTTCAAGGAGCTATGTGGGGTGACGTAAAGGATAAATGATGCCTGTAATCAAAAGAAGAAAACAGTCGTATTCACAAATTCACATGTTACAAGAAAAGTATCAAGGAAGTTTCTTTTTTTAATGTTAAAATCAAAGGAATATGTCTGTAAGAAAGAAGCTTAGCTTGAAGTTAAAAGACCTGAATTTTAACCCTAACTTTTCCACCAGATAGCTATGAACTTTAGAAATTGGCTTAGCTTCTCTGTGCCTTAAGTTTCCCATTGTTAAATATGAATAATGGTAACTGTTCATCCTACCTCATAGGAGTGTTGTGACTATGAGCATGAACTTAATCATAGACTCAATTATTTTTAAAGTTACTAGTACTGTTAGTCTGAGAAATAATAACTAGTAGTAAAGGGATTTCAATATAGCAGCCACATTGTTAACAAGAGTTACTTAGACAAAGGCACAGGAGCACCAGGCAGCATCCACGTGTGGTAAGATGGCAGTGCGGCAGTGCTCTTGTCCTGGGTTCATTGCCCTCGCCTCCTAAAATCGCTGTGATCATTAAAGATTGCTAAAATGAGATGTTTCCTTCCCAACTTATTTTTAACATTGAAGAAACCACTGGGAAGAAATGAATAATCTGCCAAGCTGCTTTTGTTTTGTAAAAATAGTATGTGCCATGAAATTCCATCTCTCAGGCAATTATTTTGCCTATTCTATGTTCCTATACCCTGGAATAATTTTGATGGATGAAGAACATTGAACCATACACATAATAACAACCCAAGTTAACTAGAGGGGCATCTTTAAGCACTTGCAAGCTAACCTTAGCCTGAGACTAGAAAATGGAACGAGAATGTCACCCTTTAAGACCTAACATAGTTCAATTAGGAAATCACAAAGTAGGCTGAACAAGAGGTAGCAAACACAGTAGGAGAAGTCCTGGCTCCACTGTATTCTGGCTCCACCACGGACGTGGACTGTACCAGCAAACAAATCACTCATCTTCAATTTCATTGGGAACATGTTAAGAGATTTGTTAAATAAATGATTTCAATTGTCACCTCTTCCTCTAAAATTAAATGATTCCCAAGAATTTTTGGGACTTTCTCTGTCTCTGTGAGACCACAGTCTAGGTTTAAATTAGGCTAAAAGATGCAAATGAAACTATTACTCATCAGTTTGGGAATAGCACTGCTTTCTAATTATTCCACAGGTTCCAGGACTACCTCAAATGTATTACGTCTCTAATCAGTCTTTCTCCTTAAAAATGCCTATTATTTCTTGGTGGACTGCAAAGATTTCTGTTTTATATCTGCGCATCTTGGGAAACATTTTATTTTCCTCATAGATTTATTTGGCATTTTTATCTTTATATGATTGAGTCAAATCTCAATACAAAGAACACCCCTTTCATGCTTATTTATTACAACATGAGCATGCAGCCTCCAACCCCTGATTCCTAGGTACAGAAAAATAAAGTTCAAGCTTTTTCATGCTTTTGCATATCTGCATAATAGTTTTTGTGTCCAAATTATGAAACACCTTAAATATAAATTGCTGTAGCCTCCCCAGGGTTCATCATAATCACCGTCACCACTAGCAGCATTTATTGCATCTGCTGGGGTCACTGCACTGGGGAAGAAGGCCTCATTTTCTCAGTTCGCCTAATATTCCAGGTTCTTTCTGTTTATCTATAATTGTAAGAAGAGTTGCCCTTCTGATACATGTTGACATATCACTGTTCTGCTAAACAGTGTAGTCTGGCTACTAGGGGAGGAGTTACACCCACCCTCTTCTGCTGCCAGCTCTGTGACAAAGAGAAAGCTGTAAGTTATTCTCCAGCCTGCTGAAGAGTTTTGTGTAGTCCCCAGCAGCCTATCACTTTCAGCAGAATTCCCTCTTTAGAAGTAAATGTGTCAAACTGCATATTTTGTTATGGGTATTTTATGCCTAAACCCTTCCTCCCTTATTGTCATTTTATAGATGCTGGGTTTTGGTCCACAGATTACAATACCAGTGTCCTAACTAATGTCAGAGTTCTAGCCAGTGAAAAATTAGAAATGAGAGTCATCTCTTCCCATCATGTCTGGGGTTACCACATCTAACCTGGTTCTCTTGCCAAAGAACTTGCTCTCCAGGATGGATGACTCTGGATAAACATGAGTTACCTGCTAAGGAATGGCCTTATAATCAGATGATAGTCTGGTTTCAAGCTCATCAAATTATCTTTTAATTTATTTTCCATTTGAAATCAAATAGTTATTCCCTCTTATTTACATTCTCATCTAGGCCTAAAATACTGTTTATCACAAGACAGTTGTTATTAAAACCACAAAACATTAAGTTTAAAGGTAAACCTATCATGAAAGAGATATTGTTCCCAAGGAAGCTTAAACCAATTTATTATTAAATTTACAAATAATGGGTTGCCACTTCCAAAGTGAAGATGTAGATCAGGTGGAAATAACACGAAAGGAGGGTCCTTTATTAGATACTTCATCTGAAGTTTTGTCCTTAACTTTGTTGAGGCATCGGGTGGGGAGGGTTACATTAATAGAAAGCAATAGATAAAGAAGTTGGGCACTGGAATGAGAAATGAGACTGCCTTAAGTTCGAGGCCTTCTTATTTGATTTGGGGAAAGTTACTTAACCTCCTTGGGCCTCAATCTTGTCATCTATAAAAAGGGAGTAATAATGATTTGTTGTGGTGTTCAAATAATACACTTAATGCTTGTCACATTGTAAGTGCTCAATAAATATTAGCCATCATCACCTTCATCAGCAGCAGCAGCACCTTCATCATCATCATCATCACCATTATGTCTTACAGCATATGGTTACATTTATCATCATAGGTACCATATGCTAGATAGAAGGGTAGATTAAAAACAAGTTGTTACATGAGCACAGGGAGGGGAACAACACACACTGGAGCCTGTCGGGGGTTGGGGGATGGGTAGGGGGAGCATCAGGATAAATAGCTAATGCCTGCTGGCCTTAATACCTAGGCGATGGGTTGATAGGTGCAGCAAACCACCATGGCACACATTTAGCTATGTAACAAACCTGCATGTCCTGCACATGTATCCCAGAACTTAAAACAAAATCTAACAAACAAACAAACAAAACATAAGTTGTTGCTTTAGTCAGCTTATTCCTCCAGATTGAGGGGGAAAAAACACTGAGGGCTAAAATATAGGGTATAAAGAGTACGTTAAGTGATTTAATAAATTCCTGGCCTACCTCACCTGAAAGCATTAACAGAGTTTTGCACTTAACGGAAATAAATTGGGCGACAACTAGTTTTGAACATTTTCTTCTTAAATGCTGGAATATACTGTGGTTAGATATTTTGCTTTTAACTGTTAGTATCTATTCTGAACCTTTACAACCTACACAGTAGGAAAGGGATTTTAAAAGGACAAACAGTAACTCATATAAAGATTTCATGGATAAGAACTAAGCAATTGAATGCATAATTTATAGTTTGGAGTACCATATTACTTTGTGGCACATTTAAAATTGTTACTCTGATTGATTATTTTGAAAATTCCAGGCACCATTAGATTTCATCCCTCTGCACAGTATTTCTCTAAATACCATCTCTGAATCCACAAATATTTATCTTTTTTTGGTTAGCATCCAGCTGGTAACCAGTAAAATGATCCTACATTATTCTAGGACAGGAGCCAGGAACTTGGTCTTATTGCATAAAGCTACTCTATTCCTCTTTGTGTGAAATATATTCCACTACTGGTCCCTAGATACTTATTTAAGAGAGCACTTAAAATCGCTCCCTTTGGAGTTGCCTGAGTGTCATTGAGAAATAAATCAAAAGACAAAATCAACTCAAGTATGTCTGATACAACTCAACAAGGCAGTGTATCTCAGTGGGGTCCCAAGATCTTCTTTATTAGAATCACTCAGTATGCTTATTTAAAATCCAGATTTCTGGGCAAGTCAACACATAAAGAATCAGAATTTTCTATGTCAGAGCCTTAGAATCTGCATTTTATTAGTGTTCATGGGTAATTCCTAAGTACCCACTGAAGTTTAAGAACTATTGCCCTGGGCCCTTAATATATCGTATTCTATTAAGAACTTCATTATAATTAAGCAAATAGAAAAATAATTCATATATGCTGATTCATATGCCATAATAAATAATTTAACTAGGTTTTATTGTGTCTTTCCAATTTACAAATAATCCACAATCCTTTCTCTATGTTAAAATGTTAAATTCTCTAACAATACATCAGTACTAATAACTATGACAACTAACATTACTAGATCCATTTTCTAATGTAAATAAAATAAAAATCAAATGTCCAGGGTTCTTATTGATTATGTGTAATAAAGATATAAATATTCTTGTATATTTCTGAGTAGCTATGATTTCTTACAAATTTCAGAAACCTGCCAGCTTTGAGATCCTGCATTTGAGAGCCAGCATTGGCTGGATACACCATGCAAGTGATAGAGCATTTGGACCAGGAAGAGAATTTGGAAGTAAAGGGAATTGATGTAGCACAGTGTTCAGTTTTAAGAGCTTCATCTAGGTGAAGACTCATAAGTAATATACATATGGTATAGCCAAGGTCTTTTATGAAGGAAAAGTAATCACAGACAAAAATTGTCAAAGAAGAAAATGAAAAAAAGAAGCAATTAAGAAGTTTTAGAACAGGGCTGGCATTTTTCTCTTGTTTTTATTGTTTGGATTTCACTTTATTTGTATTAAACAATTTTAAGAGGCAAATAGCACTATAAGATTTTAGCAAAAAAAGAGAAGTCCCTGTTCTATCTTTTCTCATTCCTAAATTTTGCTTCCTATAGTTAACACTTTCAACTCTTTTTTTTCTCTCTCTCTTTTTTGAGACAGTCTTACTCTGTCACCCAGGCTGGAGTACAGTGGTGCAATCTTGGCACACTGCAACCTCTGCCTCCCAGGTTCAAGCGATTCTCCTGCCTCAGCCTCCCGAGTAGCTGGGATTACAGGCACCTGCCACCACACCCGGCTAATTTTTGTATTTTTTTTTTTTTTTTTTTTTTGATAGAGACGGGGTTTCACCATGTTGGCCAGGTTGGTCTTGAACTCCTGACCTCAAGTGATCCACTACTGTCTCCCAAAATGCTGGGATTACAGGCATGAGCCACCTTGCCTGGCCAACACTTTCAACTCTTTTAACTATTTCTATTGGAATTGACCTTCACATTTTCTGGGGTAAAAAAAAAAAAAAAGATGTTTATAGTGCTATTTCAGGACTTTTCCATTTTAAACATTGTACATTGACAACCTAACTGTGGATGATGAGAATAGAATTATTTTCCCATTCTCCTTTCAACCTGATTCTCCTAATATATTACTACTTTGGGCAAAACAAATATTTAGTGTTTCCATTATTATGAACTCATAGATATTATTCAGAGAGGAGCCACATAGTATATTATGATTATGTTTTCATTCCTCTACAACTTCGTGTTTTTCCTGGAGCTAACAGTTGCCTTTCCTTAATCATTCAGTTTTCTATGTAAGTATCATTAATTTGAATTCATTTCCAAATCCTACCACAGAACTCTAGAACTCCTATCAACATGGCCAGGTGCACAGAGTGATCTATTAGTTCTGTGTTTTTCTGGGTATCCTGGACCCCTGTGTTCTTCTGCTTCACTCTGTCCTGGCCACTCTTAAGCCCTAAAGCAAGCCTGCAGCCAAGGATTTTCCTTTGGTGTGATGGAGGGATTCCTTTCATTCCTCTCCCATAATGGGACACCTGGATGTTACACACCCAGGAACAACACCCAGTCCCACCGTAGGACTGCTCTAATAGTAATCCCACAGCCCCCGCCACTTGCTGTTTGGTACGTAACAACTCTAGGGACCAGATAGTACATGCATTGTCAATGGCGGTGAAAATTGGTTTTAGGAGATTGGGAGTAATAGATATTTATATAGTACATAAATAGGTAAACAATATATCTATGATCTTCAAATTTCGTGGGTAGGGTGGTTAAAGGAAAATGTTTCTAAAAAAGCTCCACAGAGGAGCAATAATGAAAGAAAAAAGGATGAGAAACACAGATAGCAGAGCCTTTGCCGCAGGTGCCCCAGAATATGTACTACCTCTGTGTGGTTACCATTTCTTGTCTCCAATGCCCAAATCTCTCCTGGGTGAGTTTGCCTGATGGACCTCAGTGACATGCAGAGCTGCTGCTGCAAGGGAGCCTGGGAAATACAGTTTTTTCTTTCTAGTGTCTAAAACAGAGGAAAGCTGTTAGGAAGGGGATGAGGGAGTGGGTGTTGAGTGCACCAGTCTGTGATATCTGCCCAAGATGGGTCTAGAATTTCAGATTGAAACCCTCATCACTTAGAATTTTGAAGGCATTGCTCCATTTTCTTATAAGTTCCAATGATGCTATTAAGAAATGTCATTTTAATTTCTGATTCTTTAGATGTGACCTGGTTTTTAATTTTTCTTCCCTCTCTAGAGATATTCTTTTTTATCGCTGATGTTCTGAAATTGTAGTGATCTGTCTTAGGTGGGCCTTGGCTATTCATTGGGCTGGGTATTTTGTGGACTCTTTGGATGTAGAAACACAAGACCTTCAGTTCAGGAAGTTTTTCATGTTTCTTTGATAATTGTCTTCTCTTCATTTTTCTGTTCTCTCTTTGTGGAATTCTTATTTGTAGGATAGTGGGCTTTCTGGGTTAATCCTCTAACTTAACTTTTGTCTTTATTTTCCAGCTTTATCTTTTCTTCTATATAACTTTCTCAACTTTATCTTCCAACCTTCTCCTGATTTACTAATATTTTCTTTAGATATTTTTCATTAAATTGTTCACAAAAATATATACATTCCCCTCATTGAAAATTCCTGCAATGAATATAAGTAACAAAATGAAATAAGAATGAAATAATGTTTCATACCCTTAAAAAGTTTAAGTTATGAGAAAGGGGGTTTGTTCAATAAAAGAAACAATAAATAAATGTGAACAAGCACCCAGAACACATCCAAATGTCTATGCAAAGACTGTTCCCAACAGCTATCCCACTGCACGTTATGGTTTATGTAACTCCTCAACCAACCACTTATGAAATGTAAGTTAAGAAATATGAGATCTACCTCATGTTTCTGATTTTCACAATATCAGTGCCAAACTCATACCATCTTCACTAACTCTAAATGTTGAATGTTTCCAAAGTGAAAAGCAAACAATTCTTATAACCTGCTGAGCAGATTTTGCTGAAATAGTGAATTTCACTGTACTTAAGAAGAATTTGTTGGCCAGGCGTCGTGGCTCATGCCTGTAATCCCAGCACTTTGGGAGGCCAAGGTGGGTGGATTACTTGAGGTCAGGAGTTCAAGACCAACCCGGCCAACATGGTGAAACCCCATCTCTACTAAAAAAGAAAATACAAAAATTAGCCAGATGTGATGGCGCACGCCTGTAATCCCAGCTACTCAGGAGGCTGAGGCAGGAGAATGGCTTGAACCCAGGAGTCGGAGGTTGCAGTGAGCTGAGATCATGCCACTGCACTCCAGTCTGGGCAATAGAGTGAGATTCCATCTTAAAAAAAAAAAAAAGAAAGAAGAAGAAGAAGAATTTGTTGCAACTTATATTAAAATAGCATGAATAACAAATAACACCAAATAAATATCAGCAAGAGTAATGCCTACACATATTAAAGTATCCATTTAAACCATGTTCTAATTAAATAGAATGTCCACTAAGTCAATTTTATATATCATTACACGTAACATGATATCAAAGAATATGACTTTATCTATTAGGCATTTCCAAATACCTATTCCCAAATTAATATTTATGCACTTGTTAAGACTTACAGTTTACTTAGAAATAAAACAGAAACAAACACACATGCATTTTTATAATTTAAAATATTTCATGTTACACATGAGCAATGTTCAGATTTAAGTTTTAAGCCAAGTTTACTTTTTCCTAAGTTGTATTTATGCCAAGGCTTTCTTACAAAAATATATCTTATGTGTATAAATTGGACAAACTTACAGTAGTATTTCTAATGTTCAATTTGAGATGGGAAAACATAAACCTATTCTGAATAAAGATATTTGTCAAGGTTTGGGGTGTAAACATTTTGTCAGGCAAACAATTTAGTAAAAAAAAAATTGACCTTCATTTAAAAATATACGCAATCTCATAATAAGCCCCTGGACTTCCAAGTTGAAATACAGCTTGCATTTCTAGCGAAGACATATGCTTTATTTAAAGGGACAGGGTGAGTTATAAATTCACCAACATGTTGAAAATGCATTAGTTTTAAAAAAGCCAATACTGCTTCTGAAATGTAGGCAGTGGGTTATAATGTGTTCACAAATTTCAGAAAATATTGCTTCTCCCCTTTGATGATATTCCTGTAGTAAGTAAAATACAAGACTTTGACTCTGGTCAGTGGTCTCATTTGATGGCCGGGGTAATATATTTGATTTTATATATACAAACAAGCATTTCCTCCCCAGATGTCCTATTCACAGTGTCAAAAATTATAGTTCTATTTAGAAGTAATAGTGATAGAGCCAGATGAACCATCACTCCTTGTTGCTAACAAAGCAGAAATTCTGAACAATGTTTTCACCCATGGCTATTTTGATATCTGTAAGAGCTTCGGCACAAGCTAAAATTCTCATCAACCTTTAAAAAATGGCAATGAAAACAACAACAAGATCAATCATGGAAACTTCTCCACTATTCCTGATACACGTTCAATCAACTAATACAAAGCAAAGCTCAGTGATGCAGTAGAGAGAGACCAGGCCTCCAGAGTGATGCAGAATTATGCAGAAGAAGAATATTCCTTCTGCGGTCATGACTATTCCAATTTACTATGAATGTCCCCATCTGGAGAACAAAACAAACCTGATTCAACCAGAATGGATAAGCAGAGTTAGCTTTCATGGTCCTATAATATTAGGTGACACAGCTTTGGTCTTTAAAATTTGCACAGGTGACAAAATAAAATAAACTCAACAATATAACCAGATGGCTCATTCAGTTGCTGGAGAATAGTTTTAAATGCATGTAAAATTTATTAAAGTAAAATTTCTCTAAGTATTGATTATTATTCACTGATTCATTTATTCACAAAATATTTATTGAGTTCCTAAAATATCAGATACTGTGTTAATCACTGGGAATATCAGAGTGAACAAAAATGTCAGGTCTCCAAAGAGTGGAGTATCTTTATGTTTACTGAGGAGATTATAGAAACATATCGAACAGCGTTTCTGTGAACTACAAACCTCATTTATCACGTTTAACCACCACGCACATGCCACTTCCACTTCATTCTAATACACACTCTGAAAGGTCTGACAATTGGGAAGCATGGTGCTCCAACACAATTTTTATTATCTAAAATGTTTCTAAAGATCATAAATAGAACATAAGGTACATTTTATTCCTACATCAGTGGGTTGAATCTTTTCAAAAACAGCTGAAATCTTTTAAAAATTTGATGTGATAGTACATTAAATAGGTGTAAAATAGTGGTCAAATTAAAAGAGAACTTACTTTAATCAATGAAAGAGAAGGACTCCTTTTATGTCCACTATTTTGTTTATTTTTTTCTTTTTCTTTTTTTTTTTTTTTTTTTTTTTTTTTTTTTTTTGCCCTTCCTCTGTTGCCCAGGCTGAAATGCAGTAGCACAATCATAGCTCACTGTAACTTCAAACTCCTGGGCTCAAGTGATCCTCCAGCCACAGACTCCTGAGTAGCCGGGACTACAGGTAGGCACCACAGTGCCTGGCTAAGCTTTTAATTTTCTTTTTTGTAGAGACGGGGTCTCTTCCTGTTGCCCAGGCTGGTCTGAACTTCTGGCCTCAAGTTACCCTCCTGTCTGGGCCTCCCAAAGCACTGGGATTACAGGTGTGAACCACGACACCAATCCCCCATTATTTTCATATTTCAGTAACAAAATGTGTATTTGAACCAGACTTCTTCTTATAGCTTCAATGTGAAAACACAATTTTGATTACTCTCTCACTATATTTCTGCAATTTTTAGCCCTGAAGGGGAGGGAGAAAAAAGATTGAAACTCTATGGGCCTTTGTTCAAAATCATTAGTGGCAAAAATAAGGTAAGACATAAGAAATGAAGAATTATTAAATGAACTTTAAACTTCCAGGAACCCAGGGCACACTTAATTACCTTCACCAAGTATCTTGCAAATGTATTTCATGAGCCACAAGGGAAACGGGTGGAGTGTGGACAGACTGATATAAAACCAGCTTAACCGCTGAAAAAGACAACCCAAGCGTCTGGGGTCCCGGGTCTCAGCTTGTCTGTGCCTCTATCCAAAGTCATTATCACGACATCTATGGTACAGAAAAATTTCGTCAAATGAAATAAGGAAAGGATCTATGAATGGTTCAACAAATATGTGCAAAATGTCACTTCTAAGACTCTTGGACACCCCCCCAAAATTATTGTTTTTTTTTTTTTAACTTAGGAGCGTTTGGAATGTCAACAAAACAGCTGCAACTTTTTTTTTTTTTTGCAATTATAGAGTGGTATTCAGAACAACAATGCTAACAGAACAACAATTATTTCCTATAAGCTGCATCAGAGACAACTGAAGATGAAAAAGCTACCATCCCTGTATATAACTAATTTGTTCTGTACACCAACAAGGACTTGCTTTACATTTGCCTGTCAATTTACAATCCCCATACTGTACCAGGCAAGGCTAGTGGCTATTGAAAATACCACCAAGACAGGGTTATTTAAAGACATATTTGGTAATGTAACTGTACAAAAAAAGACACTGTACAGTTTAAAAACAAATCTTACACAGCCTTATATTTCAGAGTTTTTTTCTTTAAAAGGAGTGAATTATGTACGGGGTGGTTAAATGCTTTATAGACAAGGAAAAACTGCACTAAAACCAACTTAGTCATCATCATCTTCTTCATCTTCCTCCTCCTCATCATCCTTTTCATCTTCCTCCTCTTCCTTCTTTGCTTTTTTCAGTCGTGATGACTCTTTTTTTTCCTGCTGCATCCAGTTTTCCTTTAGCTGAGTATGCAGCAATAAGCAATATCGTTTTTGTATTTTTCCTTCAGCTTTGCAGTCTTCTTTTTACAAGATTGCCTTTCACCAGCAGCACTGTTATTCTACACCTCTCTGTTTCTTTACAACATCACCAATGGACACACCAGGATGTTCTCCTTTAATGTTGGAGTCCAGAACAAGAAAAAGGCCGAAGGAGGCCTCTTGAATGCATTGGGATCCCGGAGCTTCTTTTTTATTTCTCCTTTGGGAGGGATGTAGGTTTCATTTCGCTTTCATTTCACAGGCCTGGTCTGCCTGTGCCATGTCCTCAGATTTTGCTTTCTCTTTAGCTGACGTGACCTTCCACTTCCCTGAGCACTTCTTAGAAGGCTCTGAGAAGCTGACGGAACCATCTGGGTGCTGCTTCTTGTGCTCCTCCTGGCCAGTTTGCACAAAGGATGCCTGTGATGACATTCTGCCTCTCGGCTTTTTAGGATCGCCTTTGCCCATAGTTAGTTATGTTTCCTTGGCAAGGCACAGCCTCGCCCCATGCCCATCCGGCTCTCGTGGGCTCCTGGCGCAGTCTCTATGAAACTCAATGTAGTGCCATGCTGTTGAATCTTTTTTAATAGCTGAAACCTGTTATCATATCAATTGACATATATACACACATTAAAAATCTCAAAATTGGCTGGGCGCAGTGGCTCAAGCCTGTAATCCTAGCACTTGGGAGGCCAAAGCGGGCAGATCACCTGAGGTCAGGAGTTTCAGACCAGCCTGGCCAACATGGTGAAACCCCATTTCTACTAAAAATATAAAAATTAGCTAGGTGTGGTGGTGCATGCCTGTAATCCCAGCTACTCAGGAGGCTGAGGCAGGAGAATCACTTGAACCAGGGAGGTGGAGGTTGCAGTAAGCTGAGATGGTGCCATTGCACTCCAGCCTGGGCAACAGAGCTAGCCTCTGTCAAAAAAAAAAAAAATCTCAAAATGGTTTCCTAACCCAAAATTGTTTACATTTTCATCTAGAACATTAAACTGCTGAAACATAACCACACAAATACTGAACCACTGATTTTAGAACAGGAAAAGCCACCTACTGCCCTCCAATTTAACAAACAGGAAAACTGAGGCACAGAGACTTATGTTAGTTTGCCAAGTTCACAGAGCAATTGAGTGGCAGAGCAAAGACTTTAAGCCAAATCTTGGTACCCAGAGCTTTCCAAACCCCATGCAGAGCACCTGCCCTGTGCCAGCATTCTACAAGGGACACGAGAGAGTTACAAAGAGCATGCGGAGGACTTCCTATGAAACCAAGAAGGCAAAATCCAGACTTCTACACCCCAAACAACCTGCGACAACCAACAACACAAGGCTGTACGTGATAATTAAACAAAAACAAAAACAAACAAAACAGTAAAGCGCTGTGGGATTTAGAAAGGGGAGATGATTTAGGTTTGAGAATTAAACAGTTTCATGGGCTATATCTTAGAATGGTAGAACTTCTTAACTTTTGTTTGAAAATAATTTCAGCCTTAAAATAATTACGAAAATAAAAATAGTACAAGGAACATTTGTATACCCTTTATCCAGATTTGGATTCACCGGTTGTTAACATTTTACCTCATTTGCTTTATCATAGATGCTTGCTCTTTATTTATTTATTTCTTTTACACACACTTTAAAAAAATTATTTAAGGGTAAGTTACATACATTATGGCCCATTACCACTAAATACTTCAATGTATATTTTTTAAGGTTAGGATTTTTTCTTAAATAACCACAGTACAGTTATCAACTTCATAAATTATATTGATACATAACGCATTTCTCTAATCTATCAATCTATAATCCATTTTCCGATTTTTTCCCTTCATCTAGTAGCATTTTTTAAGGCGCTTTTCCCAGTACAGGATCCAGGTCAAATATTGCATTTGTTATTGAGGCTCTTTAGCCTCCTTGAAACCACAGGCTTTCTTTGACCTTCATGACACTGACGCTTTTGGAGACTATGGTTTTAGTTCCCACTATTTTTACCATGATAACAGTACTTATTTGTGCTTATCTGCTGTTCCTTTGTGGTTACACTGGGTTTATGTGTTCTTGGCCAGAAGACGGCACAGGCAAGGTTGTGTTCTTTTCAGGGTATCGCATCTGGTAGCACATGATATCCACCTGTCCTTCATAGGCGATGCTTATTTTGATCATCTAGTTAAGGTGTTGTCTGATCTTTCCAGTCTATAGTTATGATTTATTTTTCTCCCTTGTAACCAATAATGAGTTTTATTAGAGACTGGCACATTAAGAACTTACAAATATCTTGCTTCTCATCAATATTTCCCTTACACTTAGCAGCTGTTAATTGCTGGAGCCAACATTGAACGTGATGGTTACAAAATTAGGATTTTCCAACTCCAACGCTCCCACCATAGTTTCCATTTGGCTTTGACATTTTGGTATAAGCAAGAGACCTACCTCATTCTCCCTCCTTCTCCTCTATATCTATCTATCTATCTGTTTATCTATCTATCTACCTATTTATCTATCTACCTGTCTATCATCTATCAACATATCCTTCTCTCTTTTTTCCTTCTTCCTCCTTTTCTTTCATATATATTTATTATTGGTCTAAACTCATGAATTCCTGTATTATTTATAATTCATTACTGTACTTTTTAATTTTGGTGGCAAATGGTAACAGATTTGGCCAGTGAGATCCCCTTGAATGTCCCTATAATTTGTGTGTGTGTGGGCATGCTTTCTTACTTCCTAGCGCATGGACCACTTCTGGAACAATAAGTTCCAGACTCATCTTGAAGATACTGTGCCTTAGTTCTGGGGGAGGAAATAATCTGGAAAAACACAATCTCCTATACTTGGATCTTTGTATAGTTTCTAAAGACGGGTAGAATTTTGATAGGTAGGGAGAATAGAAACTAGCATTGTAGCATATGCAGAAAAGGAATATAGATGCTAAGCACAGGGAAAGGGTTTCCCTTTTCCTTCTAGATTAATCAGGGTTCTTCAGAGTAACAGAACCAATGGAATACACAGAGATATACAAAAGGAGATTTATTATGGGAATTGGTTCAAATGACTGTGAAGGCCAAGAAGTCCCATGGTCTGCCCTCAAGCTTGAGACCCAGGGAAGCCAGTGTGTCTGAGTCCAAAGGCCTCAGAACCAGGAGCACCAATGTCTGAGGGCAGGAGAAAATGGATGTCCTGGCTCAGGAAGGAGAGAGATTTCACCCTTCCTCTGCCTTTTTCTTCTATTTGGACCCTTAATGGAGTGGATGATGTCAGCCCAATTGGTGAGAGAGGAGGCTTTTTACTGGGTCTATTGACTCAAATACTGATCACTTCTGGAAATACCCTCACAGACTAACCCAGAAGCAATGTTTTGCCTGCCATCTGAGCATCCTTTAACCCAGTCACATTGACACCTATGATTTAACCACCACACCTCCTTTATATCAGTTTTCTACAGCTGTGTAACAAACTATCCCCAAACATATTGACTTAACCATTCTGTGGATCTTCAGTTGGGGCAACTCTCAGTGGAATGTTTTCTCTCTGATTCACATGGTGGCAGCTGGGCTGAATTAAGGCTAGAGGTTGCCAGATGGCCTGACTCATATATCTGGGACCATGGCACTGCCTGTTGGCTGGGGCACCACAGTGTTCCTCCATGCGGCCTCTCTGTCCAACAGGATAGCCTGGCTTCCTCACATTGTGGTTCAGGGATCCAAGAGAAAGAAAGTAGAAGGCTGCCAGACTTTTTACCCCCTTGGCTTAGAACTAGTACAGTGTCACTTCATTGATCAAAATGTCACAGGTTAGTCCAATCTCAAGGGAGGAGAAATGCACTGCACCTCTTGGTAGAAGGAGAAGCATGCATGCATAGGGATGGGCAGGATTCTTGTTGGCCATCTTTGCAGTCAACCACACCCTCCTTTTACCCTTTCCATTTCTGCAAGTAAATTAGTAGTTTTTAAGTTCCAACATACGAAGGAAAAAATGGGGATTTTCAGATAGCTGAATGAGAAAGACTTATGTGAATTTTATTTGACCTCTAACAGAACAGTGCCCTCAGTGATCAATAAATTCTTGTTCACTACATTGAATGAAAGTTGTCAACATGAAAGATGAAGATAAATATTCAAAAGTTATTGGAATAATTTATACAGGTATCTTAAAAAACAAAAATTTAAAATTCCAAACTAAATAAAATTGAGGATCTGGACAAGTTCCAAGGTAGATACATAGTAATGATTTTTTAAGAAGAAATTATCCATAAGGAAAGCTTGAAAAATCAGAGATTGGGGGCAGAAAGGTAGGTAGCTAGGGAAAGGAATTTGATTATTCTTTTTTTGATTCTTTATAACATTGTTTCCCATTTTTGGTAAGGGCAGAATAACAACAGCAACAAAACAACCAGTACTGTATTTCAACATAAATAGAATATTGATTAAAGTGGCAAATGAGGAAAATGATCTTCCTGAAAATCCATTTTTTATTTAGTGTGCAAAAAATACTGTGCTATGGACCACTAGTGGGAAAATGAAATAAGACATAGCCCTTCCCTTCAGGAGCTCAAAGTTAGATGCTAACAGATCATTATCATATGAAGTGCATAATAGAGGCATGGCAGCACTTTAAGAATGCCAGAGATACAAACTGTCTGGCCATATTTGAATGCTGTTCAGCAAAGATGTCAGAATATAACTTTATGTAGAAACATCATAAACTTGATGGTCCTTTTAATCCTATAAAAAATCTTTTTGGGCCGGGCGTGGTGGCTCACGGCTGTAATCCCAGCACTTTGGGAGGCCAAGGTGGGTGAATCACCTGAGGTCAGGAGTTCAAGACCAGCCTGATCAACATGGTGAAATCCCATCTCTACTAAAAATACAAAAATTAGTTGGGCATGGTGGCAGACACCACTTAGAAGTGGGAGCTAAGCTATGAGGATGCAAAAGTACAAGAGTGATATGATGGAATTTGGGGACTCAGGGAGAAGGGTGGGAGGGGGGTGAGGGGTAAAAGTGTACCCTGCTCAGGTGAGGGGTGCACCAAAATCTCGGAAATCACCACTATAGAACTTATCCATGTAACCAAACACCACCTGTTCCCCAAAAAACCTATTGAAATAAAAAAAATAAAATTAAAAAAATAAAAAAAGAAATCTTGGGCTGAAAACAACACATGAAAAAATGCTCAATGTCACTAATCATCAGAGAAATGCAAATTAAAACCACAATGAGATATCATCTTACTCCAGTCAGAATGGCTATTACTGAACAGTCAAAAAACAATAGATATTGGTGTGGATGTAGAGAAAAGGGAACATTTATACACTGTTGGTGGGAATGTAAATTAGTTCAATCTCTATGGAAAACAGTATGGAAATTTTTCAAATAACTAAAAATAGAACTACCATTTGACCCAGCAATCCTATTAATCCTATGCCTGGGTATCTACCCAAAGGAAAAGAAATCATTACATAAAAAAGACATCTGCACTTGTATATTCGTCACACAGCAATATTCACAATAGCAAAGTCATGGAACCAACCTATGTGTCCATCAACGGTTGACTGGATGAAGAAAATGTGGTATATATACACCATGGGATACTATGCAGCCATAAAAAGGAATGACATCATGTCCTTTGCAGCAACATGGATGGAGCTGGAGGCCATTATGTTAAGTGAACTAACTCAGAAACAGAAAATCAAATACTTCATGTTCTCACTTAAAAGTGAGAGTGAACTAGTGGGTACACAGGGACAAAAAGATGGAAATAATAGACACTAGACACTGGGGACTCCAAAAGTGGGGAGGGTTGAGGAGGTGAGGGTTAAAAAATTACTTATTGGGTACAATGTTCGCTGTTTGGGTGATGAGTATACTAGAGGCCCAATCCCACCATGACACAATATAACCATGTAACAAACATGCACATGGGCTCCTGAATCTAAATATAACACAATTTTTTCAAAAAGTGGAAAATTTGAAAATTTGAACATTGAAATCCTAGGTCATTCTTTTGTGAGGAAATATTGTACCTATGTGCTTTGGGGATTTGACATTAGTTATTTGGTTGACCCTAGGAAAGGAAGTAAACTGAATCCTCTTAAATGAGATTGTTTTTATGATTAAATTTTTTGGTATTCTTTGTGTAAAACTGATTTAAAAGATTCTATCTTTTCTGATTATTTTTCCCTCTATAAGGAAGTACATATATTTCAATGTTATCAATTCCTGTAACTATTTATTAACATTTCCTTATGTGTTTTCTCCAGATGTTGGAAGTGAAAAAAAAAAGGCCTTGTTAAAAAGAAGAAGAAGAAATAAATAAATAAATAAATAAATAAATAAATAAATAAATAAATCTTGGGCTGAGAAAATCTGCAAATAAGCACATAATTGGCTCTGAGTTTCTTGGGGATGAAGACAAAGAGGGAAACACACTGATTACATATTTTTCAGTGTCTTAGAAAATGAAACACTCCAGTCCATCATGAAACAATTGTTTTCTGGCTCTCCTGTCTGTGAGCAACTTCTCAAGTGGGTGGATTTAGTAAGTAGCACGCCGGACAGTGTCCCCCCAGTCTCACAAGAATGGCCCAAAAGTTCTACTCGTGACTGTTTCTTATGAAGCTGAGCCATGCTGCGAAGTTTTTCTTCTGTGATGAAGGGAATACAGGTTGGGTCCAAGCTTTCTAGAGACTCATCTTGACACAGGGCTAAAACTCAGGGAACTTCAAGGAACAGGGTCCTTGGCAAATGACATTTGTCTCAGCTGGAGTTTTGAAATGAGCTATATTCAGACAGTTCATAAGTTGAGTCTCTAACATGTAGCTGAAGGTCAGATAACCAATATTGTAACTGAAGGGAAAGCCACATGCTCCCATTGCCAGATACGTAAGCAGCAGAGCACCCTTTCGTGAACACTGAGGCGTCTGCATTGCACTCTCACCAGAGGGGAGGCTGCCCCCTCCACTCTGGAATTGGCCATAGACACACGAAAATACTTTGGTCATATAGATTTCTTATTTTTCAGATTTGGCTTTTTCCACTGGAACATTTGAAAGTCAATTTTACATCAGAGTGGATCCACATTGAATATCCCTGGAGGTTATTTCCAACCTTTCCATCATTATTTAAAGTGTATCTTTCCAAAAATTATCTTTAGTCTAATTAATATTAGCTTTTCCAATAAGTGGTTTCATTTATTATACTCCAATAGTGCTTTTTCTCTATATTATACGCTATATTATACAAAAAATTATCTATGCTCTTGTTGTTTAAAATTATACAAATGGTACATCAAGAGAATATTCAACATGATGTATTTTGAAGAGATGATTGGTGATGAGCAATGTTTTGTGCCTTGTAGGGGTTATTGTGGCTTTATCTGATTCACGTGACTTCTAACTATTATCTTGTTTCTCTCCTGGATCAGATACGTACGTATACAGGATCCACTAAGATTGCTGTTGTGAAAATGTATTCTGGGTATGTGGCCACAGTGTGAGTTGTAGGATAGAGCAACCGGTGGAACAAGATAACTGCTTCCCCCTGAAACAGCCCTGTTTAGGAATGTTGTCCAGATTGTAGGGAACTCAAACAATCCCTTTAAGTAGAAAGTAAATAGATTAGGAAAACAGCCACAAGGTTTGACACACCATCAGTGACTTTTTTCCCCTTTCCCTTTTCTTTTCATGGTGTAAGAGAACAGACAGCATGCATTGCAAGATCTGCCTTGTCTTGCTGCCACCCTGGACTGCCTCACATGTAAGTTCCCCCTGAATAAATCTTTGACGACCTCCCAGACCGGAGTGGTCTACGTCTTTCTTTGGTCTGAGCTTGCTCTCTGCTTAAAGAGGGCAGTTTTCTGTTCTGGCAGGGAGTTTTCCCAACAATTACATTTTCCAATATGAGAGTGATTACCCACATGTGGCTATCGAAATTCAAATTGATTAAAATAAAAAAATCCATTCTACTAAGATTCAGTTGCACTAGCCACATAAAGTGCTCAATAGTTCCCCATGGCTAGTGCTAGAGTACTGGATACAGCGGAGAGAGAGAGGGGAGAGATTTCCATTTTCGTCATCATGGGAAATTCTACTGGACAGCACTGCTCCAAGAAATAAAATCGATGCTCTATTGCCATAAGAAATAATATCTATAAAGTCATAGCTATGCAGATTAGTGGAACTGATGACAATTAGAATATACCTGAGACTCAAAGAGAAAGGATTCTGGTCTAACAAGAAAACAAAAAATGGTTAAAATGGTAGTTCATTTGGAGGTAGAGGTAGAAGTAATGTGTGTTAATTACAAGGACTGTAACCATCAGGATCAAGGTCCAGGAGAAGGACAATCATCTGACCAAATTGCAGTGGGGCAGGAAGTGCCTGCAAGCGGGTATTTGGTGCGGGTTTTCTACTTATTGCACCAAAAAGTGTTCTGTGGTCTGTATACTCAGGAAAGTATGGGTTTAACAGAGCCAGAAGGGTTTCTTTACTTTCAGTCTTTAGTATCTTGAGAGCCCTACTATTTATCCAGGGTTTCCCAGTCCTTTTTGAATTTGGGGTCCTTTTCTAATGTGAATCATGTTCTGGGGAAACCCTTTGGTTTAGGACGTGGCTGAGGGCAGCCTCCTCTTTCAATCTCCCCTCGTACCACACTGACTCACCTTATCCCTGTCCATCCCCAAACATCTATGTAACTTACAACACGATAGGGACTCCATGGCACTCTGCCCGTCAAGGAGATTTCCTTATTTTGAAATGTGCTCGCCTATCTGCTCATGACATGGCTGTGATCTTGCCTTCTGCCAATATTTCATGTTCTGGTGAACACATTTGCTCACAAATGGGGTCAGTGCTGCACCTATTTCCAAAGTGTCATGGAAGCATTTCAAGCTGGATGTCAAAAATCAAGTTTTAGGCCAGCACTGTGGCTCACACCTGTAATCCCAGCAATATGGGAAGCCAAAGTGGGCGGATCACCTGAGGTCAGGAGCTCGAGACCAGACTGGCCAACGTGGTGAAACCCCATCTCTAGTAAAAATACAAAAATTAGCTGGGTGTGGTGGAGGGCGCCTGTAATCCCAGCTACTCGGGAGGCTGAGGCAGGAGAATGGCTTGGACCTGGAAGGTGGAGGTTGCAGCGAGCCAAGATCACGCCATTGCACTCCAGCCTGGGCAACAGGAGCAAAACTCCATCTCAAAAAGCAAAAAACAAAACAAAACTAAAATCAAGTTTTATATTGAGGAGGAAAAATATGGTGGAGTGGAGAGAGCTTAATGATAAGCAGGTAATTAAGGATCGTTAGAAGTCCTGTAAAATCTTCAAGGGTATCGTAAAGTAGCCTGGGAGGAATGATCAAGTACATGAATAGTGGCTGGAGATGCCCATGGCCTGAGCACGCAGTGACTTCTAAGGGTTTGAAGAGAACAAAAGAGCGGTTGCTGATGTATAATTCCAGAACTCATCTTCACAGGGAATATGCAATACTGCCCACAATCCCTAACGGTGCTGGTTTACTTACAGTTCCCACTTCCAGGAATGCATCTCCTGGGCTAAGTGTGGGACAAGTAGAACTCGTGGGATATACTTGCTCCCATTTACTGGATGTTTACCATGTGCCGGGACCTAGGCTGCGCACTTTTCATGAACTATCTCATTTAATCACTGTGGGGAATTTTTGTTACACACATTTTACAGAGAAGAAAACTGAGGTTCAGCCAGGCTAACTTGACCATGGCCATGCCTTTGGTAGACTGTAGAGCTAGGATTCAAGAAACATTCACCTTCAGAGTCTAAGCTCTCAACACTATACCACAGCATCCAGTATATTGTTCAACTTTTAATTTTTATTTTATTTTATTTATTTATTTATTTATTTATTTATTCTGAGATGGAATCTCACTCTGTTGCTCAGGCTGGAGTGCAGTGGAGCAATCTCAGATCATTGCAACCTCCACCTCCTGGGTTCAAGCAATTCTCCTGTCTCAGCCTCCCGAGTAGCTGGGCCTGAAGACCCATGCCACCACGCCCTGCTAATTTTTTGTATTTTTAGTGGAGACAGCGTTTCGCCATGTTGGCCAAGCTGGTGTTGAACTCCTGACCTCAGATGATCCACCTGCCTCGGCCTCCCAAAGTGCTGGGATTACAGGCATGAGCCACTGTGCCCGGCCTCGTTCAACTTTTAGAGTGATACCGTCTAACTTCCTTCATAGCATGGAGGTGCATTTTAACAAACTATTTGAACTGGATTATGGTGGGCATAGTGAGAAAGAAGATTTGCCTGAGAAGAGGTAGCTGGGAAAAGCAAAGATGTTGCGTCTTTGAAGTATTTATCTTTTTTCTAAGCACGTGGGATGGTTGATGGCAGCAGAATGACCCCGAGGAGACAGAGATGGGGAAATGTTTGGTATTTATTTTATCGTATCTCAACTCTCCTCTGGAATATCTGCATTTGAATGTCTCTGTGATGCCTGAAACTTCACACTTAGAAAACCAGGCTCATTGTACTGGAAATGCTCGATTCTCCACTTCTCCACACTTCCAGAAAATTTCTATACTAACTCAACCTTTGACACCTTCCAAATTCTCCAACTCATCTGTCATTTTGTCAATTCCTTTATCATTAATAAAATGAAAAAATGTTTCTTCTTTACCATTTCCATGTTATCAACTTAGCCCAGGTCCGATCAGAGGTATATCAGTCTGTTTTTGAACACAAGATAAAAAGACAAAAGCACCATTTTATGTGCTGATGGCAGGAATTTATTGTATCGCAGAACTGGCTTCTAGAAGCTGCTTATACTCTTGGTTCCTTCCTAGAAGAACAGCGTGTTATCAGTTACCTCAAAGTCAAAATCATCTATTTAGCATTCAGATAGTGAATGCCAACAATTCTACTTCATAAAGTGAAATGATCTACTTCACTTATTCAAATGATCGGGAGGTTGGTTTGTAATACCTTATTGTACTAAACCCTCCCAAATGAAGTCTAGCTCAAAGTTACATGTTTTACAAATGTAGGGCCGAGGCAGGCGGATCACTTGAGGTCAGGAGTTCGATACCAGCGTGGCCAATACGGTGAAACTCCGTCTCTACTAAAAATACAAAAAAAATTAACTGGATATAGTAGCATGTGCCTGTAATCCCAGCTACTTAGAAGGCTGAGGCAGGAGGATGTCTTGAGCCCAGGAGTTAGAGGTTACAGTGAGCTAGGATCGTGCCACTGCACTCCAGCCTGAAGACAGAGCAAGACCCTGTCTCAGAAAAAAAAAAAAAAAAAAAAAAGCAAATTTTTTTATGTTAAATGGCTTTGGCTTATGAACAGCTTCAAAAAAAATCTAATTTTCAAAAATGGTTGATTTAATTCCTCAATTCCCTGGGGATTTAGGGCTTACAACTCCCCTCCAAGGCAGGTGGTAATTTTAAAGCAATGAAGTCAGGTCCCCTGGTATAGGTTTATCCTTTAGCTGCCCCTAGGAACACCATGACAACAAATCATGCCTCGCTAGCCCTGCAGGTAGGACCGTTGGTGGTTATTAATTTTATGAGAGCTCCTAGGTTGTTTACTATTATAGTTAGTGGGCACCCAGCTGTGCCGGGTCAACTCTGGGCAGTAAAACAAAAATACCTCTCCCTAATCCTGTGTTTTGGTAGCTCAGGACAGTTTCACTCGCAGCCCCTCATATAATGTGTGGCACAAAGACTGAATCACTCTAGTGAACCCTGAAAGGCAATTGATACTTTAGGCAATTATAATATAATAGAATTTTATAACTGGATAAGAACGCAGAGGTTATCTATTTCAACCCCTCGTTAGAGACAAAGAAATCAAGGCTCAGCAACTTCCTAAAGGTTACATAAGGAGTTGGCAAACCAAATTCAGGTGCAACTTGAGGTCTCCTGATCCAAGTCAGGCATTCTTCCCACCATGCCACGTGGCGCTCCCCAATGATGTAACCAGCATGGGACAAGTCCCCAAGGACCACACCTTTTACAGAGTTTATTACCTTGGCTTTAGCAGGTAGAGCGGTAGGAAACGCTCTCTGGATTCTCAAGCTTTGATAATACAACTAGTAAAGGGCACAATAATAGTATTTGTATAAGATTTTTGACACAATTGAAAATTCTTTCACATGCAGTATGTTTACTAATAATTCCTTATGTGTTTATAACATGTTATAATTTGTGAAATGCTTTTAAATGTATCATCTCATGATTATTAAACTTATTAAGTAGCCGGGAATTATTATTCCCATTTTATAGATGAGGAAACTAAGTTAGAACCCATTGCTACACAGTACACAACAAAGATGGGACCAGAGCCTGAAGGTCTGACTCCTAACACAGTGCTCTTTTCCGACAATATCTAAGAGGATTCAGAGTAGCAGATTTTGATAGGTTCATGTCAAAGGCACAGAGCTCTAATTGTATTTAGGGATTTTTTCCCAAAATTTTATATACAATCTACAGCAATTGGTCCAAGACCTAAATATTTCACAAGATATTCTTTCATCTGCAACATAGGACTTCCCCAGCCTTGGTCAATCCTGTGAACAATACGGTATTCACATATACTAAAAACATACTGGTCTCTCCAAGTTTGGCAGCTCTCACTCTGCTAGGCAATGCAACTGGAAAATCTAATATCTCAAAGGCGTCTTGTGCTCCTGCCAGATTCAAGTCTCATGCGTCTGTGGATTTTTCCATCCCTTGTGTAATGGGTTTGAATCTTTCTTGAAGGTGCCTCTCCAAAGAAGGGGGAATAGACATTCCTTCTCTCGTGAGCCTTATGAAGAAATAATTACTTGGTGGTTAACAAACAAAATCTTTCCTGCCAATTTGGAATCTCACCAAGAAAAGGGTCAGGGGAAATTCCAAGATACAGTTCAGAATCTGACCCTCAAAATATGATCTGAAAGATGAAAGACTCTGGTTAAAGGAGAACATTTGATTTTCTTATGAAGGTGGGGCAGTGTATGTTCTATAGAGTATGTGATTTTCTCTTTCATAAGTGTCTGGAGAGAAGATGAGGTTTCTAATATTTACCTTTAGGAAATCATCACATAATTGAGGGTAGAATGACTAAGTTAAACATCAGAGGAACTTCTTGTTATTTTTAACTAGATGATGATCATTTGTTTTACTCTCTGTGAGTGTATCAGAAATATTTACTGTTGTAAATTCCCAAAAATTCATTGATATCTTTTGAATTATAAGGGATTCAAAGCAGAATTCATTATCCTAATGCAATTATGAAGGAAATACATAGACATTATATAATATGTGGAAATATAGAAAGACAGAAAAGAAAAATATCACCCAGAGGTGTCTGATATATTCTTAAGGATACAATTAAAAACAGTTGGATAAACATTCTTCCCTTTTGGTTAGATACTTTTTAGAGGTAGAATTTTTCTCTGGGCCAGCTATGTTATGGAAGTATAATCATTCTAACCTTCTTCCAAATCCAAATTGTGTAGCATCTGCCATCCAGTATCTCAACATAGCTCAGCACCCTGGCTGCATCATATGTAAAGTGTTTATCTCATGGGTCAAGTTATGTTTATGGCATTCCTATAGAAAATTTAGTTTTTAGACTATGACAGTCACACAACCAGTAAAATGAGTAAATACAGGATTTTATCCTCCTTGGAGAGCAGTCAAGCACATTCGACAAATCTTCCTTGAATCAGAAATCACTCTGAACTGCAGGTGAAAATGCCACTGGGTTTTCAGTTATCTCGGGCAGAGTTCCATATTGCCGCAAAAAGAGACAGATCTTTCTGGATCACACACACACATATATATAAATACACACACATACACACACACACCATATATATATAATTCTGCCTTTGGACAATTTCCTCGTAAAGCACATAGAATCCCTAGAGACGTCTTGACTAACTTAGGAAGTGACATCACGGATCTGTTCTGATGGGGACAAAGCTGCAAAAGTCACTTTTACTGGCATGAGTCTGAAGCTCACACACATTTCTTAGTACAAAAAGTCTGTAAATAGGCAAGGGAACTGCAAGGTTTACTAAGTAGGTGAGATTATCTCGATGAAGCCTGCAAATATTATCTCTGAAATGAATGTATGAGGCTAACCAATACCCTAATTAAATAATAACTATAATCCATGGTTTTAAGTGGATGATATTTGGAGACACATTATGCTACCATCTGGACTACTTTGGAAACTCAAACTATTATACCAAGAGAAATAATTCTCAAACCTGTAGAGAAAGCTGGCACTTGAATGGATTCTGCATGCCAGAAAGCCATAAAGCAGCCCTGCTTGTCTAAATGCTTTGTTGAATTACACAGCCTCTTTCTCCTTGCCAGTTTGTTTGCCAAGTTTTATTGATTATTTGGGACAGTCATTTTAAACTCTAGCTTTTGAGGTTTTCCTGTCTATAATACTATCTGACCTTCCAAGTACTTCATTCTATGTTTCAGATGTCATCAGTTTTCAGGAGTTTGTTTGCGACTCAAAAGACTCAGAAAGATCTGTCTCTTTTTGCTACAATGTGGAACTCTGCCCGAGATAACTGAAAACCCAGTGGCATTTTCACCTGTAGTTCAGAGTGATTTCTGATTCAAGAAAGATTTGTGAAATGTGCTAGACTGCTCTCCCAGGAGGATAAAATCCTGTATTTACTCATTACACTGGTTGTGTGACTGTCACTTATGCTAACATAGTCTTGAAAATAGACACCAGAAAATTCACAGCTTTTTGTATACTGATTTTCTTCCATTGGGCCTCTATTCTCTTTTGCCAGTCTCCTCACTTTAGGAAACACTAGAAAACAATTCGGCAGGGAATTTCCTGTTTTAAGATGGTAAACTAAAATACATTCCTACCTCCTTCTCCTCTTGAAAATTACCCAGAAACGAACAAAGGAAAATAAAAATTGGAAACACAAATCCCATCTTTCATAAAGTCAAGAGATTTCTGAAACCCCAAACCTTAATATATGAAGCCTGATAATGCAGAGAGGAGTGTTGGTTCCTTAGCAGTGTGGAGAAAGGTGAGACTTGGAAGGGGATAGTGGTGCGAAATAGCCCTGCTTCCCTGCAGAGCATTGGGAAGGACCCAGGAACCGAATGCCAGAGGTGGCGGGGAGTCAGGGAGCTGTGAGCCATCTGGCTGCTGCTGTTCTGAGAACTGCTCAGGAAATGGGGGTGGGGCTTGTAATCATGCAGTGTACAGATTTTAATCAATTACCCCCACCTTCCCCTGTGTGTGGTATCCTAGAGTCCGGAGCCCCTGTCAACCGGGTGGATAGGGGCAAGGGGGCACCTGAGGATCTATTTGTGTTTTTTCAAACTTCCCAATGAGCACTGTTTTAGCAGAACTCTCTAGCTACTCCCTGCTGTTCTTCACAGGAGACTAGATGGTTCTTTACTGGGAAATTCAGCCACTCTAGCAAAAAGTGTAGATATAGGTATTTTGCTCTTCCCCCCACATCCCCCACAAAAAATAGCTTGCCACCTGATTACACTGTGGTGAGGCCCAACCATCCACAACTCCTACTCCCAGGCCTACCCCACCCTAGCATGCACGCACGCAGGTGCAAGCATGTGCACACACACACACACACACACACCCCCTTCCATTCAGTTTTTCTGTGTCTCACTCTTAAATATGAGATCTGAGGGTTGCTGGACATTTGAGGAAATGTTTCCACATGAAAACATGAAGCTAAAAGCTAACCAAGAAAAAAAAAAAAAGAAAAACATCATCCAAATACATCTGATCTATTAGTAAGGGTGCAATTAAAACAGTTGGATAACAATCTTTCTTTTGATTGTCTGCTTTTTGGAGGTAGCATTGTTCTCTGGGCCAGCTATGTTATAGAAGTAACTTCAACCTTACAGGTTAGAGGAAATGAGGAAATAAGTCAATTTTAACATGAAGATATAACATGTTAATATCCTTGGAGAGATGAGAAAAGATATTGTATCCACAAAACAAGAACAGAAATTTAATCTTTTAAAACAGACATAGAGAAACAAGAAAGATTTCAACTCTTGGGAATTAAAAATAGCCTAAAAATGTGTTTAATAGTCTGGGCGCGGTGGCTCACGCCTGTAATCCCAGCACTTTGGGATGCCGAGGTGAGTGGATCACCTGAGGTCAGGAGTTTGCAACCAGCCTGACCAACATGGAGAAACCTCGTCTCTACTAAAAGTACAAAAAAATGAGCTTGGCGTGGTGGTGTATGCCTGTAATCCCAGCTACTTGGGAGGCTGAGGCAGGAGAATTGCTTGAACCTGGGAGGCGGAGGTTGCAGTGAGCCGAGAGTGCACCACTGCCCTCCAACCTCGGCAACAAGAGCAAAACTCCGTCTAAAAAAAAAAAAATGTGTTTCATATCAGTGGAAGGACTGGAAGATAAAGTTGAAGAAATCCCTCTAAAAGGAAAATGAAGAGATAAAGATGGACAAGAAGAGAAGAAGAGTAAGAAATGTAAGAGATCATCTGGGATGTCCAACATCTGGATAACAGAAATTCTACAAAGAGAAAAGAGTGAGGAGGAAATTATTAGAGAAGTAACATAAAGAAATTTCCTCAAACTAAAACACATTGGTCAGCTGGGCGTGGTGGCTCGCGTCTATAATCCCAGCACTTTGGGAGGCTGAGGCGGGTGGTTCACCTGAGGTCAGGAGTTCGAGACCAGCCTAGCCAACATGGTGAAACCCTATCTCTACTAAAAATACAAAAAAAAAAAATTAGCCTGGCATGGTGGTGTGGGCCTGTAATCCCAGCTACTCAGGAGGCTGAGGCAGGAGAATTTCTTGAACCTGGGAGGCGGAGGTTGCAGTGAGGTGACATCATACAGTTACACTACAGCCTGGGCAACAGAGCAAGACTCTGTCTCAAAATAAATAAATAAATTAATTAAATAATAATAAAACACATTGGTCCCTGAATGAAAGGAGTCATTAGGTATTCAGCACAATATACACCAAATTCACAACAATACATTTTATAATGAAAGTTCAGAATATCGGGTCATAACAACTTTTGGAGAGATGAAGGGCCAGGCGCAGTGGCTCACACCTATAATCCCAGCACTTTGGGAGGCCGAGGCGGGCGGATCACAAGGTCGGGAGATTGAGACCATCCTGGCTAACACGGTGAAACCCCGCCTCTACTAAAAATACAAAAAATTTAGCTGGGGGTGGTGGCGGGCCCCTGTAGTCCCAGCTACCTGGGAGGCCGAGGCAGGAGAATGGCGTGAACCCGGGAGGCGGAGCTTGCAGTGAGCTAAGATCAGCCACTGCACTCCAGCCTGGGCGACAGAGCGAGACTCCGTCTCAAAAAAAAAAAAAAACTTTTGGAGAGATGAAATGGAGCAGATACCAAGGACTCAGACCACACATCAGAATGGCACAGATTTCTCAAAAGCAGCACTGAAAGCCAGAAGGCAGTGGAAGAATGCCTTTAAAGTGCTGAGTGAAGAGGATTTCTAAACTTGAATTCTAATCCCAGCCAAACTACTTATGTGAGGGCAGAAATAAAGAATCACATAAAGTAAAAAATAACAATTTCCTGTGCATTTTCTCAGAAAGTTCCCGGAGTCTGTAGTCCAGCAAAATGAGGGAGTAAATTAAAACAGAGGAGAAACTAGATCCAGGAACCAACAGACAAGAGAGAGGCAATGGTAATTCTGAGACTCATTGAAGAGATGTCCTAGCCAACATAGACAGGAACAAGAGGAGTGAGGGCTCAAGGAGCATCTCCAACAAAAAACAAGCAAACTAACTAACAAACGCGACAAGGAGATTATGTGTCTAAGCAATCAGAGTTCTGCAGAGAGTTTGAGTAGGAATTATTCTTAGGAGCAAGAAGTGTAGATTGGTGCAGGGAAACAGACACCCCAAAGGAATGTCTCCAGAAGAAATTGGGAAATGATACATCAACTGATAGGTTTGCCCTTGTGAAAGGAGAGATTATTGGAGAATATGGAAAGATACAGGCATAAGTTCAAGGAAATTAAAGAAACAGCAACAATTAAAATGAGGCAATGAGGCTATTGTTAACTCTTGGAAAAGCAAGATTTGTGGGTTTTGTTTTGTTTTTTTTTTTACAAGAAAGGAAACAATAACTATACTGTTTGGCTCACCACAGAATACATTTACACATACATAAGAGTGTAAATACTGAATAGGGATGTAATAACAATTTGTTGTAAAACTATGTAAGGTTTACAACAAATTGTTCTGGGACAATTGGATATACACATATAAGAGAATAAACTTGGACCTCCTTCCTAATACCATATACAAGAAAAATTAAGTGGAAATTGTTCATAGACCTAAATATAAGGGCTAAAATTATAAGCTCTTACAATCTTGGATTAAGCCAAGGTTTCTAAGATATAACACAAAAGCACAAACAACAGAAGAAAAAATAGATAAATTGGATTACATCAAAATTTTAAAAGCTTGTGTGCCTCAAGAAACAACAAAATAACATTATTATCAGATAAATTATTTACAAATATTTTCTCCCATTCTATAAATTGCTATTTACAGAATAAGACAATTTACAGGATGGGAGAAAATATTTACAAATAATTTCTCTAATAACGGACTTGTAACTAGAATATATAAAGAAGTCTTACAACTCATACAATTCATAACAAAACACAAGTAATCCAATTTAAAAATGAGTAAGGGAGATGAATAGACATTTCTCCAAAGAAATATATAAGTGGCCGATAAGCACATGAAAAGATGCTCACCATCATTGTCATTAAGGAAATGAAAATCAAAACCATGGTGAGATACCACTGCATATACAAGAGAAGATTAGATTTTAAAAAAAAGACAGACTAGTGCTGGCAAAGACATGGAGAAATTGGAACCTTCATTCATTGCAAGTTGGAATATAAAATGGTACAGCTGCTGTGGAAAACAGTTTGGCAGTTCCACAAAAAGTTAAACATAGTTAATGTATGACCCAGCAATTTCACTCCTAGGTATATATCCAAGAGAATTGAAAACATATGCTCACACAAAAACCCGTACACAAATGTTCATAGCAGTAATATTTGAAATAGCCAAAAAGAGGAAATGAGCCTGTATTAGTTCATTCTCACACTGCTAATAAAGACATACCTGACACTGGATAATTTATAAAAGAAAAAACATTTAATGGACTCACAGCTCCACATGGCTGGGGAGGCCTCACAATCATGGTGGAAGACGAAGGAAGAACAAAGGGACGCCTTACATGGCAGCAGGCAAGAGAGAGCTGTGCCCGGCAACTCCCCTTTATAAAACCATCAGGTCTCATGAGACTAATTGACTATCACAACAACAGCATGGGAAAGACCCGCCCTCATAATTCAATTACCTTGCACCTGGTTCCTCCTACAACACCTGGGAATTATGGGAGCTACAATTCAAGATGAGATTTCGGTGGGGACACAGCCAAACCATATCAGAGCCAAATGCTCATCAACTGATGAATGGATAAACAAAAATGTAGTGTATCTGTGCAATGGAATATTACTGAGTTGTAGAAAGGAATAAAATTCTGATACATGAATGAACCTTGAAAATGTTATGATCAGTGAAAGAAGCCATACAGACAGAGCCACATATTGTTTGATTCTATTTATATGAAAAGTCCAGAACAGGCAAATCCATGGAGACTGAAAGTAGATGAGTGGGTGCCTAGGGCTGAAAGGAGGGAAGAATGGGGAGTGACTGCTAAGGGGTACAATGTTTCTTGTTGGGGTGATGAAAATGATCTAAAACTGGAAGTGGTGATAGTTGTATATCTCTGTGAATATACTAAAAACCACTGAATTGTAGACTTCAAAAGGGTGAGTTGCATAGTATGTGAATTATTTCTCAACAAAACTTACATATAAAAAATTGGGTAGGTGGAGCCAAGATGGCCGAATATGAAGAGCTCTGGTCTACAGCTCCCAGCCTGAGTGACATGGAAGACGGGTGATTTCTGCATTTCCATCTGAGGTATCGGGTTCATCTCACTAGGGAGTGCCAGACAGTGGGTGCAGGACAGCAGGTGCAGCGCACCATCACGAGCTGAAGCAGGGTGAAGCATTGCCTCACTTGGGAAGCGCAAGGGGTCAGGGAGTTCCCTTTCCTAGTCAAAGAAAGGGGTGACAGACGGCACCTGGAAAATCAGGTCACTCCCACCCTAATACTGCGCTTTTCCAACAGGCTTAAAAAACGGCACACCAGGAGATTATATCCCGCACCTGGCTCGGAGGGTCCTACGCCCACAGAGTCTCGCTGATTGCTAGCACAGCACTCTGAGATCAAACTGCAAGGCAGCAGCAAGGCTGGGGGAGGGGTGCCCACCATTGCCCAGGCTTGATTAGGTAAACAAAGCAGCCGGGAAGCTTCAACTGGATGGAGCCCACCACAGCTCAAGGAGGCCTGCCTGCCTGTGTAGGCTCCACCTCTGGGGGCAGGGCACAGACAAACTAAAAGACAGCAGTAACCTCTGCAGACTTAAATGTCCCTGTCTGACAGCTTTGAAGAGAGCAGTGGTTCTCCCAGCATGCAGCTGGAGATCTGAGAACAGGCAGACTGCCTCCTCAAGTGGGTCCTTGACCCCCGAGCAGCCTAACTGGGAGGCACCCCCCAGTAGGGGAAGACTGACACCTCACATGGCCGGGTACTCCTCTGAGACAAAACTTCCAGAGGAATGATCAGGCAGCAGCATTTGCGGTTCACCAAGATCCGCTGTTCTACAGCCACCACTGCTGATACCCAGGCAAACAGTGTCTGGAGTGGACCTCTAGCAAAATCCAACAGACCTGCAGCTGAGGGTCCTGTCTGTTAGAAGGAAAACTAACAAACAGAAAGGACATTCACACCAAAAACCCTTCTGTACGTCACCATCATCAAAGACCAAAGGTAGATAAAACCACAAAGATGGGGAAAAAAACAGAGCAGAAAAACTGGAAACTCTAAAAAGCAGAGCGCCTCTCCTCCTCCAAAGGAACGCAGCTCCTCACCAGCAATGGAACAAAGCTGGATGGAAAATGACTTTGACGAGCTGAGAGAAAAAGACTTCAGACAATCAAACTACTCTGAGCTACAGGAGGAAATTCAAACCAATGGCAAAGAAGTTAAAAACTTTGAAAAAAAATTAGACAAATGGATAACTAGAATAACCAATGCAGAGAAGTCCTTAAAGGAGCTGATGGAGCTGAAAGCCAAGGCTCAAGAACTACGTGAAGAATGCAGAAGCCTCAGGAGCCGATGCAATCAACTGGAAGAAAGAGTATCAGTGATGGAAGACGAAATGAATGAAATGAAGCGAGAAGGAAAGTTTTGAGAAAAAAGAATAAAAAGAAACGAACAAAGCCTCCAAGAAATATGGGACTATGTGAAAACACCAAATCTACGTCTGATTGGTGTACCTGAAAATGACGGGGAGAATGGAAACAAGTTGGAAAACACTCTGCAGGATATTATCCAGGAGAACTTCCCCAACCTAGCAAGGCAGGCCAACATTCAGATTCAGGAAATACAGAGAACGCCACAAAGATACTCCTGGAGAAGAGCAACTCCAAGGCACATAATTGTCAGATTCACCAAAGTTGAAATGAAAGAAAAAATGTTAAGGGCAGCCAGAGAGAAAGGTCGGGTTACCCACAAAGGGAAGCCCATCAGACTAACAGCGGATCTCTCGGCAGAAACTCTACAAGCCAGAAGAGAGTGGGGGCCAATATTCAACATTCTTAAAGAAAAGAATTTTCAACCCAGAATTTCATATCCAGCCAAACTAAGCTTCATAAGTGAAGGAGAAATAAAATACTTTACAGACAAGCAAATGCTGAGAGATTTTGTCATCACCAGGCCTGCCCTAAAAGAGCTCCTAAAGGAAGCACTAAACATGGAGAGGAACAACCGGTACCAGCCACTGCAAAAACATACCAAAATGTAAAGACCATCAAGGCTAGGAAGAAACTGCATCAACTAATGAGCAAAATAACCAGCTAACATCATAATGACAGGATCAAATACACACATAACAATATTAACTTTAAATGTAAATGGGCTAAATGCTCCATTTAAAAGACACAGACTGGCAAATTGGATAAAGAGTCAAGACCCATCAGTGTGCTGTATTCAGGAAACCCATCTCATGTGCAGAGACACGCATAGGCTCAAAATAAAGGGATGGAGGAAGATCTACCAAGCAAATGGAAAACAAAAAAAGGCAGGGCTTGCAATCCTAGTCTCTGATAAAACAGACTTTAAACCAACAAAGATCAAAAGAGACAAAGAAGGCCATTACATAATGGTAAAGGGATCAATTCAACAAGAAGAGCTAACTATCCTAAATATGTATGCACCCAATACAGGAGCACCCAGATTCATAAAGCAAGTCCTGAGTGACCTACAAAGAGACTTAGACTCCCACACAATAATAATGGGAGACTTTAACACCCCACTGTCAACATTAGACAGATCAACAAGACAGAAAGTTAACAAGGATACCCAGGAATTGAACTCAGCTCTGCACCAAGCGGACCTAACAGACATCTAGAGAACTCTCCACCCCAAATCAACAGAATACACATTTTTTTCAGCACCACACCACACCTATTCCAAAACTGACCACATAGTTGGAAGTAAAGCACTCCTCAGCAAATGTAAAAGAATAGAAATTATAACAAACCGTCTCTCAGACCCCAGTGCAATCAAACTAGAACTCAAGACTAAGAAACTCACTCAAAACTGCTCAACTACATGGAAACTGAACAACCTGCTCCTGAATGACTACTGGATACATAACGAAATGAAGGCAGAAATAAAGATGTTCTTTGAAACCAACGAGAACAAAGACACAACATACCAGAATCTCTGGGACACATTCAAAGCAGTGTGTAGAGGGAAATTTATAGCACTAAATGCCCACAAGAGAAAGCAGGAAAGATCCAAATTTGACACCCTAACATCACAATTAAAAGAACTAGACAAGCAAGAGCAAACACATTCAAAAGCTAGCCGAAGGCAAGAAATAACTAAAATCAGAGCAGAACTGAAGGAAATAGAGACACAAAAAACCCTCCAAAAAATTAATGAATCCAGGAGCTGGTTTTTTGAAAAGATCAACAAAATCGATAGACCGCTAGCAAGACTAATAAAGAAGAAAAGAGAGAAGAATCAAATAGATGCAATGAAAAATGATAAAGGGGATATCACCACCGATCCCACAGAAATACAAACTACCATCAGAGAATACTACAAACACCTCTACACAAATAAACTAGAAAATCTAGAAGAAATGGATGAATTCCTCGACACATACACCCTCCCAAGACTAAACCAGGAAGAAGTTGAATCTCTGAATAGACTAATAACAGGCTCTGATATTGTGGCAATAATCAATAGCTTACCAACCAAAAAAAGTCCAGGACCAGATGGATTCACAGCCGAATTCTACCAGAGGTACAAGGAGGAGCTGGTACCATTCCTTCTGAAACTATTCCAATCAATAGAAAAAGAGGGAATCCTCCCTAACTCATTTTATGAGGCCAGCATCATTCTGATACCAAAGCCTGGCAGAGACACAACAAAAAAAGAGAATTTTAGACCAATATCCCTGATGAACATCGATGCAAAAATCCTCAATAAAATACTG
This sequence comes from Homo sapiens, assembly GCF_000001405.40. Lineage (NCBI taxonomy): Eukaryota > Metazoa > Chordata > Mammalia > Primates > Hominidae > Homo > Homo sapiens. Next base: position 9,042,079 of record NC_000002.12, read on the forward strand.
GCAAACCGAATCCAGCAGCACATCAAAAAGCTTATCCACCATGATCAAGTGGGCTTTATCCCTGGGATGCAAGGCTGGTTCAACATACACAAATCAATAAATGTAATCCAGCATATAAACAGAACCAAAGACAAAAACCACATGATTATCTCAATAGATGCAGAAAAGGCCTTTGACAAAATTCAACAGCCCTTCATGCTAAAAACTCTCAATAAATTAGGTATTGATGGGATGTATCTCAAAATAATAAGAGCTATCTATGACAAACCCACAGCCAATATCATACTTAATGGGCAAAAACTGGAAGCATTCCCTTTGAAAACTGGCACAAGACAGGGATGCCCTCTCTCACCACTCCTATTCAACATAGTGTTGGAAGTTCTGGCCAGGGCAATTAGGCAGGAGAAGGAAATAAAGGGCATTCAATTAGGAAAAGAGGAAGTCAAATTGTCCCTGTTTGCAGATAACATAATTGTATATTTAGAAATCCCCATCGTCTCAGCCCAAAATCTCCTTAAGCTGATAAGCAACTTCAGCAAAGTCTCAGGATACAAAATCAATGTACAAAAATCACAAGCATTCTTATACACCAATAACAGACAAACAGAGAGCCAAATCATGAGTGAACTCCCATTCACAATTGCTTCAAAGAGAATAAAATACCTAGGAATCCAATTTACAAGGGATGTGAAGGACCTCTTCAAGGAGAACTACAAACCACTGCTCAATGAAATAAAAGAGGATACCAACAAATGGAAGAACATTCCATGCTCATGGGTAGGAAGAATCAATATCGTGAAAATGGCCATACTGCCCAAGGTAATTTATAGATTCAATGCCATCCCCATCAAGCTACCAATGACTTTCTTCACAGAATTGGAAAAAACTACTTTAAAGTTCATGTGGAACCAAAAAAGAGCCCGCATTGCCAAGTCAATCCTAAGCCAAAAGAACAAAGCTGGAGGCATCACGCTACCTGACTTCAAACTATACTAGAAGGCTACAGTAACCAAAACAGCATGGTACTGGTACTAAAACAGAGATATAGATCAATGGAACAGAACAGAGCCCTCAGAGATAATGCCTCATATCTACAACCATCTGATCTTTGACAAACCTGACAATAACAAGAAATTGGGAAAGGATTCCCTATTTAATAAATGGTGCTGGGAAAACTGGCTAGCCATATGTAGAAAGCTGAAACTGGATCCCTTCCTTACACCTTATACAAAAATTAATTCAAGATGGATTAAAGACTTAAATGTTAGACCGAAAACCATAAAAACCCTAGAAGAAAACCTAGGCAATACCATTCAGGACATAGGCATGGGCAAGGACTTCATGTCTAAAACACCAAAAGCAATGGCAACAAAAGCCAAAATTGACAAATGGGATCTAATTAAACTAAAGAGCTTCTGCACAGCAAAAGAAACTACCATCAGAGTGAACAGGCAACCTACAAAATGGGAGAAAATTTTCCCAACCTACTCATCTAACAAAGGGCTAATATCCAGAATCTACAATGAACTCAAACAAATTTACAAGAAAAAAACAAACAACCCCATCAAAAAATGGGCGAAGGATATGAACAGACACTTCTCAAAAGAAGACATTTATGCAGCCAAAAGACACATGAAAAAATGCTCATCATCACTGGCCATCAGAGAAATGCAAATCAAAACCACAGTGAGATACCAGCTCACACCAGTTAGAATGGCGATCATTAAAAAGTCAGGAAACAACAGGTGCTGGAGAGGATGTGGAGAAACAGGTACACTTTTACACTGTTGGTGGGACTGTAAACTAGTTCAGCCATTGTGGAAGTCAGTGCGGCGATTCCTCAGGGATCTCGAACTAGAAATACCATTTGACCCAGCCATCCCATTACTGGGTATATACCCAAAGGATTATAAATCATGCTGCTATAAAGACACATGCACACGTATGTTTATTGCGGCACTATTCACAATAGCAAAGACTTGGAACCAACCCAAATGTCCAACAACGGTAGACTGGATTAAGAAAATGTGGCACACATACACCATGGAATACTACCAGCCATAAAAAATGAAGAGTTCATGTCCTTTGTAGGGACATGGATGAAACTGGAAACCATCATTCTCAGCAAACTATCACAAGGACAAAAAACCAAACACTGCATGTTCTCACTCATAGGTGGGAATTGAACAATGAGAACACATGGACACAGGAAGGGGAACATCACACTTCAGTGACTGTTGTGGGGTTGGGGGAGGGGGGAGGGATAGCATTGGGAGATATACCTAATGCTAAATGACGAGTTAATGGGTGCAGCACACCAACATGGCACATGTATACATATGTAACAAACCTGCATGTTGTGCACATGTATCCTAAAACTTAAAGTATAATAATAATAATAAAATAAAATAAAATAAATTGGCCGAGTACAGTGGCTCATGCCTGTAATCCCAGCACTTTAGGAGGCCAAGGCGGGTGGATCACGAGGTCAGGAGTTCAAGACCAGCCTGGTCAACATGGTGAAACCCCGTCTCTACTAAAAATACAAAAATTAGCCGGGCATGGTGGTGGGCACCTGTAATCCCAGCTACTCGGGAGGCTGAGGCAGAGAATTGCTTGAACCCAGGAGGCAGAGGTTGCAGTGAGCCAAGATCGTGCCACTGCACTCCAGCCTGGGCAACAGAGTGAGACTCCATCTCAAAAAGAAAGAAAAAATATTAGGAAGATGGAAGGATGGGAGGGATGATAACAGAGCTAAATCCTTGTCTACCACTATTGAACCTCAGTGCATTCTGTCTAAAATTTATGGATCAAAAGAATGCAGGTTTGCAAATTATTTTTAAACGTGGAGCTATATTGCTGAAGGCACAACCAGAAGGTTACAGCAGTTCCTTCTGGGAACAGGACTGTGGAGGGAAGATAGGCAAGGGACTGTTCTCTTTGATTATGAACGTTTTAAGCCTTTTGGAAACATTTAACTATGTACCACTATTACTTCAATAAAAGTAAACATTTTGAATTCATGCTTGAAATGACTACCATTACAATAGTAATAATATGAATAATTCCACTATTGCTTAAGCCTGGCTTCTAAAGCAGCAGGCGATGGTTCATCAAGAAGGGGCAATGCCAGCAAAATATGTGGGCAGCGTGCAAAGCGCTTGTTGGAAGCCTTCAATGAGCAGCAGGCAGTGTGGCTCTCACTTGGTTTCTCCTCACAAAGGAGAGCTTTGCAGCCCCTAAGAATTTACAAGTATTTCAAAGTCAGCTTAAGGTCTTATCCTAAGAATGGTTGGTTAACAATTGTCCAAAAGCATAACATGAAAAAGCCAGATAGGCCTGAGTTGGAAACAGCATGTGCACCCCTTGCTGGGTCACTCTGAGTAAGTCTCTTCTGACTTCCGAGCCTTCATTGCTTCATCTATAAAATGGGGGTGATAAAAAAAAACCCTCAAACAATTGCTGTGATGATTGCATGAGGTCATGTGTAAGAAGGCATTTAGCACAGCACAGAAAAGTGCTCGACAAATGTCTTTTTCATTCATTCATTGGTTCAAAATGAAATGAATCATGGTTCAAAGAAAAAAACAAGATCAAGATTCCCCCAAAAGGCAGATGTGATCAGTGTGATTATTTTATTCTGCTAAACAAAAACAGAATTATATTCCACACATTGCAACTAATGTCCTAATCGAGGGGAAATTGCTTGATCATGATGAAACTTCATGTTTCGTAAAGGTTCTCATATACAGTCAGCATAATTTATGAGAATTAATTCGTGATGGCTCTAGAATTCTTTGAACCCCTCAGTTACCGTAAATACGAAGTATCATTAAAGAGAAATGCTGTCTCCTCTAATCTCTTCTCTTTGTGTTCTCTTCTCCTTAGGAGGCACACATAGAATCGAATAGTGCAAAGCTCTCTTGAGTCAAGAAGACCTGGACTCAAAGTCGGCTTCCTCTGTGTACTTACCCTGGGCCACCCCTCTGAGCTCTGATTTGCTCGTCTGTAAATTTGAGATAATGTATTATTATCCCAAAAGCTATGTATTACACCTTGCTGGGTTCTTTATAGGTTGAGTAAAATATTGTATGAGATAGTGTCAACCACGTAAGAACCATCCAATAAATATTCATTTCCTTCTTCTGACTTTTTATTAAGTACTTCAACAACCTTCCTTCCTTCCTTCTCAAAGAACCTAGAATCTTCCACAGCATGATTTCATATTATTGTGTGCTCTTTCTTCTTGCTTCAAGGGATCTTTGATAATCTGTTCAGATAATTATTCCATCTCCAATAATTATCTAAGTAACCTTCATTCTCTTCTTCCTTCCTCTTCTGTATTTCAAATACATAGAATAGTAACCATTACCTTTATACCCCCACAAAATCTTAATATTTTCGCATATTTATCTCAGATATATCTTTTTTAAAACATCATATAATAGAGTTGAAGCCTTCTATCTTGAAGTTGGAATACATCATTCCCAGGAGTGTTTTTAAGCTTTCATTACACATACATGGATGTATGCATGTTACATGTTACATGAAATTGTTTTGCAACTCTGCCATCCAGGCTGGTTTGCAGTGGTGTGATCTCAGCTCACTGCAACCTCCACCCCCCAGGTTGAAGTGATCCTCCCACCTCAGCCTCCCAAGTCTGGGACCACAGATGTGTACCACCACGCCTGGCTAAGATTTTTTATTTTTGATAGAGATGGGGTTTCACCATGTTGCCCAGGCTGGTCTCGAATTCCTAAGCCCAAGCAATTCACCTGCCTCAATCTCCCAAAGTGCTGGGATTATAGGCATGAGCCACTGCACGTTTGCAAATTTTTTAAGTTAAAGAAAATATGTCATACTCCATGCAACATTCTACGACTTGTTTTGTTCATGCAGCATGGTTTTTGAGATTTATCCAAGTTGATTCATTTTAGTTTCTATATAAAATTCCATTGTATGAATATACAGCACTCCATTTGTCTATGCTCTCGTGGTGGACGTTTGTGTTCACATTTTCACTATTATCAACAATCTGACAATGTTTTTAAACAATTCTCCTTATGTGCATATTTCAGCATTTCTCTAGGACGGCAGTTTGAAGACATTTTTGTCTCAGTACCTCTTCATCCTGCCGACGTTTATTTAGGAACACAGTGAAATTTGTGTATGTGTGTTATAGCTATCAACACTTATCATAGTAGAGATTAAAACTGAGAAAATCTTAAAATATATGTTAACTTATTTAAAAATCACTAATAAACCCACTATATGTTAATTACATTAAAGCTATGTATAGTCTTAAATTTCTAAAATATTGCCAAATTGTTCTCCAAAGTGATTGACTGAATCCATACTCCCATCAATAGTATATAAGCATTTCTATTTTTTTATGTCCTCTTCAACACTTGGTATAGTCAGGCTTGTTAATTGTGGCCAATCTGATGGTTAGGAAATAGTGTCTCACTATTGTTCTAATTTCTACTTCCCTGCAACAACAAGGTCCTTTACTAACTCCTCTTAAATTACCAAGCTGGAACATACTCAGGACCCTGATGTAGGATACTTTACTAAATTTTGTTTTAATGATTGTTTAGAACTCAGAACACATTATTATTACAATTAAACCTAGAGACACTATAAATAGTGGTCACCATTCCAGACTAGCCCACAAACACTGAATTACCTTAAGGTGTAGACTGGGGTCCCCAACCCCCAACCCCCAAGCCACGGACGGATACTGATCCGTGGGCTGTTAGGAACCAGGCCACACAGCAAGAGGCCACACAGCGCGGGCCAGCGAGCATTACTGCCTGAGCTCCGTCTCCTGTCAGATCAGTGGCAGCCTTAGAGTCTCATAAGAGCACATACCCTACTGTGAACTGTGCATGTGAGGGACCTGGGTTGCGCGTTCCTTATAAGAATCTAACTAATGCCCCGATATGAGGCAGAACAGTTTCATCCCGCAACCATCCCGCAGCCCCTGGAAAAATTATCTTCCATGAAATCGGTCCCTGGTGCCAAAACGGTTGGGGACCACTGCCATAGAGGGATGAGAGATCTCGAGACTAACAGCACAGCAGTCAGAGGAGGGCTGGCCTCAAACTCAAGACTGAGTCTCAGCTCCCACCCTGTCAGTACTCATCAGTTACCTCTCTGAATCTATTTTCTCAACTATGAAATGGGGATAATAACATACATTCTCCCTCACAGGGCATTGCAAAGATAAAGTGAGATGTGAAAATCCATTAAAACTCTGTATGGTATATCCACACAATGGAGCACTATGCAGCTATAAAAAATAAGGAATATATCTGAACTGATATGGAATCATTTCTACGGCATGTTGTTAAGCAAAATAATAATAATAATAAAAGAACAAAGGAGTACATATATTGGTATCTTTTGTGTATGAAAGACATACAGATATAGATGTTAGACATATATATATATATATATATATATATATATATATATATATTAGCTTATTTTTGTGAAAAGAATATCTCTTTGTATAGTATGGACTTCCAGAACCACATTAATGTTTACATACACCAAAATTAAATAAAATTAAATTAAACTATGTCAATAAGATGGAGGAGGGGAAGTCCTAAGATGTAACACAAACAGAAACAAATGAACTCAATGGTATTTAAAATAGAGAGCGTGACTACAGTAAAAGGGAGGGGAACTAACACAAATAACTTTGTTTTTAAAAAATAAACTCACCCTGAGGAACTTTTTAACACAGTATTTCGACTACAAGGAAAAAGCCTATTGCAAGCAAATCTTGAACTGTATTTAAGTAGGGCTTATTTTAGCAGTGTTGTGGGCTAGCAATTCTAAACAACTTGCTATGTATGTAGGAGTGAACAAATGAGTACACGTATTGATGACGTTGAGAAGGAAAATATTAATACATAATGGTAAAAGGCTAAGAAGAGCCTTGCGGTGTTGAATTGGAATTCATGGTTTCTAAATACTGTATAGATATAATTACATTTGTGAATATTTGTGTGTATTCTCTAGTTTTTTCTGCTGAAACGGCCTAGAAACAATGATACCCAAAAGCAATAAACATGCCTAGCACCCAGATGTCAGATTCTATATACTGTTTCCCAGTAAAAAGAAGCAGCACTTCTCCAAAAAAAAAAAAAAAAAAAAGCCAATTATAAGAGTGGGGCAGGGAAAATGTACTATGAGCCTGGAATGCTTTGTTATGCCATAACAAATAAAAAAGTACTCAAAAAAAAAAGGATACATTCAAAGGACATGGGGAACAGCTTGCAGAAGCTCTCACTGATCAAAGTCTGGGGAAACGTGAGCGTCAAGATCAATAATAATAATAATGGATTATAACCCGTTGGGTAAAATAAGAATCCGTTAATCCACACTGATTAAACAAAAATAAGTACACAAGAGAATGGAAGAATGGAAAGATCTTCTAGTATAATTAATAAGTTTAGAGAGAATGCTGAACTTGGTTGCCATTTTGCAACTATCATACCAATAATTGATTTAGGCAAGAATCATCAGTGAGTGCTCAAACTAGTTGTGGGTGTCTCACCACACACCACCACCTTTGAGAAAACACGTACGAGGAGCTACACAATCTAGGGTTCATCGCCTCAACTTGGTAAGGTGGCTACAATTGCGGTTATCCCCATTTTACAGTTTAGGACACTGAAATGTAGAGATGAAGCAACGAAGGCCACATGTTCTGGAGACAGGATTCAAATCGAGTTGACCACAGCCAGAGTTGTCTCTCTTCCCGCGTAGACTAGGGATCCTAGTGACTCCAGCTGCCAGGCAGCCTGGCTCTCTGGTGTCCCAAACTCTAGGGGGAAGAGATGTGTGGGTGAGAGTCCAACCTGTGGGATGGGGACACAGTGTGGCTTTGGGGGCCTGCATCACAAAAGCAGCTAGGCAGAGGCATGAGGTGTGATATGGTTGGGGCCACAGCTGTTCATGTAGGCCGGTGCACAGTTGTCTTATTCTACATCCATCTCTCCTCATTCCAGCTCAAGCCTCTCGCTTTTTCTTTAAAAGTAATGTTCGGGGAGGAGGATGTTACCTGAATTAGCCAGATATTCATCTCATCTCTTCGTTTCTTTTGGCCCACGTAAACACAGACCCAAAGTACTCCAGTCAGCGGAAATCTTGTAGATCTTGCTTGCAAAAGTGGCCGCTAAGACCAGGGCTGAGCCCTTGCATTATCTGTGCATATCAGGGCCTATTTACAAAGGGCCTCCGAGTCAGCTGTTGGATGTTATCTCTGACTAGGTTATATAAATAGCTACGAGATGCACTGACAGGATTAAAAGAAGTTTTCCATCACGCCACTTCTGTTGTTAAGTGCAAACATTTAAAGTCTACTACCATTTTTATAATCATGTTTCCCAACTATAACTATTTAATTAATTTATTTATTTGTGGTACATCAGGAACCTCAAAAAATGGATGTGATTCAGGGACTCTGTCTCTCTCTGGAAAGTCCCTATTTGTATGTGTGTTTCCTGCTTTTGAGTGTGATTCCTTTGAGGTTACATGAGGTCACATGACGGTCAATAGATCTTGTTGAATAAAATAAAGATGCTGTTAATTTCTCAATCAACAGAGCACCAGTTTTATTTTATTTTATTAACTTTTACTTTAGATTCAGGGAGTAAACATGCAGGTTTGTTACATGGGTATGTTGTGTGATGCTGAGGTTTGGACCACGATTGAACTTGTCACCCAGGTAGTGAATATAGTACCCAACCAGTAGTTTTGAAGCCCCTGCCTCCTCTCCCACCCCTCTTACATTCCCCAGTGTCCATGGATCCCATCTTTATGTCCATGTGCACCCAAGGTTTAGCTCCCACTTCTAAGTGAGAACATGTGGTATTTGGTTTTCTGTTTCTGCATTAGTTTGCTTAGGATAATCGCCTCCAGCTTGCATCCATGGTGCTGCAAAGGACGTGATTTTGATCTTTTTTATGACTGCGTAGTATTTCATGGTGTATATGTACCACACTTTATTTATTCAGTCCATCACTGATGGCCACGTGGGTTGATTCCATGTCTTTGCTATTGCAAATCACCAATTTTCTTTTTTCCTGGTTTCGAAATTATCTTATTGCTTTACGTGCTACCTTATTTACCTGAATTTAAACCGGTAGTTTTATTCAGAGACTGCTTATTTAAATGGTATTATAAGTATCGAGTTAAATATCAAAAGCAATTATTAAATATTCTGTTAACAGAATGCTCCTTGTTCCTACTGAGTAGTTTTATGTTTTTCTGTTGGAAAAAAAATTAAAGGAATGTCATCTCAGAGAGTGAAACAATCCATCACAGTAATTAACACAGGAGGGTAGGCACACATGGAATAATCATACCCTGGAGTTCAATGTAGGAGAAGGACAGTGTGGCATTCCAGGTGATGATTGCACACCATAAGGACTACCCATCCCTCTGATGCCACATTAAGTCAACACGTCTGAAATTTCTAAAATATTCAGTATTACAGGATGAAATTTGGACAAATCCATAAGATCTGTGCACTTCTGTATTTATTTATTTATTTATTTATTTATTTATTTATTTATTTTTTGTGATGGAGTCTCACTCTGCCGCCTAGGCTGAAGTGCAGTGGCGCAATCTCAGCTCACTGCAACTTCTGCCTCCCGGGTTCAAGCAATTCTCTGCCTCAGCCTCCCGAGTAGCTGGGATTACAGGTGCCCACCACCATGCCTGGCTAATTCTTGTATTTTTAGTAGAGATGGGGTTTCACCATCTTGGCCAGGCTGGTCTTGAACTCCTGACCTCATGATCCACCCACCTCAGCCTCCCAAAGTGCTGGGATTACAGGGAGCCACGGCGCCCAGCCGCACTTCTATAATTTTAAATGTATTTGCTATCAACTGTCCGCATCCCAGCAACTCCCAAATACTTACATTTTATCGGGTGCTGAGGAGAAATTAAACCAAATTAGATGTGTTTTCACTCTTTCCCCTAAGCTTGAATATATAGACATAGTATCAACAATGTCCCCTTTGTAGCAAATTATTGCTTTTATCTTTTTATTACTAGGCAACAAATTATTTACTTAATTAGGAGGTAAGTTAGAAACCCAAAAAGCATCCTTTTTTTGAGACAGGATCTTGCTCTGTGTCACCATTACGGCTCACTGGAGCTTCGACTGCCCAGGCTCAGGCGATCCTCCCGCCTCAGCCTCCCAAGTACCTGGGACCACAGGCGTGCACCACCACACTCAGCTAATTTCTGTGTTTTTTGTAGAGACGGGGTTTCACCTGGTTACCCAGGCTGGTCTCAAACTCCCCGACTCAAGCAATCCACCCGTCTCAGCCTCCCAAAATGCTGGGATTACAGACGTAAGCCACTGCACCTGGCCCCAAAAGTCACCTTTAAAATAAAAATTTTAGAAGCACTTTTTGAGATCTGTAATATACCAGGTACATTTTTAATGAAAACCTTATGAAGTAAAATTCCCATTTTACAGAAGAGGAAAATGACATTCAGTGAAATTATTTACAGAGTTTTATAGTGAATAAATGACAGAAGTGGCATTTAAACCCAAGTCATTTTGCATTTCCTATGACATTGCCCTTCAGAGCTTTCTCTCACTCCCCACCCCTCCAGATGCCTTCCCAGATGGCAGCATGTTGACAGACATTGCTTCTGTGACTCCCCAGAGTCCCAGAGAGAAAGATGGAGATGACATTATGCATCGGGGGTTCCAGAAGCAGAGTGTGGGAACTATGAAGTATCTTCTCTGTTTCTCTGAAAGTTCTCACCTGGGTTAGAAGCTGATTTTCCTTAGAGCCCGGTTTGCTTCCTGGTATGCAGTGAGCTTAGTTGGGCTGATGTTGTCTGTAGGTGAGGCCTCCCACTGGTGGGGTAAGTTTATTTCAGAGGAATGATAGCATTTCCTCTTGCCACAAACCTAGGTCACACCCTCATTCTGGTTTTTTGCAGCATTCAAGTTGTTATCTCCATCAGGCTGGGTTCTGTGTCTGTATCTCAGCTGAACTCAAATTCTAGAAGAAAGCATATTCTGGAGCAAGCTGTGTATCTATCCCCTCTAAAGTATCAACAGGTGTGGGGCTTTGCTGGTTTCACAGAACACGTGCAACTGAAGACTGGACTCTTGAATGCTCTCCCTCTCTGTCAGCTCAGTACTTTCTCACCATCGGTCACCTGAAGACCAAGTTCCAAACACTCTGGGCTCTGCACAAGGCTCCATGTGACCTGTTTGTGCCGCAGTCAGCTATGAGGCCTGCAAGGGCGGATCCCTTTGTGTATCCGTGTTGCCAGTACCTGGCACTTGCAATGTGCTCAATAAACATGGATTTAGTGAATGAGTGTAAGGGTTAGCTTCACTTCTCAGAGCAAAAGGGGAATCTCCTATTTGGGTGTAATTTTTGCAAGTGACCTGGCAGCAGTAGTGAATGAGAAAGTGTTTCTGCTTCTCCTTTAGAACACAAGCAAAACATGTGGTTTCTGAGCCCATGGATCTTATAATTTTATTCATACACAGAAAAAAAGCAATAATGATTCATGAATGTGTAGGACAAATGCCAAATAAATTGGACAAACAGGAAAGGCCACAGATAATCCAAAGAAGAGTAATCACTGTGAAGGAGAGTTTTGAAATAAGTGGGTTTTGAAAGACAGCTGGGGTTTAAAAAGGGAACAAACAGTGAAGGTAAGACTGAAATGCGCAAAGCTGTGGTTGGTAGGGGAATGAGCCGGGTGGGTTTACAAATACAGAGGCCAGCAGGCTGGTCAGAGAAAGGTTTTAATTAAGAAGCAATAAGGAATAAGGTTCAGAAAGTGAATAAAGGCTGGGTTAGATAGAGCTCTGAACAGTTCTTAGGAGTCTAAACTTGGTTTTACAAGAAATGAGCATGCATGTTAGGATTATTTGGCTACATATAATAAACTCAAGCTAGCTTAAAAGGGAAAAGAAATTTTTTTAGAGAACTTGGAATATCTTTCACATAATAATTCCCTTATAAATAGTTGTTATATTGAATTAAACTCTTAGAATAACCCTCCTTTAAAATGTATGGAAAAATAAAGAGAAGAACAAAAGAAATGATGCAGAAAAAGAGGTTGGTTGCAACAATATTTATTAAACAGCCTTGAGTGCAGTAAAAGAAAAATTGAGATCATCCTAATTCAACAGTCTTTTGTCTCAGTCCTCATTCCTTGGGGTACCTTGATCAGTGCCAAAGGCATGTTTGTGATTGGGAGAAGAACTGGGTCTTCATGTCTGTGTTCTCTCTGTGCTCCTGCAACCAAGGACAAAGAGTTTCCTACTGAAGGAAAACATTTTCCCAGGAGCAGCTTTTTCATTTTCCTCTCCACTATGTTTTATTGTCAGCACACAAAATACCTTCATTGTGTCTTATTCTGCACAAAGCAGGACAAAGTCAGGCAATGTTATTACTTTTAAAAACCAAGGGAGCCAACAATACACTATATGATGGATAGTCATCGTTTTTATAGTGAATTTTCTTCAGTTGTACATCTCAATCTTATTTTGAGAATTAATTCAGAGGGTGAACTCCACTCAGTCTGTGAATATTAGAATAAGCAGCTGTAAAAGCATAAAATGTTTAAAAAGCTGGGGGTATAAGTCAGACAAAACCAACATTACTTTATTTGTTCAAAGAAGATACAAAAAAAAAACATTAAAAGGGACATGGAGATTAGAGAGAGAAGCAGTTTGGGAAACATGAATGAGCAAATTTTCTCACATTTTTTCCACTAAAAAACAATCATGAACTTGCATAATTTTATGGGAAGAAAAAATGGAACATTGAGCTGCAATGACTTATTTCAATTTAATTTACACTATTCTAATTTTACTTCCAATCCTTTCATGTACATCTATAAAATCTACATTATCATATATAAGGGACACCTAAGATGTTGTCTTCTGGTTTTTTTTTTCATTTTTAAATTTTATATAACCATGTCTATCTTTGACATTAGTTAGCACATTTGTCATTTTAATGTCCCCATAACATCCTTAGGATGGTGACATAACCCCTATGTACTTGGGAGTTGGAAGGTGAGTTCGGAGGATTTAATAGTTACAAGGCTTTTCCCCAACTGTAAATTGACTTGGTGTATGTACAAGTTCAGCAAAGTAAAGCACTGTAAAGGAATAGCCAGTAAAGTCCTTACATGAAAGATTGTTATGAGTATTTTCAGTAAAGTCATAGTATCTTCTGCTTGTAAGTTGTTTTTCACCATAAAAAAAAAAAAACCTATGGGGACAAGACAATAATTCATTAAATAGTGCTGGAAGAAACAGAGTGAAGAAACATGTGTGCCAATTGTTGGGTTATTATCCATTAGCTTGAAATTCAGGCTTTTACATTCTGCTTTGTGATACTGGGGCTCAAACTCTGCAAACGACATTTCTGCTTTGCCAACAGCTCCATGTTTGACTCCATCAATAGGGGTACCAGCGGAAGTTTATAAATCTGGAAGGAAAGAAGGGATTTATTTCTTCCAACTTGCTTCCTGTGACTTCCTGTCTACTTCCTGTCTACTTCCCGTGTGACTTCCTGTCTACTTCCTATATGACTTCCTTTCTACTTCCTGTGTGACTTACTGTCAGCTTTCTGTTCCTGTGAATGTTATCCCAAAGATACTTCCTCACCCTAACAGCAGTAGTTCCTTCCGGAAGTATCTTGATCCAGTTTGCAATTTTTCCAATGCCTGCAGAACCAGCTCTATTGTCTCTTCTCATCCCCTAGTCAAAGCTCAAAGATCCCAGCTCCAGCTGAGCAGCGCTCCTTCCTCAGAGGTCTGGATTTCCATTTGTCATTTTTCTTGGCTTCATTATTTTTTCTTCTTACCTGCCTTCTGTTAAAATAAGTTTTTAATAATTCCGTTATTGGCTGGGCATGGTGGCTCATGCCTGTAATCCCAGCACTTTGGGAGGCCAAGACAGGCAGATCACCTGAGGTCGAGAGTTGGAGACCAGCCTGACCAACATGGAGAGACCCCATCTCTACTAAAAATACAAAATTAGCCGGGTGTGGTGGCACATGCCTGTAATCCCAGCTACTCAGGAGGCTAAGGCAGGAGAATTGCTTGAACCCAGGAGGCAGAGGTTGAGGTGAGCCGAGATCATGCCATTGCACTCCAGCCTGGGCAATAAGAGCAAAACTCTGTCTCAAAAAAAAAAAAAATCCATTATCTTTTTTTCTACTGGTATTGATGTCAATTGCATTTCTATTCTGTTAGTGATTGTGCTTACTTTTTGACGTAAATATTTAACTATGAATTTCTCTAATACAGTGTACAGTTATTTCAAAATTTTAACCCTGCATTCACTTTGTCATTGTTTTTCTACTTTTTTACAAAAAAATAGTAATCACTATCTTTCCAAGTTATTTAAATTTATTAAAAATTTATCACTTTCACCGAGGTGGGAAGATCACTTGAGCTCAGGAGTTCAAGACCAGCCTGGGCAACATGGTGAAACTCTGTCTCTACCAACCCCATCTCTACCAAAAATATTTTTAAAAAGTTAGCTAGGCATGGTGGTGCAGGCCTATATTCCTGGTTACTCAACAGGCAGAAGTAGGAGGATGGTCTGAGCCCAGGAGGTGGAGGTTGCAGTGAGTGGAGATCACACGATTGCCCTCCAGCCTGGGCAACCCTGTCTCAAAAAAAAAAAAAAAAAAAAAAAAAAAAATATATATATATATATATATATATATATACATATATTTATATATATATATTTATATATCACTTTCTTTGCTCATCTTTGCTTCTTATAGCCCGTCTCATCTCTCAGAAGTTGTGTTTCTACTATGGTGTTATATTCTCATATTACTTGTTGTAGAGTTGTATAGTCTGAAAAATGTCCTAATTGTAAGCCCAGTTAAGAATGGTTATATAACTAGGTATAAAATTGAAAGTGAACACTTTTTGATACCTTAGTAATTCTCTGGTAACTTCTCAGGTTTTTCTCTTTATCCTGAATATCCTACACTTTTGCTCTTGTGTGTTTAGAAATGAATTTGTTTTTAATTAGCCTGCAAATTATTCAGAGTGTACTTTTAATCCGAGGTTGTGCTTATTTCTTCATTTTAGAAAATTTTCAGCCACTGTTGTTTTATTTATTTCTTCTCTGCTGGTTCTTCAAAATTCTTCTTTGGGAACTCATATGAGACATGTATTTTAGCTTGTCAGTTTATCCTCCATGGTTATTGTTATTTCATATTTTTATGCCTTTGCCTCTTTGTGATTTATTCCAGGTGAACTCCTCTGTAATAACTGTCAATTCATGGAATTTTTTTTTGACAGTATCCCTCTAGAGTTTACTCTGTACGTTTAACTAAAAAATTCTCTTTCTCAGTTTTCCAATTAGCACTTTTAAAATAAGAACCTATTTCTTTATCATTTCTGCTAGCTTTTATTTAATAATTTTTAAGTATTTAAATATTAATGTTATTCCTTCAGTTATCTCTTTGTAGATGCTAAACATTTTAAGAGACTTCTTCTATTTCATAAAATTAACTTCATATGATATGAAATTATGAGAGATATTTTCATTATTGATTTTGCTGGATAACTTTCTTGGCATTTCTCTCTGTGTTTTGGAATTTTGGTTTGCAGGCTCAGTTTAAATAGGAGTTTGTTGTCGTTGCTGCTGTAGTGGTTGTTATTAATGTGGTGAGGTTTTTAAAATCTCTTTCTCCCTTTATATTTTCTGTGCTGCTGTGATTTGGACTTTTATATTGTATTTTCTAATTGTATATCAAATATATAAGAACAAAAATATTTTTTAGACTTTTCTTTTCCTGCAGCTTTTATAGTCTTTTTAAATTTTTTTTTCACTTTCTGGTATATTTTCTTCAAATTAGTTGTGTTTAAAATGATAGTTTCTGACTGGGCACAGTGGCTCACACATGTAATCCCAACACTTCAGGAGGCAGAGGTGGGCGGATCACTTGAGGTCAGGAGTTCAAGACGAGCCTGGCCAACATGGTGAAACTCCATCTCTACTAAAAACACAAAAATTATCCGGGTGTGGTGGCGGGTGTAATCCCAGCTACTGGAAAGTCTGAGTCATGAGAATCGCTTGAACCCAGGAGGTGGAGGTTGCCGTGTGATGAGATCACACCACTGCACTCTAGCCTGGGTGATACAGCGAGACTCAGTTTCAAAAAATAAAAAAAAAAATAAATAAATTAAAATAAAATAAAATGATAGCTTCTTTCCTTTCTTATGTTTATAGCTCTTATTTATTTTTACTCTTAAGTAGCTATGTCTAGCACTTATAATACCGTATCAGCCATGGTCTAGTCAGAAAAACAGAAACCACAGAAAGAATTTAACACAAAGATTGCCTTTGGTTAAATTTTCATTGAAGGATGAAGAATGCAAAAAGATAACACTGAGGTAATATAGAGATTACAACTGCAGGAAGAAGCTGGGGGAATAAAGGGAAGAGATTGGAGTAATTGGAACCTAGAAACTTGGAGGAGGATCTACAGAGTTGGGCTCCAGGCCTCTAAGTAAGGAGCATCATCATCAGCTGCTGCTATCTCAGGAGTCTGGGGAGAAGTTTTGCAGAGTGGGACCCAGAATTCTGAGGAGAGACGTAGGCTATCTCTAAATGAGTGTGCTGAGGTTGGCTCTGCATGTATCAGGAAGAAAGCTGGAGATTGGACCAACCACTACTGCTGGAGTGAAAAGTCATTGCTAGGACAAACCAACAGGAAGAGCAAAACAGGAAGGACCGACTCCCTTCCCTCTGTTCCCACCTCCCAATCCCATGTAGTGCCTCTACTGATAGACCCTAACATGGAGCCATCTGGCAAAAAAGGGATGCTTTCTGCAGTCTCAGCCCCACCGTCACAGAGCAGGACAAGGAAAAGTAGGCTTAGAGCTGAGAGACAATGGCTTCATAACTGGCACAAACACTTACTAAAGAGGGTGATGATAGGCTACATCTCACCTTTGTTCCTATATTTAAAGAGGAGTGGTGCTAGTATTTTCCACTAAGTATAATGCTGAGTTGGTTTTAAACATATATTCTTTAATGTAAAGAAATGAATACTTCATTCCTATTATTTTTATATACTTGTTTTTAGTCAAGAAGAGATTGATTCTTGACATCTGTGAAAAGAATTATATGGGCCAGGTGGGTTGGCTTATGCCTGTAATCCCAGCCCTTTGGGGGCTGAGATGGGAAGATCTCTTGAGCCCAAGAATTCAAGATCAGCCTGGGCAACATGGTAAGACCTTGTCTCTACAAGAAAAAAAAAAAAAGGCTTTTTTTTTTTAATTACAAAATTAGCTGCATGCCTGTAGTCCCAGCTACTTGGGAGGCTGAGACAAGAGGATTGCTTGAGCCTGGGAGTTCGAGGTTAGAGTGAGCTATGATCATGCCATGAACTCCAGCCTGGACAACAGAGCAAGACCTCTACTCTAAAATAAACTAAATCCAAATATTCAAACTCAAATCTGGAACAATTTGAGCAACAAAATAAATAATGGTAGCAATGAGTTATAACTCATAAAATAAATATCCATGAACCCATACTGATAAAAATAACTGAAACTTTTGACCAGCACTCTTCAAAAGTTTAATAAATAAATAAAATGATGATATGTTTTATGTTAACATTATGAATTATATAGTTGATTTTGTAAGTATTATCTTAGTCATATATTCGAAGCAAACTCTTTGGGTCATCCTTTAGCAGTAGGATGGAACTCTCCTTTGCAAAATTTGGTTTGGATGTTGAGACTGATGACACCACACACACTCCAAGAGGATATTGAGAGTTGTCACTCACATAATGAGGCTTTCTGGGAAGAGCAGGGCAGGCTCCCAGGCAGGTACAGCAATGGCTTGAGAGAGCAGGGAAAGGAGATTGGCTTGGTTTTTCATTGCGGTTCGAGGCTGAGCCAGAGGTGAGGATGCCCACGTATGGGCTGGGGCTTATGTTGTTTGAACTTGCTGCCAGTGCCAAATGAGGGAGCATGTGAGCTTTCTGATCAGCTTGCCCAGATGTGGGGCAGAATGGTGTGGGGCATGAAATGTACCAGCAGTCACACATCGGAAATGGAGTCAGACTATCATAGAAATCTTGCTTTGTGTTATGGGCTGAATTGTGTTCCCCCAAATTCATATATGGAAGTACGAATCCCTAGTCCCTCAGCATGTGACCTTATTTGGAAATAGTTCTTTAAAGAAATAATTAAGTTAAAATAAGGTATTTAGGGTAGGCCTTCATGTTAATGAGCTTCTTTATAAGAAGAGGAGATTAAGATGCAGATATGACGGAGGGAAGGCCATGTGGGCACACTGGGAGAAGATGACCCTCTGCAAGTTAAGGAGAGAGGCCTCCAAGAAACCAGCCCTGCCACCACCTTGATCTCGGACATCTAGCCTCCAGAACTGGGAGAAAATAAAATTCTGTTGTCTAAGCCCCCTAGCCTGTGACACTTTGTTACGGCAGCCCTAGCAAACGGGCACACTTGGTAGTAATAGATAATGTGTTTTGATAGATGATTAAATTTAATCAAACTAGATGACCTTGAGCATCTTAAAATTAGATTATGTTCTGCAAATGTAGTATATATAACTTCTGACTTTTCTCGGGAAGAAAAACAAGGTAACACAACAAATACCCCCATTTAGAAAAGGGAGGGCGGCCATGGAGGAAGAGATCTTTAGCAGTACCATACACTGGCCCTTGGTTTGAGCCAGAAAATCCCCTAAGCATCAGTTTGTCGAGCTTCTCTTCCCCAGCATGTTCTGGCCACTAGGAAGATTTGCTTTTCCTGGTTTGCTTAAATACCACATCTGAAAGGAGAATTATGAAGTAAAGAACTGCTCTTTGGCTTGGGAAGTGTGTGTGCGTGTCTGTTTGTGTGCCTGTGTCTGGACATATTCCTGGCAGATCTCGTCTGCTGATTGCCCTCATTCTTTGCAGCTGGGTGGGGGATGGCTAAAGAGGCTGAAATTTTCTATTTAAACCGGCAAGGATCTCTTTTCACCAGGACTGGGTTGTTTTTTTTTTCTGGGGAAGCAAATCCTAGGGAACCAGAGTGGGATGTCTGTCAGTTTCATCTGGGGAGACTCTGTTATACGCAATGTCAGTGATTTCATCACCTGGATTTGAGACTCTCCATATTCAAAAGCCTGAGTGGGCCATGTAATGTAATGGTTAAGAGTATAGGCAAGGTGGCTTATGCCTGTAATCCCAGCACTTTGGGAGGCTGAGGCGGGCAGATCACCTAAGGCCAGGAGTTTGAGACCAGCCTGGCCAACATGGCGAAACCCTGTCTCTACTAAAAATACAAAAATTAGCCAGGCGTGGTGGTACATGCCTGTAATCCCAGCTACTCAGGAGGCTGAGGCAGGCGAATCACTTGAGCCCTGGTGGTGTAGGCTGCAGTGAGCCAAGATCAAGCCTTGCACTCCAGTCCAGGTGACAAGAGCAAGACTCTGTCTCAAAAAAAAAAAAAAAAAAGAAAAGAAAAGAAAGAAAGAATATAGGCTCTGAAGTCAGATTGACCTGTTTTGGAAGCTTGGCACTTCTTAATTATGCAATCTTGTACAAGTTTTAACTCTCTCACCCTCTTTCCACATCTATAAAATGGTAATAAAAGTGCTCACATAAAGTCATTTGTAAATAGAGCATGCAAAAGACTTATGCATGGCAAATGCAAAAAAAAAAAAAGGAACACTTTTTAACTATGTTGTTATTGTTATGTTTTTAGGCTTCTTAGAAACAGCAACAAGGTGACCATGTTTTCTTGGCTCCTGTGACTCAGCAATCTTGGTCTTCGATCAGTTACCAGCATTCTCCTTCTCTCTCTTTTTTTTTTTTTTTTTTTTTTTTGAGACGGAGTCTTGCTCTGTCACCCAGGCTGGAGTGCAGTGGTGAGATCTTGGCTCACTGCAACCTCTGCCTCCTCTGCCTCCCGGGTTCCAGCAATTCTCCTGCCTCAGCCTCCTGAGTAGCTGGGATTACAGGCACGCGCCACCACACCTGGCTAATTTCTGTATTTTTAGTAGAGACGGGGTTTTGCCATGTTGGTCAGGCTGTTCTCAAACTCCTGACCTCAGGTGATCCATCCGCCTCGGTCTCCCAAAGTGCTGGGATTACAGGTGTGAGCCACCGCACCCAGCCTCTCCTTCTCTTGACAGTGTTAGCCTAAGAACGTTGCTGGGGAATAATGAGTTATGCGGGTTTAGGACTTCGCCCTTGTGATAATCTCACATTGCATCCCAGTTCCAAATGGAAGAAGCTTTGAAGAGTTTAGGGGATTCAGGTTCTAAATTTCCCCATATCACATGGGTAGCTCCAGGCCATTTGCCAGAATGTCCATTTTTTTCTAAGCATGGCATTAGCTTTAGACACAGGAAATTAGCTGATAAAATCCTGAGAGGTATGAAATTAATTTCTCAATCTGGCCCTCCATCCTCTCAGAACAATAATCCTGCTTCCCTCTGTTCCATTCAGAAAGACCCCTCTCAGCCAGGCACAGTGGTTCACGCCTGTAATCTCAGCACTTTGAGAGGCTGAGGTGGGAGGATCACTTGAGCCCAGGAGTGAGTGAGACCAGCCTGGGAAGCATGGTGAGACCCCATCTTTACGAAAAAAAATTTTTTTAATTAGCCAGGCATGGTGGTGCAGGCCTATTGTCCCAGCTACTTGGGACTCAGATGGGAGAATCGCTGAAGCCTAGGAATAGGAGGCTGCAGTGGGCTATGATTGCACCACTGCACTCCAGCCTGAGCAACAAAGTGAGACCCTGTTTCAAGAAAGAAAGAAAAGGAGGAAAGAAAGAAAGAAGGAAAGAAGGAAGGAAGGCAAGAAGGAAGGAAGGAAAGAAAGAAGGAAGGAAGGAAAGAAGGAAAGAAGGAAGGAAGGAAGGAAAGGGAAGGAAGGGAAAGGGAGGGAGGGAGGGAGGGAGGAAGGAAAGAAAGAGAAAGGAAGAAGAGGAAGGAAAGAGAGAGAGAGGAAGGAAGGAAGGAAGAGAGAGAAAGAGGAAGGAAGGTAGGAGAGAGAGAGAGAGAAAGATAGAAAGGAAGAAAGAAAAAGAAAGAAAGAGAAAGAAAGAAAAAAGAAAGAGAAAGAAAGAAAAAAGAAGAAAGAAAGAAGGAAAGAAAGAGAAAGAAAGAAGAGAAAGAAAGGAAAGAGAGAGTGGAAGGAAGAAAGAGAGAGAAAGAGGAAGGAAGGAGAGAGAGAAAGAAAAAAAGAAAGAAAGAAAGAAGAAAAAAAGAAATATCAAGAAATAAACTGTCTTACATGCCTGGAATGTTTTCTTTAATAGTTTTCTTAACTGCAGTTTCTGATTTCTTTGGTACCAATATTATCACTAGACTGGATCTAATTCAGCTATCTAGAGTGGTCCATTTTACAGGCCTCCTTATCATTTGTTTGTCTAACTTAGCTGTAATTTGGGTTTTCTCGGCTGGTATATTGTCAGCCTCACTGCATCTCTGCTGCAACAGTTCTACGCTTGACAACTCCCACTGATGTCTTAGGTTTCTCTAAGAACACATAGCGCAGCACAGTCTCAGAAGTACAGAGCATTTCTCTTTAACAGTCTTTTTCTTTCTTCTCTTTTATGAAAGTAGCTGATATCAATTCATTCAAGCCTCCTTTAAGCAATTCTACTGCTGATGCACTGTAGGTGCAGGGTTATTTTTCATTGTTTGAATATTTTTATTCATGTTTTCTTTAATATGTTCAGCTCAGAGTGATGTTATTTTATTTTTGTGGCAAACATTCAACCCCTCGTTATAGTTGATGGAATATATTTATATAACATCTATCTCATTGTGCTGTGCAACAGCTGATCTTGATGTTCTATAGTTTGGTCTATTTAAATAAGACATATCTGGTTTCCTTATCCATGCAGCAAGACACTAATATTATTATAAATTTATTTTATCTAATTTAATGTTTACTTGGCATGATACCCTAAATATTTTACTTGTTCAATTTTCTAGTGACATTAAAAAATAATTTAAACACTAACATTAGACGGAGACCATTGTCATTACCATCACTTGGAATCCTTTGTCACCAAAGAACTCTGGCAGCAAAGAGCCAATGATAGAAGTGATGGGTTATTGAAAAGGGAATCCATCTTTCAGATCGATGCCATGCCTGGATGATGCTTATGGTGTCCTCCAGCACCGAGATTCTGTGTTCTCTGAGGCACACAGAAACTCTAAAATCCTATGCAATGCTGTAGTAGATTAACTCCTGCTCTTTTGCTTCTCCATCACCATCTTGGTGTCATTTGTAAGTAAATACTTGAGAGGCAGCATTACCAAATAAGGAAACATCAGTTGTTAAATTGTGGCATCCTAGGTCAAAGAAAAACCTACTCTAAGATTTTTATTACTTCAAAAGCAAACAAACAAGCCTACGTGTGCCAGGCACCCCTCATTCTCTACTTCAAATCATCTTCCTCAAGCCACTGCAGCAGAGACCAACTTTGCCCTCGTTTTGACTAGCTTCACACAGGTACCATCTGACAAAGTCTTACCTAAAGCACCCACATGTCTCACCTCCCGCTTCCTGCCTATCACTTGCTGGTGGGCGAGAACTGTGAGAATCTCTTCATTCAGGCATGCACAGCCCACAAGTGTGGGGGCTTAACACTCCACTAGACCAGTGGGGTACAGGAGCCAATAAATACATGCTTCTCCCTTTGAACCTTGTGCAAAGTCCTGAGATGCATTCCCTCAAAGGTCTCATGATCCTCACATGTCGTGATCCCATGAGACTGGGAGCTGGTTGCCTCTAGTGGTAGCTGTTGGGGAAATATAATTAAAATCAAAATCTCCCAAACCAGAAATCTTCTCTACAGTGGTAATATAGGAAGAAAACACCTTTACTAATGAATAAGAAACAAACTAGAATATCATGCGCATCACCGGCAATCCATAAGGATTGCAAAGGCAGAAATAATGCTCACCTCTTTATGTACCCAAGCATATACGACCCATCACATACATGTTCTCAAGATAAACAATAAATCATCCTCAAGTAAAAGGACTTGACAGCACCATTTGCCACATGTAGTTCATCCTCTTAAATTCATCTGGTAATTGTGGTAACCATCTAGGTTAGCTTATTAGCTTTATCCAGTGGAAAAATTAATTTCTTATATGTTTATAACATGAGACAGTTTTGAAAATTAGAGCAAGGTGCCCACCAAAATTAGGCTCCTATCCTCCCAAAGGAGATAGAGGAGATATCTCTTTTGATATTTGCATTTCAAGAAGATGGCTCTCAAGCTTCCTGGATCATAAAGCTGAAAACAAAAATGGCCAGCTGACTAAAGCCCAATCTAGTCTAATAAGGGATACATTTTGAGGAGAGGAAAATATAAATTTACAATTATAAATTTTCTAAGGAAAGGTGTCTAAGAAAAGGGGGTAGGGAAGAAAAATCCCTTTCCTCATTTTCAACAGACAGAACTAAGCCCCTTATTTTAAATTTGTATTTGTTCTTACACAGTCAACACAACAACACATCCTTGTGCTGGCTTCCCCTCCTTCCCTGTCCACCATTCTTCCCTCAACTCTGCTCCCTGGGAATCATTTAACAAAAACCCACCAACCATGAAAGCCTGCTTGGTGGGAAGTTCTAGGAAAGACCCTCTATAATGAAACACCATAATCAAAACTAAAAGGCAAAAAAAAAAATTGGATAAAATATTTCTCATGAAGGAGGGGTGAAGAATTAATATTACTAATGTATTAAAAGAGTGTACAAATAAGAAAGATACTAATCCCCAAAAGAAAATTACAAATTTAAATTACAAATCTTTTTTCCATCAGTTTTTAAACACTTTTAAAAGGTGATATTGTATTTAATCAAATCTAAGATTCATTAATGGTAAGATGCACCACATGTTATAAGCCATTATAAAAAGAAAAACGCTGCATATTAAACCAGAGCCAATAACCCATTTTTTCACTTGATGTGCATTTTCATTTCATTCACTGTATTCTTTAGCTCCAGAATTTCTGTTTAGTTCTTGTTTTATGATTTCTCTTTTTTTAAATTAAACTTCTCATTTTGTTCATGTGTTAGTTTTTCTGATTTTTTGTTGATTTGTCTATCTGTGTTCTCTTGTAGCTCACTGAGATTCCTTATAACAATTACTTCAAATTCTTTGTAGGCAATTCATAGATCTCCATTTCTTTGGGGTTGGCTACTGAAATATTATTGTCTTCCTTTGGTAGAGTCATGTTTCCTTGATTTTTTTCATGTTTCTTGAAGTCTTATATTGCTCTCTTTGCACTGAAGAAGAATCAGTTACCCTTCCAGTCTTTACTGACTGGCTTTGAGAGAGAAATGCCTTCACCAATCAGCTGAGCTAGGGATTCTAGACCTTTTCTATGAATGCATCTGCTCCACACCTCTTGTTCCCTGTACAAATGAGGCAGAAATTCTTAGGGTCATAGGCCTTGTTTTGATCCCATAAAGCCAGGCCAGGGATTGAGAGCCTCCTGTTTGTTTTCCCTAGGGCAGTGCTCCGAAATGTTCAAGTTTGTGTGCCTTCTCCCAATCCTGCAGAGTCAAGCTGGTGGTCTATATGACACACTTGCACTTCCCATCTGCAGGGGACACTCAGGGAGCCAACCTGCCGGGGGAGGGATAAGGTATGTGGAGCATTTGGGATGATGTGGGTCAGCTGAGGTGGGGGGTCCACAGGTGAAATGTTCTAAGTGGCTGGTAGTTGGCTTCCTAATAGACTCCACATAGCACTCAATAGGGTCCCTGACCTCTCTTCCCGTGTTTCTGGCCACTCAGCTGTACTGATTACCTCTGGATGAGATGAGAAAGAAGTGAGCCTCTTGGGTACCATCCTGCATGGCTGGGGGAGTTGGGTGCTCACTTGGAGAAGAGGTGATGTGGGTAAAGTGAAACTGTTTTTCTTACCCTCTTCAATGCATCTATTCTCGAATTTTTTGCTCCAATGGTATGCTGGAACATCTCTGCTGGACTCAGACTCTCACAGAGGTCCATGGGTAATTGTCAAAATTGATGCTTCTGCAGGGAGATGATGGTAGAAAGCTCCTATTCCACCATCTTGCAGACATCACCTATGTCCCAAATATAAATTAAACACTAGCTACTGCAACACTTTGATGGGATGAGTACCAGCAACATACAAGTGTATTTTTGTTTTTAAATAAACTTTTATTTTAGAGGAGTTTTATATATACTGAAAAATTATAAAGATAGTACAGAAGGTTCCCATATACCCCACACAGTTTCCCCCATTAATACCATACATTAGTAAGGTACGTTTGTCACAATTAGTGAACCAATATTGACATAATATTATTAACCAAGTCTATATTGTATTCATATTTTCTTAGCTTTTACCTAATGTCCTGTTTCTATTCCAGGATTCCACCCAGGATACCACATTATACATATTTAATTGTCCTGTGTCCTTAAGCTCCTCTTTGCTCTGAAAACTTATCAGACTTCCCTTGTTTTTAAAGTCCTTAAAAGTTTTAAGATCTGGTCAGACATTTTGTGTACTGTCACTCAAGTGAGATTTGTCTCATTTTTTTTTTACATGATTAGACTGGGGTTTTAGGTTTTGGGGAGGAAGACAATACAAGTAAAATGTCATTTTCATCACATCGTATCAAGGATACATACCATAAACATGATTTATCATGGTTGATGTTGACCTTGCTCACCTGGCTGAGGTTTTGTTTGTCAAGTTTCTCCACTATAAAATTGCCCTTTTTTCCTGTTTCCATGCTGTACTCTTTAGAAGAAAGTCACTCTATGCAGCCCACAATTACAGAGTAGGAAGTTATGCTCCACCTCTTTGAGGGCTATATATATATATGTATGTAACTATTTGGAATTCTTCTGCACAGAAGATTTGTCTCTTGTTTATTCGACCATTTACTTATATCAGTATGGATCCATGGATATTTATTTTATACATAGGGTTATAATCCAATGTTACTTTATTTATTTTCTTGCTCAAATTATTCCAGCTTTGGACATTGGGGGCTCTTTCAGTTGGCTCCTATGTCACTATGACATACCCCCATCAATGTGGGTTTTTTGCTTTTATTTTTATTACTTCCTTGTTTTCTAGCATTATCAGATACTCCAGAATCATCTTGTATATTTCTGCCCAGTTCTAGAACGAGCCCTCTCCCCTTAGAATCCCCCTAGGAATCCTTTTTTTGAAAAATGGTATTAGAAACCAATATCTGGGCACTAAGTATGCTCATTACTACTAGGGTCTTTCTCAGCCAACAGAGCAAGGAAATACATGTATGTATACTAAACTATGTAAATACATTTAGCTATAAATATTTCTGTATGTAACAATCTGTATTAATATTAAGCTAAACATAAGTTCATACTGATGTCTCCAACTCTACTCTAATACCCCAGGGATCATTCTAGCCTCCTCCCCTTACTTATCTGTAAATTCCCACTCTAACAGTGAGAAACCTGGCTCCCATTATGTCATCTACTTATTCAATCATTCAATTCCAGTATACATGGATAGAAGTATCAGAATTATTACCCTACCCCTATAGGAAACAACTTTATCAACAAGAATACAGTATTTATGTACAGTTCCCTTTGCCTTTATTCATAGATACTCCACTTGTTTCCAGAGTTACTTAGATCACCACCTGTTTCCTCCAGCCCTTCAGTGAAATTCCTTCGTATACATGTATTATGGTTATATTCTTTTTCTTACATTCTGTATTCCATCTTGAGATCCCATGATCTATTAAATGATTTTTGCATATATCAAAGTCCATTTTTTGCATTGTACAGCCCCATGAGTTTTGACAAATTCATAATATCATGTATCCATCATTACAGTATAATACAGGATATTTTCACTGCCCTAAAAACATCCTTTGTGCTTCATCTTTTTAAACTCTCCCAACCCACTTGAATCCTTGACAACCACTGATCTCTTTACCATCTCTACAGTTTCGCCTTTCCAGAATATACGTAGAGTTATATATCACTTTTTCAGACTGGTTTCTTTCATTTAGTAATATTCCTTTAAGATTCATCCACATCTTTGCATGGCATAACAATGCATTCCCTTTTATTTCAGAATAGCATTCCATTGTATAAATATACCATACTATGTTTATCTATTTAGCTGCTGAAAGCCATTGGTTGCTCCCAGTTTTAGATGAATCTGCTATAAACATTCATGTACATGTGTGGATATGAGTCTTCAAATCAATTGGGTAAATACCCAAGAGTGTGATTAGTGGATCCCAAGGTAAGACCACGTTTAGCTTCGTAAGAAGCTGCCAAAATGTTTTCCTAGGTAGCTGCAACATTTTGCATTCCCATCAGTGATGAATGAGAGTTCTTGTTGATTCACATCCTCTTCAGCAAAATTTACTCTGGCTATTTAAACCAAATGTGACGTTATTACAGGATAGCAGAAAGCTCAGAGAACTCATCTTTGGGAGCACTAAATCCTAGGCCCTGTGGCTCACTGCCAGGAATAATGCCCACTGTGCCGTAGAAACTGCTCTAGCAAAATGTGACAGACACTATTGCTCAACATGAGGTCTGCACACAGGTGTTCTTCCACCACAGCCCTTGAAATCCATATGCTGCCTCTTCCACCCCTGCCAGGCAACCCACACACACCCCTGTGCATGGTGACCTACTTATGTCACCCACCTCCTCTGAGGCTGTGTCACTGGGTGTATCTGAATCTATGTCCCAAGTTTGTAACTGTAGCCCAAAGGCATCTGTGAATGAGAGTCTTCTGGCTTCTGCCTTGCAAAGGTAGAACTCAGAAAGTGGGAAATTACCAAGTTATCCAAATATAGGAATGGTGTTCAAAGATGTTCTACATCTTTGACACCTGTCCATTATAGACTGTCACTGCAATGTATAATAGCAAAGACACTAGGATACAACCTAAATGTTCAGTAAAAGGCCATGGTCAAACAAAATGCAAACTAGCCATGAGAAAAAATATGAAACTAGAAGAAAATATGTTTTCCAAGGATTTCTACTGATTTTGAAATACAGTATACTCATGCTATGAGGTTACAGGGAATAAAGCAGTATGCAATTCCGTATATGCAGATGATCCAATTTCAAAAATAAAATTCCCTGTATGTATAGAATGAAGCCTGAAGAATATAACACGAAATACTGATGATGGGTTCCACTGAGTTGATTTTACTTTTCTTCTTACTCATTTTTTAATTTTCAAGTTTTCCACAGTGTATTAATTAAAAAAAAAAAAAGCATAACGTGGCTAGGTATGGTGGCTCACACTTGTGGTCCCAGCACTTTGAGAGGCCAAGGCAGGCAGATCACTTAAGGCAAGGAGTTCGAGACCATCCTGGCCAACATAGCAAAACTCTGTCTGTACTAAAAATACAAAGAATTAGCTGGGCATGGTGGTGCACACCTGTAATCCCAGCTACTCAGGAGGCTGAGGCACAAGAATCACTTGAACATGGGAGGCAGAGGTTGCATTGAGCCAAATTGGGCCACTGCACTTCAGCCTGGGTGACAGAGCGAGATTGCCTCAAAAAAAAAAAAAAAAGTGTTATCCTCCCTCTACCAAAAAGATTTTCATATACAAAAGCTTTCATAGTCCTAAAGAAGATGCCATCCCTCACTGAAATATAATTTACTTAAAGGTTCTCATGGATTTTAAAATAAAATCAATTATAACAGATTCTTTAAAGGAAGAAGTTGTTTTAGCATTCTTTATCAGCATGTATAATTGATTTGAATTTCTTCACTATAGAAAGTTTGACTCAAGCTCTTACTTGCTAGGTATAAGATATGGGTAAGCTGCTGTAATAAAAAGATTCTAAAACACAGTGGCTTTAACAACTTAAAAGTGTATTTATTTCTCCAGTGATAGTCCAGAGGTGAGCAGTCCAAGATTAGCAAGGTGGCTCTGCAATGTGAGGTTATTCCATGACTTGGGTTCCATTCCTCCGGTGTCTCTGCCACCTCCTAGGGTGAGGTCCTCATGGCACGGTTGAAGCTGACTCACCTCCATTCATGTTCATGCTCTGGCCTATTGGAGATGAGGAGAGAGAAACTTCAGGTCATTTCACTTTGTCTCAGAGAGGATGACTCAGAGGCCATTCAGAGCACTCCTGTTCACGTCCTGTCTGCTCAGGCTTAGTCACGTGGCCACACCTAGCTGTAAGAAGGCTTGGAATTGTAGGGTCTAGTTGGGTGGCCATGTGCCCTGCTAACACTCAGAGGTTCTATCCTTACATGCAAGAAAAGGAGAATGGGCCGGTGCAGAGGAGCACCCCTGCAGTCCCAGCTACTCAGGAGGCTGACGTGGGAGGCTCACTTGAGCCCAGGAGTTTGAAATCAAAATAGTAAGACGCTGTGTCAGAAAAAAAAAAAAAGAAAAGAAAAGAAAGAAAGAGACGGAAGGAAGGAAGGAAGGAAGGAAGGAAGGAAGGAAGGAAGGAAGGAAGGAAGGAAAGAAGGAGGGAGGGAGGGAGGGAGGGAGGAAAGTGTGAGCCACCGCGCCTGGCCAGTCGATTTCCACTCTTAACTGGATTCAAATCATCGTGGGAATTTGAACTCTGCACGTGTTAGGGCTGCACCCCCTGAGATTCTGATTCAGTTGATCAAGGGAGGTCCTCTTTCCTAAACACCCTACTTCCTGCTTGCCCTTCCCAGCCTCAAAGAATCCACTTCACAAAACCATTCCCTTCCTAAATCCTTAATCTCCAGACTCTAAGTCCTTCCTTTCTTGGACATACAGCAAATCCCCTTCAGGGCATAGACCTTTTAAACACAAAACTCTGAATGAATCATTTCTAGGGTGTCCAACTCAGTCCTGGAATATCCTCTTCTATTCTTTCAAACAGTAAAGCAAACAAGTGGCTCTCCCTCCCAGGGAAAGGAGAGCTCAGGCTTCCAGAGGATGAGAGAAAGTATTTCATTTCTTCCAGATGGGTCGATAGCAACAAAAACAAATTGAAGATAAATATCAATAGATCTCCATCCTACATCAAATTACAAATACATCTCTATGCTACCAATATGTTATGGGCTGAATCGCCCCCCTATCCCCCCACCGCCCACCATTCATGTGTTGAAGTCCAGACCCCTAGTACCTGACTGTGACCTTATTTGGAGATAGGGTCTTCACATAAGTAATGAAGTTCAAATAAAGTCATTCGGGTGGGCTTGATCCAATATGCCAGGTGTTATTTTAAGAAGGGGAGATTAGGACACAGACCCAGAGAAACCCCCACGTGAAGACACAGGGAGAAAGCCACCTACAAGCTCAGGAGAGAGGCCTCGGAGGAAGCCAACCCTGTGGATACCCTGATCTCAGACTCAGCCTCTAGATGGTGACAGAATAGATTTCTTCTGTGGATCCACCATATGGTATATATACATATACTGTAGGCACCCAGTCTATGGTACTTGTTTATAGTAGCCTTAGCAAACTAATACAATATGACTTCTGAGCATAAAACAGACATTGTAGTGGGAGGCTTATAAATATTTGCTGCTTTATTGTTATTGATTATTAACAGAGGGATTTAGCTGAAGGACTAGGGGCAATGAATCTGGATTTCCTGCTAAAACTGGTCCAGGCAAGCCGAAGACAAGGTCAAGAACAAAGCCTCATTGAAAACAGGGCTCAGAGGAGCTTGACTAAAATGTGGCCAAGGAGAGCATCTTTGTCACCCAGACTCTCTGTGATAATTAATCATGACAAGCAGCTGTTGTGAAATCTTTATCACTCAATTTATTTCAATTCCTCTGCAAATAATCTTAAAACAGTCTCATTTTCCAAGAGGGAAAAAAGATGGCAGTCCAATATTTCAGGCTAATGACCTGCACGCTCTACCAAGAAAACAGGAAAACATGCCTGGAGTTGGCTGGTGCCCAGGTCAAGCGGATGGCACAGCCCAAGCAGCGGTGGCCTTGGACCTGACTGGGCTGGACAATTGTCCATGTTCAGAAGTTCTTCAGGCCATTTTGGACAACGCAGAGGAGTTAGACAACATGGGAACCCCAAGGCTGACCTTGGCCAAGAAAAGCCCAAAGATTATTTCAATCCAGACGGTTGCCATATCTGTTCCTTTTCTGTCTGTCACCTCCTTTTAGTCGCAGCAGCTGTGGGACATTTCTCTGGGAAGGCAGCAGCACCCTGTTTCTCTGGAACATGGATTTGTGTGAGGTGAGAATGCTGTGTTCACAGCAAATGTGGCAAAAACAGGGGTGGTGTGTTTTTTCCCCAAAGACTTTACTGTTTCTCAGAAAGCTATTTATGAAAAAGGCTTAAAACCTAATAGGAATGGGATGGGGTTATAGAAACACTTCCTTTGCACCTATACATATCCCTAGGACTAAAGCTAAGCTGTGAGAAAAACAAATAATAATACACATGGAATGAATGTTAAGAATCCCCACGTTCCATGATTTCTACTCTTTATTTTTTTCATTTTTTTTTTAGTCGGAGTTTTGCTCATTGCGCAGGCTGGAGTGTGATGGTGCGATCTTGGCTCACCACAGCCTCCACCTCCTGGGTTCAAGCAATTCTCCTGCCTCAGCCTCCAGAGTAGCTGGGATGACAGGTGCCCACCACCATGCACAGCTAATTTTTGTATTTTTAGTAGAGACGGGGTTTCATCATATTGGCCAGGCTGGCCTCAAACTCCTGACCTCAGGTGATCTGCTTGCCTCGGCCTCCCAAAGTGCTGGGATTACAGGTGTGAGCCACCACGCCCAGCCAGTTGATTTCTACTCTTAACTGAATTCGAATCACCTGGGGAATCTGAACTCTGCACCTGTTAGGGCTGCACCTCCTGAGATTCTGATTTAGTTGAACAAGGGAGGGGCACTCTGAGCTTTTAAAAGAAAACACATATTAAACCTCCCCCCAGGTGAGTTTAGTGTCCAACTAGATTCAAAATACTGATCTGTTTTAACTTCTAAGCTTTGTGGATGAGGAAACTGAGGCCCAGGGAAGAGGAGTAACTTGTGAAAGTTCACAAAGCTAGTTAGTGGCAAAGCCAAAAATAAAACTGGCATTCTACAGCACTGCAGACCTTAAGAGGTTTATTAACTTCACCTGGTAACCTCAGTCGGCACACCTGTTTACTTACGGTGTTAGGAAATAAGCAACAAAATCTAGACACTTTTAACTAGTGTTCATCTGACATTTGGAGTGACATTTGAATGGGGACTGATTTCACAGGTGGTCAGTTCTTTAATGAATATTTCCTCATGTAACAAAAAAAGGCTTCCTGGTATAGTCTTTAAAAAATGGTGGCACATGGGAACAATAGACACCATGTGTTACTAGAGAGGAAGGTGGGGGAAGCATGGGTTTAAAAACTACCTATTGGGTACAATGCATCCTGCCTGGGTGCAATATATCCAGGTAACAAGCCTGCACAGGTACCCCATGTCTAAAATAAAAGCTGAAATTGTAAAAATAATTAATTAAAAACAACAAAAACTGTGGTGACGGCTGGGCACAGTGGTTCACGCCTATAATCCCAGCCCCTTGGGAGGCCAAGGCAGGTGGATCACCTGAGGTCAGGAGTTTGAGACCAGCCTGACCAACCTGTTGAAACCCTGTCTCTACTAAAAATACAAAAATTACCTGGGCATGGTGGCAGTCTACTCCAGAGGCTGAGGCAGGAGAATCGCTTGAACCCGGGAGGCAGGGGTTGAAGTGAGCCAAGATCGTGCCATTACACTCTAGCCTGGGCGACAAGAGTAAAACTCTATCTCAAAAACAAACAAACCAACTAACAAACAAAAAACTGTGGTGACTTGAATAATGATTGCTCAGATAATGAGAATACCCTACACCAGGTGATATGTTGTCCTTGTGGATTCATATGGAAATGGACACCTGCCATGTTTGCAGGCAGAAAAACAGGCTTCGAATTCCACCCACACCTGATGGCTATTCTCTGCCTGGAACGCCTCTCTTACCCTCCCATGGTAACAGACTCACACCCCTGATTACAGGGGTTGGCACATCACGAGACTGGATCAGTCATTATACCCCATCCTTTGAAGTTGGTAATGAGGTCATCCTTCTCCCAAGAGTGAAAGCTACATTTCTACACGAGTTGTTTCACAGCTAGCCTGGTGTCCAGCAGTTGTCCATGCAGACCGGGTTCACCCCTAGCTGCCTCAAAACCTGAGCTGGCGGTCACAACTGAAAGGGTTATTTAGTAATATCCCCTCTGCCTTAAGGACTCAGTATCTGTGGGTGAAATCTTCTTACTCAGGTTTATCTACTGCCTGGCAGCCATAGCAGTTGTAGCTATTTGACATCTTGATGGCTGTCTCTGTCCTGTGCTTTTATCAAAAGAAGCTGAGCAGTGGCCTTCCCAAGGAAAAGGAGACAGGGATGTGTTTTGGGGATAGAAACTAGAGCCTCGAATACTCCAGCTCCTTTTGACTGTATGTTGAAGGGACAGAGCAAAGACATTTTGGCCCTGCTGGGGCCCAGAAAAATGACACTCTAAGTAAAGGCCTAAGAAGCAGCCTCAGACACAAAGTCTCTCCCTGACCTTCTCCTGCCCTCCTGTCCCTCGTCCCTGATTCTGTCCTGAGGCAAGCAATAGGAACCAGAATCCCTCTTCCCCAGGGTGGGTCATAAAAACCAAAACCCCTTTCCCCCAACGCCAGCCATAAAGTCCAAAACTATGACTTGAATCCCTAACCCCTTTGCCTTTCTGTGTGATACTGGCCATAAAGAAATTAAGACCCTCATCCCAGAAGGGTCCTTCCCCATACCAGAGAGGAAGGAATTCTGCACAGAGGGGCCACGGAGAATCTGAACAGACAGGCCTCGCTGGGTCTCCCCCGTCAGTCTATTAGCATTAGACCATAGCCTTCCTGTCCAATCCCCTTTCTACACGCCTGTCTGTACTTCATTGAACTAAAGCATAAAAATAGATCATTTTCCCTGTATCTTTTGGTCACTCATTCTGAAGGCTCACACGTCTTGTAAAACTATGATCAAATAAACTTGCGCTTTTCTCTTGTTAACCTGTCTTTGGTATTAGTATGTTGGGTGTGGCCCTTATAAATGGGGAGGAAAGAAATTGTCCCTTTCTGCCCCTACAGCCCCATCCCTCAGTTCAGAATGATCTGAATCCTTTAGGCTACAGGTGCTCTGCTGCCCAAAAGGGATTTGATAGTGTTCAGTACAATTTATAGGAGGCTCTAGGATAGAACTGAGCTCCTGCACTAGATTCAACAGACCAAACCAAACTGGGGTGACTCACGCTGGAGTTTCCAACTGAAACTAAGTTGTTTATCTGACCTTCCAAAAAATCAGGAGACAGAGAAAGATAATAGCCAAATCCCCAAACAGGCCAGTTTGAATCAACATGGTAAAGAAGTTCCCTCTGCTTTACAAGGAAGAGTAACTTTGCAATTACCAATCTGCTTTTTGTTTTCTGTTTCTGTTTTCTTAGGCCTTTTCTGTCTATAAAGCCAATCTCCTGTGCTTGGCTCATCGAAACACTCTATCTTATAGAATGAGGTGTTGCCCCAATTGTAGAATTGCAAATAAATGCCAGATCTTAAAAAAGATTTTTAAGACAACTGGGTGTGTTGGCTCATGCCTATAATCCCAGCACTTTGGTTAGTTAAGGCAGGCAGATCACTTGAGCCTAGGAGTTCAAGACCAGCCCGGACAACATGACAAAACCTCATCTCTAAAAAAACTAAAAAAATAAAAAATAAAAAAAGTATCCAGGTGTGCTGGCACACACACATAGTCCCAGCTACTCGGGACGCCGAGGTGGGAGGATCACTTGAGCCCAGGAGGTCAAGACTGCGGTGAGCCATGATTGCGCCATTCCACTTCAGCCTGGGCAACAGAGGGATACCCTGTCTCAATCAAAAATATCTATATATTTTAAACTGAATTTGTTCTAATTTTGTCTTTTGACAACAGGGAAATGATTTCTACTGACATACAGGAATGGACCTCCAGCCTGAGGTCTAGTTCTGCTCAGTGGTATGATATGATAAGTTGTGCAGAGAATTGACTTTTGATTAATTCAGCCACAGTAAACAGGCTGTATGTGCTGGGTGTGTTTTGTACCAATCCCTTGCATCTGGTGAGGAGGGAGGCATGTAAACAGTCCCCAAAGTCAGGTGCACGTGGGCACAGGGGGATGAGAATTTAAATCATGGCTTCCCCACGTGAATGGCAAAGACAAGCTACTTTTCCCCGGTGGAGTCCTCAGGCTGGGCAGTGATATTATTAGCTGGTTAGCCCTTGGGGTTCTGGGAATCTGTTTAGCTTCTGCCTTATATCATAACCTCTATGCAATTTTTTACCCTTTGCCATTAAATTAAGTTTATAACCTCTTATTACTGTGTCCATCAATCACATTGCTGTCCCTTTGTGATAACATGTCTGGAGGTTTAGACGACAGTGGGGAAAAGACTGAACTGTTTCAGGCTATTGGATCTCAGGTTAGGGATTTTGCAGGAGAATTTTTCCTTCATCCTGGCTGTTTAGGCCACATGCTGTAGACAATGTCTGTAGGCAGCCCATTTGAAATTCACAAGCACACAAGGAATGAGCCTCTTCACTCTCTTTTCCTTTCAGAAAGGCAGATGTTTACTGAATAAGCCAGCTGGCTCCACCAACCCTCACTCTACTAACCTTGATGGCACCACAACATGAAATTCACAGAACAAGCCAGTTCACGTGACCAGCAAGTTCAGAAGATGGCAGGACGGGTCTGACATGAAGCATAGTTACACATTCACCTCATTCCAGTGCTGCTTTCAAAAGTTCTCAGACAGGAGGCTTTCCAAGGGTTGTGAGTCCAATTTTCCACTTTGACACATTAAAAATTATCATGAGTGATACTGAAAATTATTCCACAGATAGTTTTGGGTTGTATGCCAAAGTAATTTCCTATGCATTAAACAAAATTTCTCTTACAGCATTGAAAGGCCTATATTTTTCCTGTGGAAAAAAAAAGACATAAATTATTCCTCCCAGTCCTGGCTGTATGGAACTTGTACTACCGACAGTGCGACCCCAGTTAACTCGATTCACGAAAAGAGCACCATTTCATTTTTACCAGCATATTTCAGAAAATGGTGGTAAAAATGAAATGGTGCTGTTTTCATGAAGCCTAGAGTAATTCAAAAGCTATTAGGTCCTAAACACCGAAGTTGCATTCTATAAACAGAGACATTAAAAGCCTAAATAAATGGCCATCTTGGGAGGATGTATGCCCTAATAGGCTAGGAATGTGTATAAGCTTCCCAGATAATTCAGCCACTATTATTAGGACATAAAAAAGCGTGGAGATAAAATAGCCAGTCTTCATAAAGGCTCACACCTTGAGAGAGGCATATGTTGTGCTTCAGCTGATCAGTGGGGGTTTGAGAAGCACGCGAAAGTGGGTGGTGCTTACACGTTACTGAATTGCTGGTAGAATATTGCTGGGACCCAGCCTGGGCAACATAGCAAGACCCATCTCTACCAAAAACACAAAAAATGATCTGGGCATGGTGGTGTGCACCTGTGGTCCCAGCTACTCGGAAGGATCGGGAGGCGGGAGGATCACCTGGGGTTGGGAGGTTGAGGCTGCAGTGAGCCAAGAGCACACCACTACACTCCAGCCTGGGTAACAGGGCGAGACCCTGTCTCAAAAAAAAAAAAAGAATATTGCTGTGGTTTATCTCCTCCCCATCAAGCCCACTTTTAAGAGCAAATAATTTAACTTGCTAAGAATTAAGGCAAGGTGGCCGGGCGCGGTAGCTCATGCCTGTAATCCCAGCACTTTGGGAGGCCGAGGCAGGCAGATCACGAGGTCAAGAGATCAAGACCATCCTGGCAAACATGGCAAAACCCCGTCTCTACTAAAAATACGAAAATTAGCTGGACGTGGTGGTGGGCGCCTGTATTCCCAGCTACTCAGGAGACTGAGGCAGAAGAATCACTTGAACCCAGGAGACAGAGGTTGCAGTGGGCCAAGATCGTGCCACTATACTCCAGCCTGGCGACAGAGTGAGACTCCATCTCTCCATCTCAAAAAAAAAAAAAAGAAAGAAATAAGGCAAATAATATGAATATATGAAACACATAAATGAATATAGAGTTCAGAAGGGAATTGAGGCTGGGCAAGGTGGCTCTTGGGAGCTCCCAACACTTTGGGAGGCCGAAGCAGGTGGATCACTTGAGGTCGGGACTTTGAGACCAGCCTGGGCAACATGGTGAAACCCTGTCTCTACTAAAAATACAAAAATTAGCCAGGCGTGGTGGTGTGTGCCTGTAGTTCCAGCTACTCAGGAGGCTGAGGCAGGAGAATTGCTTGAACTTGGGAGGCGGAGGTTGCAGTGAGCTGAGATCGTGCCACTGCACTCTAGCCTGGGCAACAAAGTGAGACTCTGTCTCAAAACAAACAAACAAACAAAACCAGGAGAACTTGATAAAAGGAAGTGGTGAAACTCAGGCAAATTAAAAAATGGAGGCTTGCGGAGTCAGAAACGTCAGCAAGTGAATGAGCACCAGGCCCACTTAAAGCAACTCCCATGGGAAGGGAATTCTTGGAAGAGCCAAAAAGCACTATACAAATTCAGTTAAATTTAGAAAGGACTTTTGGAAATTAAAATGAAAGGATTTTCAAATTTAGAAAATCCATCATCAAGCTACAAAGAAAATATATGTTGCGCCCTGGATCATGGTCTGGTTGACCAGGCAGATGTAAAGTCTACTCTAAATACAGAGCAGAGGCCAGGCATGGTGGCTCACGCCTATAATCCCAGCACTTTTGGGGGCTGAGGCAGGTGGATGGCTCAACCACCAGTTGAGTCTAGCTAAGTCACTTCCACTCCCTGCACCTCCTATTCTTCACCTGCAGAATGAGCTTGCTGGATTCTAACACCCAACTGCTGCTCTCACACTCTAGAATTCTTAGACTCCCAGTTGTCTTTGAGAGATTCCACACTGCCAAGAAAATTATTGCAACTATATGAAACACTGGCTTATCATGACCAGTGTCAGGGAGTCCTGATGTTCACCTGGCCCTGCTCTTCTGCAGTTACCAAGCTATAAAAAGTTAAAGACTGAATGTGTAGATATACTAGGAAGCAGACCTGTTCTGTGCTTCTCCAGAAATCAGAATTAAGGTGAATGAGTGGAGGCTAGGTGTGGTGGCACACGCCTGTAATCTTAGCACTTTGGGAGGCCGAGGCGGTAGGATCGCTTGAGCCCAGGAGTTCAAGACCAGCCTGGGCAACATGGCAAAACCCCGTCTCTACAAAAATACAAAAATTAGCCAGGTGTGGTGATCCCTGCTTGTGGTCCTAAATACTCAGGAGGCTGAGGTGGGAGGATTGCTTGAGCCTGGGAGGTGGAAGTTGCAGCGAGCAGAGATCATGCCACTGCTCTCCAGCCTGGGAG
Organism: Homo sapiens; assembly: GCF_000001405.40. Lineage (NCBI taxonomy): Eukaryota > Metazoa > Chordata > Mammalia > Primates > Hominidae > Homo > Homo sapiens. The sequence continues at coordinate 9,080,563 of NC_000002.12, forward strand.
ACAGAGGGAGACCCTGTCTAAAAACAATAAAAGATGAATGAATGGAAATTATCGGAAAGCAGACTTCAACTCATCATGAGAAAATTTCCTTTGAACACTACTGAAAATATCACCAATTATGTGCTGCATATTACTTTGGACCTATTACTATGCTAATCACATTTATACATATTTATTCCTCATAACCAACCAATAAATCAGATACTATCCCTATTTTAATATATCAGGAGATGGAGGCTCAGAGACGTCAATTTACTTGCCCAAAACTACGTAGCTAATAAGTGGCAAAACTAGAATTCAATAATGCTTACAAACTTTAAAAATCTTTGTTCTAGACCACTATGCTATATTGCCTCTATAAAGCCACCCCAAAATATCCAGGATTGATTGGGATTCTTAAATCTGCACATTGATGTTGTTCATTGGCAGTAGAAAATTTCAGCCAATACTCCTTTTTAAAAATGTTTTAAAAACAAGCTCTGGCAAGTTTTATTAAAGAAAAATTTTGAGGCCGGGCGCGATGGCTCAAACCTGTAATCCCAGCACTTTAGGAGGCCGAGGCGGGTGGATCAAGAGGTCAGGAGATCGAGACCATCCTGGCTAACACGACGAAACCCCGTCTCTACTAAAAATACAAAAAATTAGCTGGGCATGGTGGTGGGCGCCTGTAGTCCCAGCTACTCAGGAGGCTGAGGCAGGAGAATGGTGTGAACCCGGGAGACGGAGCTTGCAGTGAGCCGAGATCGCGCCACTGCACTCCAGCCTGGGTGACAGAGCGAGACTCTGTCTTAAAAAAAAAAAAAGAAAAGAAAAAAGAAAAATTTTGCATAGTATACTTCCCACTAGTCTATTCTGGCATGCTTCTAATATGAGAATCACCTGGATCAATGAGAGCCAGTGAGCATACTCTGTAGTATTTTCCACATGCTGTGCCCAATTCAATATTATTGTCACTGTAGTGATGGACACCAGTCCGGCCAACATTTCATAGTACTCTATTTTGGATTTCCTCAAAGCTGGGCAGTTGTTAGAGAGGATGACCAATTTCACTTTGCCTTGTCTGATCAACTTCAGAGTCTGCTTGTACCCCAGCATGTACTTTCTACTTTTCATAACTAGAGTTGATCAACTCCAGTGACTTTTTCATCTTCTTTGTGGCTACCATCTTCCTGCCTAGGTGTGGGATGGCCCCCAACCAAGAGCAGTCACCAAGACGGTGGAAAGTGAGAAAGGCACCCATACCTCTTGAGATACTCTCTTTTTCCATCCACTCTTTTCCTTCTTGACTCTGATTAAATTTAGACTTTATCATGTTAGCCTCTCTAACTTACTGTATATCTTTTTGTCTCTCTTTGCTGCATCCTAGATATCTTCTGATTTAACTTCCAGGTCATCAATTCTCTCTTCAGCTGTGTTGAATTGGCTATTGAACCCATCCACTGAGTTTTAAATGTTGGCTATTGTCTTTTTAATCTCTAGAAGTACTATTTAGTTATTTTTGAAATCTAACAGTAGTTTCATCTTTTCCGAGATATCTTTAAGCTAATCTTTACTTTTTTAAACATAATAAATGTATTAGTTTCCTATTACTCCTATAACAAGTTACTACAAACTTAGTGGTTTAAAACAACACAAATTTATTATCTTAAAGTTCTAGAGGTCAGGATTTTGAAATCAGTTTCACTGGGCTAAAATCAAGGTATTGAAAGACCTTGCTTTCTTCTGGAGGATCTAGGGGAGAATCCATTTCCTTTCCTTTTGTAGCTTCCTGAAGCCATGTACATGCCTAGGCTTGTGAGCCCTTCCCCCATTTTCAAAGTCAGAAGTGTAAGATCTTATCTCCTCTCTGACTTTTGCTTACATACTTACATTTTTTTCTCTCACATCTTCTTGCCTTTCTCTTATAGAACACCTGTGATTACAATGAGCCTACTTGGATAATCCAGAATAATCTCTCCAATCTCAAAATCATTCATTTTATCATATCCACAAAGTTCCTTTTACTATATAAAGTAACATTTTCACAGGTTCCAGAGACTAGGATGTGGACATCTTTGAGGAGCCATGATTCAACCCACCACAGTAAGCACAGTTATTTTATAGTCCATGTCCAATAATTTCAAGTGTTCCCAGATTTGTTTTTGTTGTCTGTTTTTCAGATGGTTCCCACACGTGTTGCTTGCTTCAGTATGTGCTGGGTTAAAAAAAAATGGTGCCCAATAATAATTTACCTAACATTTTTAGTTGTTTTTATTAGGAGTGTTTGGGCTGAAAAATAGCCCACTATAAAGAGAAATTAAAATTCAAGTCTTCCAACAATAATGATTGATGTATTGCCCACTGACAGTATGGCAATCACTGTCTTGATGGCATAATGTACATTCTATATAGGAAAAAGCCATGGAAGGGACTGCAGTAGGAAGTTCCCAAACCCAGGACAATTCAAGTAGGGATAATGAGAGCTGAAAGGTACATCATGTTTACTGGGGAAGAAACCTTTAAAATTAGATGTTTCAAAATGATAATGGGTCTGTGCAAATACCCTTATAATTATTACTAAGGAGTTTCATGCCCTTCACACATTCCTTTAGTCACTTATTATTCAGCAGGCATTTTGTCGAACACCAATTATCTATCCATTACTCTGCAGGTGAGTAAAAATACAAAGATGAATACAAACAATCTCTGACCTTAAGGAGATCACCAATTACTTGGGAAAACAGACACAGACACTGTTAGGATACCACGTGGTGGTTTGAGTGCAGTGATGAAGGAAAACACAGAGGAGGAGGTGCCTCACCCAGGCTGAGGGTTTAGGGGAGGCTTGGTGAAGACAATGATGCCTGAGCTGGATCTTAAATCATGATAAGGGTTGTCCGGGTAAAGGCTGGGATGGCAGGAAGGGCTATCAGGCAGAGGGAACACCATTAGCAAACACCCAGTGTTTAGTGACAATACATGCATGTGTGGGTTGGGAGTCCAGTTACAAGGAAACTGCAGCAAGTACTGCACTTAGATCTGGTCAAATGGAGCCCTTACCTGAGCCTCTAGGGACTCCATGCTTTGCAGTGCCTTCTTCAAAGTTTTCTGTCCCCTCAGTGCCTGGGACTGATCGGGATATGCAGAGCTAACCAAGAAGAATGCCCCGAGCCTGGACCAGGGATAGTGTGGGCCCTGTCCTCATTTCTTCCCTTCAGATTGCTCTTCAACCCTCCAGCCTGCATGTGAGGTTGACCAGATGCCCTGTGGAGCGTCAAGACTCATATTGAAGGTGTTGTCCCCCAGGGCCCAAGTTCTAGGACAACAGCACAAAAAATAGACCGCTCTAGCTGGCCAGCGCAATGTTTCATGGGATCCTGAGATGGGTGACCAGAATGGTGCTGTGCTGACGTGCTGACTTTGGTTGATTCGCACTTGCACTGGACACAGGACAAGCTCAGGGCTCTGAACTACTAAGCACATGGCAGGCACTTGTGCTTGAACCACATCTGTATGCCCATAGGTTGGCTCATGCCTTTCTATGTTCCAACCACATATAGTCTGTTGGCTCCTGGTCTACAGCATCATGGATGGCAGGGGGTGGTGGTGTTCTTTACCTGTGCACCTGCTGTGGCTGGCAGCCAGGGCAGCCACTCCATTCTCTCTGCAGGTCTGTACCACGTGTAGGGCAATTCTCTAGGGAGAACAGTACCTCTCTCCTCCAAGGGCCTTTGAGGCCTTTGTTCCACATTGTCAACAGCCCTTCTGATCAATGTCCTCTTTTGCCTCCATTTTAGGAATGATGTACTCTGTTGCCTCTGATCATGTGGTGACATTTGTTTTCATAGGTTGGTCTTAAGCTATGCCATGTGGTAGGGAAGTGTGCCTGATGAGGAATGGACCTTCTCTGGGTGAATAGGATCACTCTTTGCCCCTCGCCTAGCCTCCCCACTAGTGATGGTTTGTGAAAGGAAACGGTGAGGTCAGCACTGAAAGAGACCATATTCTAGGAATGCGGTAATCATGGCATAAGGTAATCAAGAGAAGACATGGCTGCAAAACCTTAGACAGTAAGTTTAAGATGACCAGAAAACATTTTCCCGCACACTCTGGGCGAGACTTGCATTTGTGGTCATCATAAACGAATTATGGTGACAGCCTTTAGGGAGACATTGGAAGCCAATATTCACCAGGGCCATGATGGAGGATGCGGTGTCCTAGTAATGATGCACCTAGCGTGAAACAAATGACATCAGGGAACTCCAGAGGCAAGTTGATCTATAGTTTCAATATTAACAGGTCCCAAAAAGCCACAGCATTGAGAGCAATAACAGCGTTGCTACTTTTTCCTCATAATGAGAAATGTGAAACTACCCAGCCAAGGCACATCTGACAATAAAGAACTTGACACGATGGCTCCTGGACCTGAGCAGGAAGAGATGGTGGCCAGACATTACGAAGACTCCTCACGTGCCCTAACTGCAGGATTCACAAAGACAAGCCTCTCTTTTCTACCAATGATTCTAAATCTTTGTTGATAAATCATTAAAAGTTATATGGCCCATGAAACTTGTAATACATCTTTAATCAAGTTGTTTATAAACAGGGCCATGCAAAAATATGTTTGAGATCTAGATGGGTCCAGTTCAGATGAATGGAATCTTTTTTTTTTTTTTTTTTTTTGAGACAGGCTCTCGCTCTGTTGCCCAGGCTGGAGGGCAGTGGCACGATCGTGACTCACTGCAGCCTCTACCTCCCAGGCCCAAGCAATCCACCCACCTCAACCTCCCAAGTATCTGGGACTACAAGCCTGAGCTACTGCACCAGGACAGCTTTTTTAAATTTGCTTTTTTGTAGAGATGGGGTTTCACTATGTTGCCCAGGCTGGTCTCAAACTCCTGGGCTCAAGCAATCCAACAGTGGCCGAGACAAAATACACAGAAGTTTACTGACCATGGCTGTGACTATATTCTGTTCCTCCTCATGACCAACAAGAGATTTCAGGCTAAGTGGATGTCAGCAATGAAATGCTAGGCATTGCATTATGCAATTTAGCTCCCTGGGATTTGTTAGCCAGCTAAGGGAATGAATGAACTTCTAATATGTAAGAGCTACCCACAGTGACATGGCATCTATATCTCATTAAATATGTTGAGTAAAAACTCAGAACGAACTCAAACTAGGATATGAGAGAAAAACAAAAGTAATCTCAGTATTTTGTTAGAAACTACCCAGGAGTTCAAATGTTTTGTCCCTTATGATGTCAGGTGCAATTAGAAAGCTCCTTCCTCTGGATAACGATGCTTTTGGAAGGAGACCTATGCCTTTCCACCCCCTCTTTTTCTTCTTAACTGTTAAGTTCTGTACAAGGGAATCTAGTTTTAGTTCTATTTCTGGCCATGCTACAGTATATCCATGTTTAAAAGCCTTACTTATTTTAGGTAAAAATAACAATTCCACATTAAATAAAGTAGACTTTACAACTGTAGATATACTTAAATTCGGGCACACATGGTTACTGCTAATACCTAAAGAATTAACTATCCATATTAGAAAATTCTGCAGTCTTTATATCCTCTTACAATGGAGGTGGAGTAGAAATTAATATAAATAAAACTGTGAATAATTTATCCAGAAGATTCACTTTTCAATTCACTGACCTTAGATTTTAACTACAATGTCTGCATAGATGTTAGCTGTGTTATCTAATCAACAAATCATGCTGGAGGAAGTGCTTTTTCAGTGACTTTTACTATCAGTATGGGACAGTAAGATGTACATCAAAGACGAACAAGAAACCAGGGCCCCTCTAAAGATTGTTTTATTTTAAAAAGTAAAACAAAACACACAATAACATTTGGCCAAGCACTGTGGTTCATGCCTGTAATCCCAGAACTTTAGGAGGCCAAGGGGGCACAGATCACTTGAGCCCAGGAGTTTGACACCAGCCTGGGCAACATGGTGAAACACTGTTCCTACAGAAATACAAAAATTAGCCGGGCATGGTAGCATGTGCCTGTGGTCCCAGATACTTGGGAGGCTGAGGTCGGGGAATCACTTGAGCCCAGGAGGCAGAGGTTCCAGTGAGCCGAGATTGCGCCACTGCATTCCAGCCTGGGTGACAGAGAGAGATCCTGTCTCAAGAAAATAAGTAAATAAATACAGACAACACAATAGCATTAAAGTAAAATTTTAGTCAGCAGTCCTAACCTCACTATCCTAATACCATAACGATTTTCCCCACTGTATATGTCTTCCATTCTTTGCCGTGTATAAACACTTCCACGTTGGTGCCATCATATGGTACTTAGATGTTTGCAGTCTGCCTTCAAAATTTTATATCACAAAATACTTAACTCACACTCTTAAAAATGATAAAGTGATAAACTATCCTTTTTTTTAAGACATTCTCTTTTGGCTGGATATTTTAATTACACATAAGCTCAGGAACCAGCTGTGATTAACTCTTGCCGACTGGTTTCATTAAGATTCAAGAACTGCTGATTCACATCCAAAAGTGCATTCACTGTGATCAAATCCACGGGACAGAAGTCTGTTGATGTGCTAATTAATAAGACACACAGTTCTTTTTTCAGCTGCTTCATCTTCGAGTACTTTTCCAAACATTCCTTTTGGAAACTAATGTGTCCTTTAACTTTTTTTTTCTCTGTGCCGCTTAATGAGGTCTTGGTTACAATCTGATTCAAGGGAGCCACGCTCTACAATGCTCTTCTATAAACACAGTCATTTGAAAGGTGATTAGTGGCTGGGCAACCCTGGCCACAGCCCCCAGGTCAGCCGGATGTTCTTCTCCCTCTTGGGGCCCTGATGGAGCCAACAATTCTAAACAGTTTTCTAACATGGTGATTGGACTATTTAGAATGTACTTTCATCTTTAGTGGGAAGAGATACGCTAAAATACTTGAGATTCCAAAGTATACTCATAGGAATTGAGAAGAGGGAGGAATTAATACACTTGACATTTTGCAAAATATAAAATTGAGAATGAAGACGATTTATGATAACTCATAGCAAATGCTATTTAAATCCAGCATTCCATTCAAGCCCAGCTAATAAGCAGCCCTGTGCCAGAGGATATGTGATAGAAAACATATTTGTCTGGATTAATTTTAATCCCAGTTCCACCACTATCTAAATGACCTTAGCAGCTAATAACATGGAACATTTATCAAGCCTCCAGTATGGGCCAGTCACTGAACAAAGTGCTTATTTATGAAACATATTTATTCTCACAACCTACAAAGTGGAGATTATTATAATCCCCATTCTACAAAAAAATAAAAAATAAAAAGGAGGCCTAGGAAAATTATATAACTTCTCCACCATTATGAAGCTGTAAGTGGCAAGGTCAAAAAATTTTAACTTTAAATTAAAATATAACATGTATAGAGAAAAATGTGCATACTTTCAATGTACAGTTTGGTGAGTTGTCACAAAGTGAATACACTCGTGTAACCACTCATGTAACCCCAGAAGCTGTGCTCACGGCCCTTTCCACAACTACCCATCACTCCTTCCCAAAGGTAACCATTATCCTGGCTTCTAACACCACATCTTGGTTTCGCCAATTTTTAAGCTTTCATGCAAATGAGAATCATACAAAATGTGGCCTTTTGTGTCTGGCTTCTTCTACTTATGGAATGGATTCTTATGTGTGGTGTAAGGTAGTGACCAGGTTTCATTGTATTTTACCCATCACCGTTTGTTGAAAAGCCATCCTGTCTCCCGCTGCTCTGCTGTGGTGCTTTTGACACCAATCAAGTGTTCCTGTATGTGTGGGTCTTGTGGACTTTCTGTTTTGTTCTGATCATCTATTTGCCTCTCCTGTGTCAATACCACCTTGAAGTCTTTCCGAAGGCTTGGCATCCAGTTGAGAAATCCTTTCAATTTTGTTCTTTTTCAAAAATTGCTTGGTTATTTGAGACCTTTTGCATTATCATATAACTTTTAGAATCAACTTTGCATTTTTGCAAAATACCTACTGGATTTTTATTGAGATTGCATTGCATTGGAATAGATCAATTTGAGAACTGACATCTTGAGATAATTGAACTTTTAGTCCACAAACATCTCTCCATTTATTTAGGTCTTCTTTTATATTTTTATTATTTATTTACTTAGAGACAGAGTCTTACTCTGTTGCCCAGGCTGGAGTGCAGTGGCAATATCTCAGTTCACTGCAACCTCTACCTCTTGGGTTCAAGAGATTCTCGTGCCTCAGCCTCCTGAGTAGCTAGGATTACAGGGGTTCACCACCACGCCCAGCTAATTTTTGTATTTTCAGTAGAGAGAGGGTTTCCCCATGTTGGCCAGTCTGGTCTCGAATTCCCGACCTCAGGTGATCTGCCCGCTTTGGCCTCCCAAAGTGCTGGGATTACAGGCGTGAGCCACCCTGCAGGCTTTCTTTTATATTTTTAATAATGTTTTGTCGTTTTCAGCATAGAATTCTTGAAGATGTTTGTTAGATTTATTTCTAACAAAATTATTTGTTAGGTAAGATGTTTAAGTTTTATCTTTTAAAATGTAATTCATAATTGTAGTTTTATACAACTGATTTTTGTTAATTGGCTGTTTCCAACAACTTTGCTAAATTCACTTTTTTTTTTTTTAGATGGAGTCTCGCTCTGTCACCCAGGCTGGAGTGCAGTGGCGCAATCTCGGCTCACTGCAACCTCTGCCTCCTGGGTTCAAGCAATTCTCATGTCTCAGCCTCCTGAGTAGCTGGGATTACAGATGCCCACCACCAAATCTGGCTTATTTTTGTATTTTTAGTACAGATGGGGTTTCACCATGTTGCCCAGGCTGGTCTCAAACTCCTGACCTCAGGTGATCCACCCGCTTTGGCCTCCCGAAGTGCTGGGATTACAGGTGTGAGCCACTGCTCCCAGCCTAAATTCACTTATTAAATCTAATAGTTTATCTGTCTCTGTCTTATTCTGTTCTTAGAAGAAACATTTACAAAAATTCACCTTTATACACGTGCTGTGGATTTTAAAAATAAATACATTTTTATTGGATTAAGGAAGTTCCCTTCTATTACCAGTGCTAAGAATTGTTTTATTAATGCATGTTGCATTTTATCACATGCTGTTCCCACATTTATTGAGAAAACTGTGTTTTTCTTCTTTATTCCATTAATGTGGTAAAGAATTATTCAATGATGCTGGGCGCTGTGACTCCCACCTGTAATCCCGGCACTTTGAGAGGCCAAGGCAGGTGGATCACGTGGTCTGAAGTTCAAGACCAGCCTGGCCAAGATGGTGAAACCCTGTCTCTACTCAAAACACAAAAATTAGCCGGGCGGGGTGGCAGGCGCCTGTAATCCCAGCTACTTGAGAGGCTGAGGCAGGAGAATTGCTTAAACCCGGGCGACAGAGGTTGCAGTGAGCCAAGGCCTCACCACTGCACTGCAGCCTAGGCAACAGAGTGAGACTCTGCCTCAAAAAACAAAAGAAAAAGAAAATAGAACTATTCAATGATGAATCAACTTTGCTTTCCTGGAATAAATCCAATTTGGTTGTGATGTATTCTGTTTTTTACATAATACTTTATTTTGGTTTGCTAATATTTTACTTAGGATCTTTGCATTTATCTCTTTGAATTAAATGGGTCTCTAATTTTCCTTTCTTGTAATGTTTTTATCAAATTTGGGAATCAGGTTCTTCTGGTGTCATAGAAATCTTGAGGAATCTTTTCTCTGTTTTCTAAGAGTTATGTAAAATTGATGATATTTCTTTCATAAATGTTTAGTAGCATTCACTTAAGAAGCCATCTGGATCTGGATTATTCTTTATGGGAAGGTTTTTATTTTTTTATTTTATTTTATTTTTTTGAGATGGAGTCTCGCTCTGTCACCCAGGCTGGAGTGCAGTGGCACGATCTTGGCTCACTGCAACCTTTGCCTCCTGGGTTCAAGTGATTCTTCTGCCTCAGCCTCCTGAGTAGCTGGGACTACAGGTGCGCACCACCACACCGAGCTAATTTTTGTATTTTTAGTTGAGATGGGGCTTCTCCACATTGGCCAGGCTGGTTTCGAACTCCTGACCTCGTGATCCACCTGCCTCAGCCTCCCAAAGTGCTGGGATTATAGGCGTGAGCCACTGCGCCTGGCCATGGGAAGGTTTTTAAATGCTGTATTTAATTATTAAGATTTTCTATTTATTCTTGTGTCCATTCTGGTAACTTTTACTTTTCTAGGAATTTATACATTTCATCAAAACTTCCAAATTTACTGGCATAAAGTTGCTAATAATGTCCTCTTATTTTTTTTAATTTTAATTTTTTTTCTTTTTTTGAGATGGAGTCTTGCTCTGTCGCCCAGGCTGGAATGCAGTGGCATGATCTCGGCTCACTGCAAGCTCCACCTCCCGGGTTCAGGCCATTCTCCTGCCTCAGTCTCCCAAGTAGCTGAGACTATAGGCGCCCACCACCACGCCCACCTAATTTTTTGTATTTTTAGTAGAGACGGGGTTTCACTGTGTTAGCCAGGATGGTCTCGATCTCCTGACCTCGTGATCCGCCCGCCTCAGCCTCCCAAAGTGCTGGGATTACAGGCGTGAGCCACCACACCCGGCCAATGTCCTCTTATTTTTTAAAAAAATGCCTTTAAAATATTTCTAGCAATCATCGTTTTCATTCCAGATACAGTTATTTGTGCTACCTCTGTTCTTTTTTATCAGCCTATCAGGAATTTATCAATTAGTGTTTCCAAATAACCAATTTTGGTTTTGTTCATCCTCTATTGTAAATTTGTTTTGTATTTAATGAAGATTTACTCATCTCTTTACTATTTATTTTCTTCTACTTTCTTTGGATTTAATTTGTAGTTCTTTTTCTAACTTCTTTTTTTTGAGATGGGGTCTCGCTCTTGTCACCCAGCTGGAGTGCAGTGGTGCGATCTTGGCTCATTGCAACCTCCACCTCCAGGGTTCAAGTGATTCTTCTGCCTCAGCCTCCCAAGTAGCTGGGATTACAGGTGCCTGCCACAACATTCGGCAATTTTTTATTTATTTATTTATTTATTTTGAGACGGAGTTTCGTTCTTGCTGCCCAGGCTGGAGTGCAGTGGCACAATCTCAGCTCACTGCAACCTCCGCCTCCCAGATTCAAGCAATTCTCATGCCTCAGCCTCCCAAGTAGCTGAGATTACAGGTGCTTGCCACCACATCCAGACTCTAACTTCTTAGATTATTTATTTTTAGCCTTTTTTCAATATATCTCCATGTAAGCATAAGTTCGGTTATACCTCACAAATTTATATTTTGAATATTTACATTTTAATTCAGTTCAAAATACATTCTAATTTCCACTGTCATTTTATCTTTAACCTGTGGTTTGTCTAGAAGTGTATTTTTAAATTTCCAGAAACACATTGGAATTTTCCAGTCATCTTTTTGTTATTTCCTAGCTTAATAATAAAAGAATATAGTCTGTGTGATTTAAATTCTTTGACATTTTAAAATACTTGTTTTATGACTCAGTGTATGATTACATTCTATAGGAAGGTCTGTATGCACTTGAACTCAATGAGTATCTGCAGCTCTTAGGGTACAACATTCTAGGTCATCTAGATCAAGTTTGTTAAACACGTTTTTCAAATCACCTATATCTGTTCTGATGTTCACCTATGTATTCTGTCACTTACTAAAAGATTTGTTAAATTGTCCTACTCTAATTATGAATTTGTTGATTTCTCTTTATAGTCTGTCCATGTTTGCTTCATATAATTTGAAGCTATGTTATTAAGGAGCACACATTTTTAAATTATTACATCTTCCTGCTGAATTGAATATTTGGTCATTATGATGCCCCTCTTTAACTCTAACAATTCTGGACTTACCGTCTACTTTGTCTGATATTAGTACGATAGCTTGAGGTTGAACAATTTCTTTCAGTTCCTATTTGGCTGTTAGTACCGTCTACTTTGTCTGATATTAGTACGATAGCTTGAGGTTGAACAATTTCTTTCGGTTCCTATTTGGCTGAGGGTTTTTGTCATAAATGGAAGCTGAATTTTGTCACATACTTTTCCTGCATTTATTGAGATGATCATAGAGTTTTTTTCCTTTTGTCTGTGGATATGAATTATGTCAACTGTCTTTTCCAGGCATGTTGTTTATTCATTCATTCATCTGGCCATTATCTGTGAGCAGTCATTGCCACCGGGCACTGTGTTGGATGTTGGAGGTGCAGTTCTGACTGTGGGGAAGGTCCCTGCCTTTGTAGAGCTGAGTCTCAGTCTACCTCTTGGGTTCTAAGGTGAGATTGCCAGGGGTCACTGGCTCTGAGATTGCCAGGGGTCATATTACTTCTGGTTTGAGGAGTGTGCTGCCCCCATGGACCTGAATCTTGCAGTTCTCTTGAACTTCCCTGGGAGAATGTGTTAAGCCCCAGGTACTCCCAGAAATGAGGCAAATCAGGAGGTCTTGGCTGGGGAAACTGAGAGCTAGCCTTGCAGCTACTACTGATAAGTTAAATTTTAACTCTGGGCTGTGATGTAATCCCTGAGGGACACAGCATCTTGTCCCTGGCTTGTCATGGCTAGAGAGTGGAGCTTATAGCCCTGGTATTCACGACTTTCTTCCCCACCCAAGAGGGAGGGGAACTAGAGCTCTTCAAAGATGTTAAAAATTAAAAACAATAACCCCACCATACTTTCTCATTAAAAAAAGAGTCACATCAAATTAGAGAAATAATACTATTAGCCAGGTGTGGTGGCACCAGCCTGCAGTCCCAGCTACTTGGGGGACTGAGGCAGGAGGACAGCTTGAGTGCAGGAGTTCAAGGCTGCAGTGAGTTGTGATCACACTGCACTTTTCAGCCTAGGCGACAGAGTGAGAGCTTGTCTCAAAAAAGAAAAAGAGAGAGAGAGAGAGAGACAGAAAGAAAGAAAGAGAGAAAGAAAGAAAGAAAGAAAGAGAGAAAGAAAGAAAGAAGGAAAGAAAGAAAGAAAGAGAGAAAGAAAGAGAGAAAGAGGAAAGAAAGAGAGCGAAAGAGAAAGAAAGAGGAAGAAAAGGAAGAGAAAGAAAGAGAGAGAGAGAGGCAGGGAGGGAGGAAGGAAAAAAGAGAACAATATCAAAAAGATGTGTTGCACCAGTCCTGGAGCTGTTGACCATAACACCCACTCTGAGGCCTCTTTTCTTAGCCTTGAAACCCCCACCGTCTCTCACCCACGTTGCTGCAACACCTTTGTAGCTGGCTTCCTGCCCCTGGTCTTCCTTCCCGCTAATTCATCCTCTCCAAACTGAGCCAGGGGCTCATCCTGAACTAAAATCTAGCCATAAAACTCCTCCACTTCAAATTTCCCACTGGCATCTCAGAACCTTCAGGATGAGCCTCAAACTCCAAGCACGATGAGTACCAGGCCTCCACGGCCCAGCTCCTGCCCCTGCCCCCACCCAGCCTCCTCTCCCCCATATCCGCCTGACCGTCTGCACCCTGCCACATGAGCCAGTGTGCCAGGACCTCATGCCCCTGCGTCTGCCCACACTGTCGTGTGCCCACCACCTGCATCTTGGTGGGCTTGACTTCCCAGCAGTGACTCTGTGCAACTGCCAGTTGAGTAGTCATTGAAACGAAGCCCAACCCTTCTTCCCACCTCACGCCCACCACAGTCACCTGACTACTGGATTCAGGCTCGGGTTGACCACATACTTACTGAGCGCTAAGACCCTGGCTAGAACCCTCCACACACATCATGTGGATCGGTGACGTTCGGAGCTGCGCGGTGCCAGAGCAGGGTCTCAGAACTAGAGCAGCTCAAGCAACCCAGGCTCCGCTGGCTTCCTCCTGACGGGATGCTTGGCTCCTGCTGTGGAGCTGCAGAAGTGCGCGGCTACCCAGCAGGCGGGGCTCCTGACCTGCCAGCACTCTTGGCAGTTCTCTGTGACCCTGAAGTCCTCCTTTGTGAGAGTTGGAGGTCTGCCCCTCCAACTCAGGGCATGTAGTCCAAACCCTGAACCATCTCCTTAAATCTCTCATTCCTGCTCTGGTGTGCACAGAACTAACACTTGCTGAAAGCAGGCCTCCTCATGGGAGAATTCACACTCATGCTCCAAACCTTCAGCTATACATTGAAAACCAATGGTGCAGAGTCCCACAGCAGCAGGAGAAAAGGATGCACTGGAGGCTTGGTGGTACATACAAATTTGTACAGCAAGTCGGTATGAATAATGATATAGTGGAATATGATGATTCTTGAGCCTTCTAAAGAAAATAATACTAGCCAGGCACAGTGGCTAACGCCTGTAATCCCAGCACATTGGGAGGCTGAGGTGGGCAGATTACCTGAGGTCAGGAGTTCGAGACCAGCCTGGCCAACATGGTGAAACCCCGTTTCTACTAAAAATACAAAAATTAGCTGGGCATGGTGGCGCATGCCTGTAATCCCAGCTACTCGAGAGGCTGAGGCAAGAGAATTGCTTGAGCCCGGGAGGCGGAGGTTGCAATGAGCTGAGATTGTGCCACTGCACTCCAGCCTGGCCAACAGAGTGAGACCCTGTCTCAAAAAATAATAGTAATAATAATATATGTTCTTCTCTTGCTTCTCAAACGAAGGTACCTATGTGCCCTGCGGATTTGGGGAGCCAGGCCAGAGAGTGGATGTGTATCTTCCTGAGGGGTTAACTTCACTCAAAGATTTGAGGTGAAACCAGTACCTTAACTGGTCAGTCGGTGACTGAAAACAGTCCTTCTATAGAATAGCAAACATGGGTACGTTCAAGAGTAGGATGCAGACTCTGCACAGATCCTAAAGCTACGTTGGGAAACGTCAGAGAAACGCAGCTGCTTTGGGAACTTGGATATCCTTCTCTGCAGTTAGGGGAGTGGGGCAGGAAGGACGCTGGCGCTGGCCGGTGCCGTGTGCACAGCTCTCCCCGAGCCTCTGGTGGATGGAGACAGGTGGGCCCGTAGGTGGAACTGCCCATTCCCCGAGAATGAACACTTCTGCCTGTTATTCTTGTCATTCATGCCTTTTTAAACTCTGCAGGCTGAAACCATGCAAGTAGACAGAATCCAGCCCACGCCTGTAGCCCTAATGCTGCCCTGACGTGGTCTGGATTTGGGTTTGGGAAGCGCCAGTGCCCCTGCCCCCGGGTCCTCCACATACACACACACCACCACCCCTGCCACCACCCCTGCCACCACCCCTGCCACCACCCTGCCCCTGTCGGGCTGACAGCTGAGAGATCGGGAAGTGCTCCCTGCGGCCGCCCAGGCCTGCTTGATATTCCGGAGAGGGCGGCAGCAGCGTTCAGAATCCTTAGATGAACCTGCCTGGCGGCGCCGGAGGCCGGAGGGCGCTTGGCAGAACCGCCAGGAAGCGAAATAACAAACAGTCTCCAAAAAGCCCACAGCTCATTGAGCCCGGGAAGCGCATGGCCTCTGCTGCCCCCACCCTGTGGAGAAGCTCAAGGGGCAAGAAAGAGGAGGAAGCTGATGGGGGGCGGGGCACGCATCTCCTAAGCAGGCCCGCCCCGTCCAGAGGGGCCTGAGGGGCCCAGCCAGCCCCACAGGAGGCCCGACCAGGGCCTCAGAACCACCCCGGGGCCTGCTTGCTGGTTGGGCAGGGCCCACCCTCACGGTGCCAGTAGCTCTGCGCGATGATAAAGGGGTGCTCAGGCCTCAGGGTCAGATCCCTAGAGAGTGACCTCTGAAGTGAGGGAGGGGAGGAGAAGGAACTCAGAAGGAAGTGGCAGAGAGGCCAGACACACTGCTGGTCTCCCCCATTTCCTGGGAGACTCGCCTTGTGGGAACAGAGCAAATCAGGTTAACATCGCCAAGGGAGGGGATCAGAGAGGTGTCTGGGCCAGGGCCTCTCCACACTGAGGAATCAGCTGCGGCCCGCAGAGAGGCAGGGTTTTCCCTTGGTGGCACAGGCAGACACATACCCGGCCCCACAGTGGTCTCCTCCATCTGGGGTCCCATCAGAGCCATCGCTCCCTCCTGGAGTTCCGCTCAGTGGCCTGCCCCAGGGGGCCCCCGCACAGCCACAGGGCTGTGGGAAGGGAATGGTCCAGGCAGGCCGGTCAGGCCGGCTCCCCCAGATCCCTTGGCTCCCCCCAGGAGCTGGCTTCTCACTCCTCACAGACAACAAGGGCGCTATGAGATGTCATCAGAGATGCCACCAAACACCACAGGCAAGGGACCCGTCACTCAGCCCGGGCTGCTGAACGTGCTGAGGCGGCTCTGATATGCCCAGAAAGTGCCCAAGCAGGTGACACTTGGGCCAGGACAGGCACACGGAGATGACCTCCCACTGCCTCCCCAAGGATGACCCTGCTACTCTGACTGAGAGGGTCTTCAGGTCAAGGGCGGGGAGGGTGGCAACAGACACCAAAGCCGAGGGCTCTGAGCAGGCTCAGAAGCCGGGTGTGGAGCGGGAGGGTGGGGGCGCAGTGGCAGGGGCTGCTGCAGGGCCAGCTGTGCCAGCAGGGGTGGGGGCAGGGGCTCAGCGGAGCCGGAGTGCCAGGAGCTAAAGACCACCCACGCCCTCTTCTCGGAGGGCGAGCAGGCCAGGGAGAGCGACTTAAGCCACATGAACTTTCCCATTATCCCTGAAGGAGCGGGGTTCTTGTTGGTATTCTACCTGCACAGCTGCGTGAGACGCAGATATGGAAAACGGCCTTTTGGTGATCAGTCGGAGGGAAGGCCTGGCAGACTCAGTGGGGACTGGGTGGCAGGGAGGCAGGGGGAGCCTGGAAGCCCCCAGGGAGGCTGTGGGACTGGCAGGGCCCCTTCTCCAAGTGCCCAGAAACTTCCCCAACAAGACTTCAGCCTGTCCAGCAGCCCCCGGGGACTGTGTTGCGACTGTGATTACGTGGTCACCATGGTTTGTGGACACCGAAATGTCAAGAATGTCAAGCTCAATGCTCCCTGCTCCACAAGCATCTCCCAGAGCTGTGGGGAGGGTCATGACTGCCACTATTTATAGTACAGTGGCCTGCATGCGTGCCCAGCCCATTCCATCCTCTCCACGTGCACACGTGCGTGTGTGTGTGTCTGTATATCTATGTATTTGTGTATGTGTATATGTATGTGTATGTATGTGATGTATTTGTGTGTGTATGTGTATTTGCGTGTATGTGTATATATGTGTATATGTATATGTGATGTGTGTATTTGTGTGTATGTGTATATATATGTGTATATGTATATGTGATGTGTGTATTTGTGTGTGTGTGTGTGTGTCTGCCCACCCCCAAGACTTGCCTGCAGGGGTTACAATGGCTAGTCCATGCCTTGTAGCCTTATGCCTGTGGAATCATGAACACTCTGGGCCTCTATTCTCTCATCTTTAAAGGATTCTAACCCTTGGTTGTCCAACAATCAAGGAAAATAATAGATGTGCAAGGAAGCTGCCTACCATTACTTTTTAGAAAATAAGGGTGGATGTACATTAATTTACTCATGATTATCCATTCACTCATTCAACAAATGTTCTTTGTACTAGGCACTAAGAAATCAACAGTAGAGAAAAGAGAATTGACATTAGCCCTTGTTCTCAGGAAGTGGACGGTTTAGTAGGAAAGACCTGAATAATAAGCACAGATACACAGTTGTGTTCAGAGTTATAAAGGGCAAGAGCAGTGAGCTCTGTGCACGGGACTAACGGGGCGTGCGAGGAATAAACCACAAACGTGGGGCGGTGGGATGGTGGAACTGTGAGCCCAGGACAACCCTGATGGTGGGTCCAGGAGGCAGGGACTCACCAGAGGATCTGAAGCCTGGAAATCTGTCCACAGGGGGCAAGACATAAGTCTCATTAGTCAGAACAAAACCAGGATCCTGGGAATTTGTCCAAACAGGGATAAGGCCGATGGTAGCTGACAGGTTTCTGGGCACATACACCAGTATCAGGAAAGGCACAGGGAAAAGAGGGACCCAGGGACCGAACAGGCAGCCCTTTGGGGGAGCAGTAGGACCATCACAAGCCAGTTCTTGGAGAAGTACAGTGTCAAGGTCAAAGGAGGATCAGTTGCAAGACTCCCCACTGAGGGTGGGCCCCAAACCTCTGTGTCTGGGCGAGGCTGACCCTCTCCCACATGGCACACCTGCAGCTGACCAGGGGGTCTGTGCTCAGTGCAGGCACCTTCCCTCTCCTCCCCACACCCAGCAGTAGGTCCTTTGCTTTCTTGGCTCTGGCCCCAAGCACAGCCGAGGGCTCTAAAGCTGACCCTGGCGTCCCCACTTTGTGCTTCGTGATGTTGCCGGTCAGAATTTGTATGTAGTCACCTCCCGACCGGCGTGGGCAGTGCTGGCCTCCTGGACTGGAGCGTGGGCCAGATCTCTGGCCCTTCAAGGGCGCTGACACTGAGCAGGGCTGGCCTGGGCCTCCCTATACACCTCTTGTTGAGGACTCAGTGGGTTTCAGAGTCTGGGACAGGGATAGTTTAACAAATGGAGGCTCCGTGGTCCCAGACCGGTGAGAGAATGTGTGTTGAATGAATGGATGAGAACAAAAGCCAGAAGCTTGAAGATATTTAGAAATAAGATCCCCTTTTCCATATAAATGAAACACTTGAAGACCAGATTTTCCAAAGCAGTTGGAATGGCTACCCCCAAAATATCTCCCCCCCAGAGGGACTTCTAAAGGGTTAACTGACACCTGAAGGGAAGGGGCTTAACACCCCTAAAATCACAGAAAACAAATCTGGTCTGGCTCTTGGTATTCTCCTTACATCCTTAAGTAGTTTTAGACACAAAATGTCTTCCTCCCTTAAGTAATTCTAGACACAAAGTGCTTTCCTCATTTAACCCTTGTAATCACACTAGGAGGAGGATGTGATTCGTGTCCATTTTGAAGGGGAGAACACAGATTCAGAGTGGGTGGGTGACTTCTCCACAGGCAGAGCACAGACAGCCACACTTGCAGCTGCTTTAACCAACAAGCCGTGCTCCTGACCTTGGTGTTCGGCTTGGTTGCTTTGCTGTGGGTTGGTTTCGTTTGTGTGACTAAGACTTTTAAATGATTCGGCTCCTTTTGTGTGTTTGTTTTTGATCTTTGCAAGATTCTCTAATGGTTGATCCAGGGCTGCCCCTACACCGTTCTCCTGTCACATGCCCCGTTCCCCTGACATTGACATCAACCAACATAATATGCTGAAGAAGGGTCTTCGGCAGCTGGAAACTGGCCCAGGCATTGCGGTGGGCAGCCAGCAGGCATCTTCTGTCATTAGCCCTCCCTAGGGAAGACAAGTTCAGCAATGGTTCCTGGGAGAGGCTTGGGATAGGAAAAGAAAGGATGTTCCTATAGAGGAAGCAAATGTTCCAAGATACTTCCATTAATTAAGAAAATCTAGGGTAATAATACACAGTCCTCAAAGTCCTAGATTATAAAACCATTGTGTTAGGTTGAAGCAAGTATCACAAAGAAATACAGAAGGTCATTACCAAGACTTTTAGATGGCAAACATACTTAATGGAAACACCTCTTTCTTAACTCTGAAAACGCTTCATGTAGCATTCAGGCTTCCATTTAAAATTAATTGTGTGCATTCTAAGAGCACTTTTAGGACCTTGCAGAGACCCTCTCTGTAGATTACATGATTTGAAACTATAGCTAAGAAAATTTTGTGAAGTGGTGCAACTCTCAGAAATCAAACATGAATATGCATGCCAGGTGTGGTGGCTTACGCCTGTAATCCCAACACTTTGGGAGGTGGGAGAATCACTTGAGCTTAGGACTTGGAGACCAGCCTGGACAACATAGTGAGACCCCATCTCTACTAAAAATAAAAAAATTAGCTGGACATGGTGGTGCACACCTGTGGTCCCAGCTACTAGGGAGGCTGAGATGGGAGGATCACTTGAGCCTAGGAGGTCAAGGTTGCAGTAAGCCATGATCATGCCTCTGCACTCCAGCCTGGGCAACAGAATGAGACCCTGTCTCAAAAAAAATAATAATAAAAATAACTATGCAAAAAATATGACTTTATTTTTCTATATTACTAGCTCCCTCTCCTGGGGCATTCACTACTAATCTCAGTCATATTGGAGTTCCCCTGTCTTCTTTTCTCTGGGGTTCTAGGTAAGTTCCAGGGGCAGGGTGATGGTGGCAAGCATTACATAGTTCTGAGCTTTGGGAAAGGGGACGTCTCATCTTCACCGTCATCTTCACATGCTAGTTTCAACTTGTGTTATTAACAGAAACTTCCGCTGTCCCGCCTGACCTGCAGCCAAGCATCCACACAGTTTGTCCACAAGGCCCTCCCCTGGTCGCTGTCCTCTCAGTTATTCTCAGTGTTACTCTCGGACCCAGGAGCGTGATTCAGCAGCTCCTGCGCGGTGGGAGGTGGACAAAGGCTCAGTCCACTTGGGCATATCATAACATTTCTTCTCCTAGAAG